>NC_000023.11:18804154-19107184 GCF_000001405.40 Homo sapiens | reverse complement strand
AGATTTCTGCATTGCAGCTCCTAGGTGAGGTGATGCTGCTGTTGGGGCGGGGGAGCTGCACTTTGAGTAGCGAAGCTTTAGAACATAGCTGCCTCCATGTTCCTGGGGATTATATGGAGCATTTGCCCGTTGCCCACTGATGGATGATAAACAGCTCTCCCAAGTACCCCTCTGGGCTTGTCCTCTCAGCACTGCCGGCAGAACCAGGTTGTGTGTAGCCTGCATTAAAGCAGCAGACAAAGCCCAGGGCTCTTCTTTTTTTTTTGAGACAGAGTCTCACTCTGTCACCCAGGCTGGAGTGCAGTGGCATGATCTCGGCTCACTGCAACCTCCACCTCCCGGGTTCAAGTGATTCTCATGCCTCAGCCTCCCGAGTAGCTGGGATTGTAGGTGCCCGCCACCACCGCCCAGCTAATTTTTGTATTTTTAGTAGAGACGGGGTTTCACCATGTTGCCCAGGCTGGTCTCGAACTCCTGGCCTCAAGCGATCTGCCCACCTCGGCCTCCCAAAGTGCTGGGATTACAGGCGTGAGCCACTGCACCCAGCCGCAGTGCTCTTTTTTTAACCTGGAATAGCAACTTCTTTCAAATCTCCCTCACCTGGACTCTCCTCAAATATCTCATAACACCTGAAGAAAAACCACTAACCTCAAACACACGCCAAACCGAAACACACACACACACACACACAAACACACACTATCCCAGATACTGACATGGAGAAAGGAGTGGGGTGGGGCAGGCATTAAGCCACTCTTTTTTCTCCTGGCTTCACTATCGCACACTTCCTCATTCATTCCAGAGCAACTAGGTGTCTGTTTCAACATCCCTGGCCCCACCATTATAGTACACACCAGTCACCTTCCAGCCACGAGCTGCACATTTCTCTGTGGGGGCCCTCTTTACACATCCATGCTGCAGGTTGGAAGTGCCAGGGAATTAACAGCTCCCACCCCACCCCAGGAGCAGCCTTCAACCAATGCCTGATGCAAGTCAGTGGATCCATACCCTCAAGTGGGATAATTCAGACCGGTGTTCTACACTGGCTCCCAGAATTCCCCAGAAGGACTAAACTCCCATTGCCCCCAGTGGTGACTGGCTTGATAACGCCATCTATTGGCTGCCTTCCTGCCCCAACTCACGTGTCCATTCTATCTGTGTTTCCTGGGGTCACAGCCCAGATAAACTACTTATCTCGAATATGTGCCAAAGAGTTACCTTCTTCTTCTTCTTCTTTTTTTTTTTTTTTTTTTTTTTGAGACAGAGTCTCGCTCTGTCGCTTAGACTGGAGTGCAGTGGTGCGATCTTGGCTCACTGCAACCTCCGCCTCCCAGGTTCAAGTGATTCTCCCAACCCAGTAGCTGGAATTACAGGTGCACGCCACCATGCTAATTTTTGTATTTTTAGTAGAGACGGGGTATTTCAGCTAATTTTTGTATTTAAAAAAATTTTTTTTATTATACTTTAAGTTCTGGGGTACATGTGCAGAACGTGCAGGTTTGTTACATAGGTATACACGTGCCGTGGTGGTTTGCTGCACCCATCAACTCATCACCTACATTAGGTATTTCTTCTAGTGCTTTTCCTCCCCTAGCCGCCCATCCCCCTACAGGCCCCCGTGTGTGATGTTCCCCTCCCTGTGTCCATGTGTTCTCATTGTTCAACTCCCACTTATGAGTGAGAACATGTGGTGTTTGGTTTTCTGTTCTTGTGTTAGTTTGCTGAGAATGATGGTTTCCAGCTTCATCCATGTCCCTGCAAAGGCCTATTTAACATGGCCTAAATAGCAACTAATTATAGTTGGATGATTGTCACTGCCAAATAATATTCCACTGCATGACTACCATGGTTTATCCTTTCTACTGCTGATGGCCTTGTGTATAATTTGTACTACAATAAAAGTTTAATTTAAAAAATATACATAGACACATTGGATCCACTTTCATGGATGAGTCAAAGAGAATAACACTCAGGCTGAGGCAGAAGGATTGCTTGAGCCCAGGAGTTCAAGACCAGCCTAGGCAATATGGGAAGACTCCATCTCGAAGAAGCAGCAGCAGCAGAAAAAGAAAGAAGGAAGAAGAAATACAAAACACATAATTTTTGTATTTTTAGTAGAGACGGGGTTTCACTATGTTGGCCAGGCTGGTCTCGAACTCCTGGCCTCAAGCAATCTGCCTACTTCGGCCTCCTAATGTGCTGGGATTACAGGCATGAGCCACCACGCCCAGCCTTGGAGTTACTTTTTTTTTTTTTTTTTTTTTTTTTGAGACAGAGTCTCGCTCTATCACCTAGACGAGAGTGCAGTGGTGTGATCTTGGCTCACTGCAACCTCCACCTCTCGGGTTCAAGCGATTCTGCTCCCTCAGCCTCCCAAGTAGCTGGGACTACAGGCACCCGCCACCACCCCCAGCTAATTTTTGTATTTTTAGTAGAGACGGGGTTTCACCATGTTGACCAGGCTGGTCTTCAACTCCTGGCCTCACTCAAGTGATCCACCCACCTTGGTCTCCCAAAATGTTGGGATTACAGGCATGAGCCACCACACCCAGCAGAGTTACCTTCTGAAGGAACCCAACTAAGGCAAAACTGGTCAACAGTCAGGAATTCCTTTTGTTAATTTTAATAAAATCCTATTATAAAAAAAGGGGGAGCCCCATGGGGTTTCTTCTGAGGGGCATCTCACCAGTATCTAGATATTTTGTCTGCGTGACACCAAACAGTCAGATGGCTGGAAATAAGCCTGATAATGGAGAGAATGCTTCTCTGTTCCCGGGCTGTTTTGGGATCTGGTCAACAGAGTTGATTTTCTGGACACCCCAGTCAAGCTAGTTCAGGTCTTTTTGACCTGTACCCAGAGGGTGTATCTCTGAGTTCTGCCTCAGAAGCTTGATCACATCCCGGGGGCTCCTACAAACCACATCCTGGCTGCAGCCAACTCCCTTCCACAGGCCTCCCTCACTGAGTTTCTCTGTGGTGGGTTCTCTGCATAGCCTCTTGGGATGAGGAGTCCTTCTCAGACCTTTACAGAACAGAGCCCCTGACACTCAGTTTCAAGGGCCTACCTACATCCGTTTCCGAAGCTTTGCATCGATGGTCACTGCTCCTCTTAGCCATGTCCTCAGCTTTCTCCTCCTCCTGCCTTCTTCCCCAGACTGAAGTGGATCTGAACCTTGGCACAATCTATGCCTCTTAGTGCATTTTAGGGGATTTTAGGGCTGCCTGGGCCCCTCTATATGTTCAGACGTGTGATAGGACCCAGCCTTTTCCCCTCAAGACCTTGTATTTGAAATTCCCCATTCTATGGTTTGTCTCATCTTTGGAACCCACAGCAGGCAGAGATGTTTGGGAGGGTGGCCTCACTGGGCACACTGTCCTGGATGTCTCACAGTTTTGCATACCTCTGCCAGGCTGTGCTGCCCCCAGGCCAGACTCCTGTTTCTCTGTTTGGGCATCTTGGGGGTCCTAATTAGACACTTAGTCCTTTGGATTTGGTATTTTGAGAGTACACGTGGTATCAACAGGGCTAGCTTTAATGTTAAAACATCTATTAAAACAATAAGGGTGGATGGCTAGGTGACTGCTACTGTTACTAAAAGAGGTCCCGATCCAGACCCCAAAAGAGGGTTCTTGGACCTCATACAAGAAAGAATTAGGAGCAAGTCCATAGAGTAAAGTGAAATCAAGTTTATTAAGAAAGTAAAGGAATAAAGAATGTTTGCTCCGTAGGCAGAGCAGTGGCATGGGCTGCTCGACTGAGAATACTTAGAGTTATTTCTTGATTATATGCTAAACAAGAGGTGGATTATTCGTGAGTTTTCTGGGATGGGGCAGGGAATTCCCGGAACTGAGAGTTCCTCCCCTTTTTACACTGTAAAGGGTAACTTCCTGATGTTGCCATGGCATTTGTAAACCGTCATGGCGCTGGTGGGAGTGTTTTTAGCATGCTAATGCATTATAATTAGCGTATAATGAGCAGTGAGGACAACCAGAGGTCATTTTTGTCGTCATCTTGGTTTTTGGTGCATTTTGGCTGGCCTCTTTACCGCATCCTGTTTTATCAGCAGGGTCTTTGTGACCTGTATCTTGTGCCGACCTCCTGTCTCATCCTGTGACTAAGAATGCCTAACCTCCTGTGAATGCAGCCCAACAGGTCTCAGCCTTATTTTACCCAGTCCCTATTCAAGATGGAGTCACTCTGGCTCAAATGCCTCTGACACTACCCTGTAACTTTCTTAGTCAACTTGGGCTGCCAGAACAAAATACCATAGATTGAGTGGTCTAAACAACAGAAATTTATTTCTCTTAATTCTGGAGGCCGAGAAGTCCAAGATCAAGATGCTGGCATGGTCAGGTTCTGGTGAGTTCCCTCTTCTGGGTTTATAGACAGCTGCCTTCTCACTGTGTCCTCAGTTGGCAGAGAGAGGTGGGGGAAGCGGGGAGGGAGAGGGAGAGGGAGAGACAGGTTACCCTGGGGGTTAGGGCTTCAAAATATGAATTTGGCAGGAGGGACACACAAGTCCACAGCAATAACTGTGCATGACTCCACCCCCATCTCCCCACCCCCACCAGTATCTCATCTGTTGATCTGGCTGAAATCTGAAATTCCACAATTAGAGATTCATTTCCTTGGTTTAAAGTGTTATAATTTAAATGAGCACAGAACCTGGTCGATGGGCCTCCATGCGAGGCCTTCTCCTGAGAGCCAGTGAAAAAGTATGAGGTCACTGGGCACCTACAAGTTGGGAATGGCCCCCACCTAGAAGACACAAAGAGTACTAAAGAGGAAATTGATTTTCTTCAAGTGAGGTGGGCTTGTTAACTTTGCCAAGGCCTGTCCTAGTCCTCAGAGTTATGTTCATATCAGTTCCTGCAAAATACCCCTTAAAATAAGAGAAATGAGTCCTTCATCTTGCTTTTTTGCATCTATGAGTGATGTGAAAGACATTGCCTTTTAAAGAGGGAGTCCAGGCCGGGCGTGGTGGCTCACACCTGTAATCCCAGCACTTTGGTCTTGAACTCCTGGGCTCAAGTGATCTGCCTGCCTTGGCCTCCCAAAGTGCTGGGATTACAGGTGTGAGCCACCACACCCGGCAATATTTTCACCGCAATACTTCATCTTCCTCCCCTACTAACATCCAAATGGTACCTGAAGTAAAGCGAGCCACTTCTTATGGCTTGTTATTGCTGGGAACAGCTGCTTGTGGATAATTAGCTCAGGCAATCAGAACACTGGGTCAGGAAATCAGGCACGTGGGTCTGACTCCTGTATGGCCTTTGCTCTTGGGGACCTGTTGAGGGTGGGTCACTGCTGGTTCAGTATGTGCTGCATGTGGAATTCCATCCCCTTTGAACCTGTACCATTAATGGGGTAACAGCTGGAGGTGCTTAACTTTGGCCCTGCATCAGTTTTCAAAAGTGCATAAAGGTAAGCACTATCCTGAAACTGTTGTTTATCTTTCTCATACATTTCTTTTTTTTTTTGAGATTGCGTCTCACTCTATGGCCCAGGCTGGAGTGCAGTAGCTCCATCCCAGCTCACTGCAGCCTTGGCCTCCTAGGCTCAAATGATCCTCCCATCTCAGCCTCCCAAGTAGCTGAGACTACAGGTGCACACCACTAGGGTCGGCTAATTTTTGTATTTTTTGTAGAGAAAGAGTTTCACCATGTTGCCCAGACTGGTCTCGAACTCCTAGACTCAAGTGATTCGCCCACCTCGGCCTCCCAAAGTGCTGGGATTACAGGCGTGAGCCACCGTGCCTGGCTATCCTTCTAATACATTTCTTTATATTTTCCTACATAGGAATATGTCCTTAAGCAAGAGAGAATGCTACTCGCATGCCTTTTAAGCTTTATAAGATTGGTGTGTTTTTTACTTTCACATTTTGCAACTTTCATCTCATTTAATACTATTTTTGTGAGATTGATTCTCTTGGCTACATGTAGCTCTAGCTCATTTTTCTTCCTTTGCTTTATCCACAAACCACTCCCAGAGAACAACTGAACTCACAGTTGCCAGGGTGGGGGAAGAGCAGGAATTACACACACACACACACACACACACACACACACACACACACACAATCTCATGATTAGTTGATTTGAAACACACCTCAAGCTATTCTCATAACTAAATCTTAATCCAACCAATAATTCCTTTAGATTTTAACCACTTAACTTTGGAAATTGTTTTATAAAGCTCTAGTTCTTCCATATGTTCACAACTCACAAAATTGGTTTTGCAAATAATCCTTTTACCCTTTGCCCGCGAGGAATCGCAAAGCTGAGTTTGCTTTCATTTGCCATCGCTTTTCTTCCCGTTTTCAGATGTCGTTATCTTTCTGTTTCCTTTTTTACTTGGCATAGATTTGCCTTCCTTTCCCAATAGTATGTCCAACTCTTTCAAAACCTCTCCATTCATTCAGCCATGCATTCTTTTCACATATGTTTATAACATCCCTAGTATGTGCCAGGCACTTTTGCAGGCACTGGGGACTCAACAGTAAACCAAGCAGACAAAACTTCTGCCTTCGGCAAAGAAGCTTATCTTCCAGTGAGTGAAGCAGACGGTATTTGAGTAAAATACACGGTCAGTTAGATGGTGTTAGGTGGTGTCTGTGGAGGAAAATGAATCTTGGGAAAGAGGCACAGGAAGCCGTGAGGGGTTGCAATTTTATATAGCATTTTTCTAGGCCAGGGGTTGGCAAACCATGGCCCAAGGCCCTCCATCTGTTTCTGTAAATGAAGGTTTATTGGAACAGAGTCACGCTCATTCACTTACATGTTTTCCATGGCTGCTTTTGCATTGCAACAGCAGAGTTCAGTCATTGCAATGGAGACCATTTTGGCTGCAAAGCCTAAAATAGTTCATATTTGGCCTTTTACAGAAAATATTTACTATTTGACCCTTTGCAGAGGAAATGCAGATTTTTACCTATGATAACTTTTGAGGATTCTACCCATGTTGTGCTTTTCAGCTTCTAAAGCGTTGTCAGGAACACGATGTCATCTGAGTGTTGAAGTAGTGTTTGTTATGAGGTAGGTCTCAGTAGCTTTGTTTTACAGGTGACTCAACTGAGGCTTGAAGGGGTTATTATGGTTGTCCAGGGTTGCTGACCTTGTAAAGTGGTCGTGTTTTTTGGTGTTTTTTTGAGACAGGGTCTTGCTCTGTTGTCCAGGCTGGATGCAGTGGCATGATCATGGCTCACTGCAGCCTCAACCTCCTGGGCTCAAGTGATCCTCCCACCTCAGCCTCCCAAGTAGCTGGAACCACAGGCATACACAACCATGCCCAGCTAATTTTTGAATTTTTTGTAGAGATGGGGTTTCTCTATGTTGCCCAGGCTGGTCTCAAATCCCTGGGTTCAAGGGATCCTTTCAGCTCAGGCTCCCAAAATGTTGGGATTACAGGCATCAGCCACTGTGCCTGGCCTAATGCTGGTGTTCAACTCTAAAAGCTGGTGCGTTTTCTACTTTCCAGTGACAAATACAACCCAGGTTTTTAGCGTGACGAGCTTCTAAGCACATGAAACACAGATAGGCAATCACGTGTAGGTGTCACGAATGTGGGCTCAGAAGCTCAGCAGCCCAAGTTCAAATGCTTGTTCTGCCACTTACCTTTGTGACATCAGGCAAGTTATTTAACCTCTCTGTGCCCTGCCTCAGTTTCCTTGTCTGTAAAGCAGTCATAATTGTATGCCTTCTAGGTCAGGTGGTGCTGTATCTTGGTTTTGCCAAGGCAGCTCTGATTTATGCCTGTTTTTTCCACATTAATCAATAGTGCCCCATTTTACTCTCACATACCCCCATTTGGACATTAAATTATGTGCATGCCCTAACCAGGGTCGTTGCAGAGATTAAGTGAGTTAATACAAATAAAGCAAGTTAATACAAATAAAGCAGTTCAATCCATGCTGTAGGAAGCATTTGCTAGACTTTGGCTGTTGTTTCTTGTCAAGGCCATGCCAGCCCATCACTTAATTTTTTTTTTTTTAACTTTTTTAGATGGAGTCTCGCTCTATCGCCCAGGCTGGAGTGCAGTGGCGCGATCTCAGCTCACTGCAACCTCCACCTCCTGGGTTCAAGCAGTTCTCCTGCCTTACCCTCCAGAGAAGCTGGGATTACAGGCGCCTGCTACCACGCCTGGCTAATTTTTGTATTTTAGTAGAGATGGGGTTTCACCATGTTAGCCAGGCTGGTCTCGAACTCCTGACCTCAAGTGATCTACCTGCCTTGGCCTCCCAAAGTGCTGGGATTATAGGCATGAGCTACTGTACCTGGCCTCACTTAATTTTCTTCTGACCCATTGCTTTGTCCCATTAAGTCTGAACTGATTTCTGTCTGGAGCAATTTTGCTTATCTGGGTTAATAGGTGATTGAGGATTCATCTTCTGTGTGGCAGTGCCTTCTGGCTCACTCCCTGACCTCCCTTAGCAGCTTTGCTCAGATGTCATCTTCTCATGATGGTGTCACAGGACACCTCTCTAAAATTGCTACCTCCCCCACCTCCAACACACTTCATATCCACTTCTCTGCTTTATGTGTTTGCTTTATAGTTATTACTAACATACAGGTTTTACTGAGCTACTACTGATGTGGTTCTGTTTTGCTGTTACTTGGATAAAAAAAAAATCCTACAAAATCTGCTATGCCTGTGAGAATATTTATTTTTATGTTTTAAAAAAATGTATCTTTATCATTACATTTTCAGAAATTACAGAAAAACCCAGTAAAAAATTCAGCCCACCCATGGTCCCCCCTCCAGTTGGCATTTTGCTGTGTATCAAGAATACAGCAATTTTACCCCACCTCTAGAGGGAGTACATTTTCTAATCTAACCATATAACTTTAGCTAAACAGCTTACAAGCAAATGACAGTTTACTATGTTCTCTAAGTATTATTTTGATTCCTTTAAAAGGAGATTTTTCCTACACATTTTCATCTGAAGCTGGCCTAGGAGGAAATATAAACACACTGGTCTAGCCTAGTCCCATCTCTAGAAGTAAAGGAAAAAAAAAACATAGAAGAGAAATTGAGTGAAAAGGCATGTTCCCTCACTTGCAGTTAGCTTTCTGGCACGGTGGCAAAGCATTGGCCTGGCGCCTGCCAAAATGAGCATCTTAATAGAAATTATCATGTGTGACATTCCTTTGAATTGCTAACTTTCTTTGTAATATTGAGCAAGTTGCTTTTTGCATCATTGATATAATTCATCTTCTTATGTGTTTGCTTTATAGCTCTCTTTAAAACTGTCAGTGTTTCACAGATTGATCCATTTGCGTTTTTATTTGTTTGAATGCCGCACTGGCACGTACAACCCAAAAGGGCACAGTTGTGTGTGTCTTGTTCACCACTGCACTCCTAGCACCTCCCGTAGTGCCTAGCACATGGTATTTACTTAATAAATATTTGTTGAATGGGAAGGTGCCTGAGCACAGCAGAGTACGCTCACCCTCGATGCAGTGAGGGTGTCCTGCCACCGGGGCCGGGGTGGGGAGGAGATGACCCAGTATAAGGTCCTCAGCTGCGAGAGAATGAACCTCCAAAATGTGGTCTTGGTCCCTCAAATAGCATTCACACTTTCTCCCCCAGGCCCCGGATTCCTGTAACAAAGGATAAGTCATTAATTCAGTCCTCCGAGTTGGTTTAAAGAACAGATGCCTTTGTTTTTTTTGAGACGGAGTCTCACCCTGTTGCTCAGGCTAAAGTGCAGTGGCGCTATCTCGGTTCACTTCAACCTCCACCTCCCGGATTGAAGCGATTCTCCTGCCTCAGCCTCCCCAGTAGCTGGGATTACAGGCACCTGCTACCACGCCTGGCTAATTTTTGTATTTTAGTAGAGATGGGGTTTTGCCATGTTGGCCAGGCTGGTCTCGAACTCCTGACCTCAAGTGATCCACCCGCCTTGGCCTCCCAAAGTGCTGAGATTACAGGCGTAAGCCACAACGCCTGGCCAAAGAAGAGATACCTTTTGAGAGAGGAAGCTCAATAGGACCTTCACACGAAGAGGTCAGGTGTGATATTAGCTCCATTCCTGGGACAGCTGTGATCAAGTGGGAGCGGAAAGAAGAGCATAAGGAGGGGAGGCAGAGAGGGGCTGGGTGGAGTGGCATGGCCAAGGAGGAAAACATGCAGGAAGGGCAGCAGGCCCATGCCAGACCTCTTCTCTTCTAGAAAAGCACATGAAGTGTCAGCCACAGAGATGTATGTGGAGCAATTTGCAGAGTGCCTGGTGCCCGGAAGCAGTTAACGATGGCACTAACACTCACAGCTAATATTTTTGAGCATGTGCTCTAAGCCAAAGTCTGCTAAGCACTTTCCCTGTACTGACTGACTCATTACTCATAAGAATTTTAGGACATAAATAAGAAGTTTATCCCCATTTGATGGGTAAAGAATCCCAGGTATGGAGGCAGTAAATATCAGCAACTACTTTATCCCATGACTTGTGATAGGCTACAATTAAACACTGGCTGTTATCATCATGACTCACTGAAAATACCTCACCACCTCCCTACACCTCCCTTTTTTCTGTAATAGTGAAAAGGCTTTGACAATGTTGTCAATAATGTGGCATTAGTACTATAGGATAACCAAAAGCAGCTTGTAATATTTATGGCAAGGGAGTTTTAAAAGATCTTTTGAGATATTGTACACTTGTTCTTACTTGCATGAGCACATTACATTTTTATCCAGGCAGAATCATTTTTCTATCAAATGGTAGTTTTCAACCTATTGCTAACTGCAATACTGATTTTTTTTTTTTTTTTTTTTAGATAGAGTCTCGCTCTGTCACCCAGGCTGGAGTACAGTGGCGCAATCTTGGCTCACTGCAGCCTCCACCTCCTGGGTTCAAGCAATTCTCCCTGCCTCAGCCTCTCAAGTACCTGGGATTACAGGCACATGCTACCATGCCTGGCTAATTTTTTTATTTTTGGTAGAGACAGGGTTTCACCATGTTGGCCAGGCTGGTCTCAAACTCCTGACCTCAGGTGATCCGCCTGACTCAGCCTCCCAAAGTGTTGGGATTACAGGCGTGAGCCACCGCACCTGGCCTGGTCCATTTCCTTTTAACCCTGCCTTTCCAATGAGAACCTGGGAGATGATTAAAATATTCCATTTTATATGTACACTGCACTTTAAAAATTTTTTTAATTTAATTTTTTGAGACAAGGGCTCCCTCTGTTGCCCAGGCTGGAGTGCAGTGGCACAGTCTTTGTTCACTGCAGCCTCAACCTCCTGGACTCAAGCAATCCTCCCATCTCAGCCTCCCAAGTAGCTGGGGCTACTGGCACATGCCCCCACACCCAGCTAATTTCTGTATTTTTTATTGAGATGGGGGAGGGTCTCACTATGTTGCCCAGGCTGGACTCCAACTCCTGGACTCGAGTGATCCTCCCACCTTGGCCTCCCAAAGTGCTGGGATAACAGGTGTGAGCCATTGCGCCTGGCTCCCCGGCACTGTTTTTACTATAAAATTTTTCAGCTGTCCCCGAGACTAGATTATGTGATTACTTTATTTTGGATGAGAGAATTGATGTTTACTTTTTCCTCAGCATTCTATTTATCATTCTAATTAACAAGTTACCAGTTTCACTAATAAAATGCTTTTGGCATTTGATATGCTGATTAGCGAAGTGTGGATTGTAGGTCAAGGTCACAATGGCAGAAGGACGTGTAGGAGCTGCCTTGAGAGAGTGGCCTTTGTGCTATAAAGTTTGCAGAGCACTCATCGAGTTCAAGCTTAAACTCACCGGCACACACAAACATCACACTGCCTTCCCTGCGGTATATTAAAGTGAGTTCCAGACCTCATAACAGGCAGGCCCGGGGCACCTCATGGTTCATGGAGGCTTTGGGGTACAGTGGCAAGTGATTAGCTTTGGGAGTAACATGACTCATGTAGTCTCCCGTTTTCTCAAATTATCTGGTGAGTTAGTCTCTTACTGCAAGGGAAAAAATAATACTCCCACACCACTTGGAACACCCCAGTTTTGGGAAAATCACTCAAAAAATGCTGCTTAGCCACCCATGCAGCATCCGTGCTGCTGGAGGGTCATTTGGGAAAAGGCAGCGTCCAGACGCCTGCGGGAGGCAGGATTTTTATGGGCTGTTTTTGTGTCCAGTTTCGTAGTTTTCAGAG
Organism: Homo sapiens; assembly: GCF_000001405.40. Classification (NCBI taxonomy): domain Eukaryota; kingdom Metazoa; phylum Chordata; class Mammalia; order Primates; family Hominidae; genus Homo; species Homo sapiens. The sequence goes on along the minus strand of NC_000023.11, from coordinate 19,095,041 downwards.
GAGTCCATTCAGGCTGTCAATGGGAACCGTTGAACCTGTCAAGTTGCTGTTTGCCGGGTCTCTTGGAAAAACACACTGCAACATCCCAGCCCTGGGCGGGTCAGAGAGGATAGTACTAAAAAAAGAAGGAGAAAGTGGACGGCCCCGCTCTGGTGGGAGGCCAGGGCTTGGGGCTGCAGCCAAGTTCCCTGGTGATAGAGGAGTTTCCACCATCCAAGGCTTCCCGTTCTGGCTCCCTCCACCCTACCGTACACCATCCAGCCTTCCAAAATAACTCCGCTTCCGGTGGAACCGGGCAGAGTCACTGGAATGCGTGGTAAGCAGAAGGAGCAGGTAGAGTTGATGCTGGGAGAGAAAGTGTTTTGATGAGCAAGGAAAGAAAGTCGAACAGGAAGGCCAGCCAGCCACTGCAAGACTTTCCTGGCAGTAGGAACACTGATGGGAATGGCACTGACTTCCAGTTTCTGAGGCGCAGCCCAGCAAACCCATCAAGGTAGGCAAAGCCCTTCCTTGGGAGTCATCCCCATACCTCCTCCTCCTCTCTCTCCCAGTTAACAGCAGGCCTTCCCATCCCAATGTGCGTGCGTTGTCCATGCCTGACCTCACTGGGCTCTGCCTGGTCACTGAGGCCTGCTGTATCCCTGTTCACCACCCAAACTGACCTGATCATTAAAAAAAAAATAGATTTAGGAGGTACAATTGCAGCTTTGTTACATGAAGGTATTGTGTATTGGTGAAGTCTGGGCTTTGAGTGTAACCATCACCAGGATAGTGTACATTATAGCCGTTAGGTAATTTCTCACCCCTCACCTACCTCTCACCCTCCCTGCTTTCTATCCATACTGTATGTCCATCTATCCATACTCTGTGTCCATCTATCCATACTCTATGTCTATCCATACTCTATATCCATCTATCCACACTCTATGTTGATCTATCCATACTCTATGTCCATGTCACATTATTTACCTCCCAATTATAAGTAAGAACATGCAGTATTTGGCTTTCTGTTTCTGAGTTAAGATAATGGCCTCCAGTTTCATCCATGTTGCTGCAAAGGACATGATTTCATTCTTTTTCATGGCTGGGTAGTATTCCATGGGGTGTGTGTGTGTGTGTGTGTGTGTGTGTGTGTGTGTATACCTACATACCACATTTATGTCCACCATTGATAGACACTTAGGTTGATTCCATATCTTTGCTATTGTGAATAGTCTGACTTGATAAATTAAGTCACACGTGCCCATTAGTGACCACAGTCATTGAAATTTGCATGTTTTATTGGGTGCAAGCCCTTACCAAAAAAACAACCAAACAAAAACAGAAACAAGCCTTGAGAGGTGGTCTCTTAGATACTAGTCAAAAATTAAAAACAACTTTTGGGGTGGAGGAGGAGTCCTACTCTAGTGAAGTCTTAATAGACTCTAGGTCACCGTCATCTTCAGATTCTCTGGTATAGAACATGTTTACATGCTCCCTGCCCGCCATCTCCCCAAACACACAAAAGATAGAATCAGTCACTCCCATCTTTGTGTCCTCAAAGCAGTGTTCTTATGACCATGAGCACGTTTTCTCCCACTGTTCATCCACGCATAGGAGTGAACATGTGAGTTTCTTGCCTTCTCAGAACGTTCCCCTTTATCCTCTCCTTGTGCACACAGACTGGCCTCCATTTAGAAGAGGGGCTCAGTCAAGGGCCACAACTTCCTGCAGACTGTGGGATCTACCATTCAAGACTGCTGAGAGGAGGAGTAACCTGAGATCTGAGAATTGTGCCAAGGTGGAAGTTATGACCTTGATAAGAATAACACAAAAGCCCGATTGAAATCAGTTCAGGAGACGCTGGGAAGAGGAAGTGGAGGTGCTGAGTGTGGCCAAACCCTGAGCAGGTTAGTTGAGGACTAGCTAAGAGGAAAAGCTTGGCCTTCTCTAAGGATTGTCATGTTTTCTCTTGTTCATGGATGAGATTTCAGAATAAAACACGATCCCCTTTTCTATTTGGGCACCAAAGAGCCATGTTTGTAGTTTGTTAATATAAAGGTGAAGGCCTTGTGACCTACTTACCTACTTCCTAACTTCCCAGTTTCCCTCCTTGGTCCTGATCTCCTTCTGTAATTTATATTCTCCTTGATCCTGCCTTTCTTTGCAGGGAGTGAGGAGGGGAATACAAAGTGCCGTTTTGTCATCTGTGGTCTTGGTTGTTAATTGCCTGTTAGCCTTCACAGAACAAGTGCAACTGAAGGCTCTAAGACACAAGTCAACGTGAAGGTCCTCCTCCATCTCGCCAGACAACTCCTGGACTAGGTCCTGGTTCAGGATGGGTTTGTGCAGTTGCTGCAGACAGAGGCAAGGACTGAATTTTAAGATGCTGGGTGAGGAGGGTGAGGCTGGAGGGTAAGAGCAGGTAAAAAGGGACTGTGCATACCCCACTTGGAGCTGCAGGACTGCTTTCCCTCTCTTGCTGGGCCAGGCTATGGCCTTCCCCTGCAGCTTGGGAAGTTACTGTCCTCGCACCTGCCCGTTTGGGTTTCCTCTCCCCCTCCTGCCTTTGACCCTGCTCCTCATCCTCTCCAGACACCTGACTCCAAGCTCATCTTTCTAAAGCTGCTCTGTCTGGTTAATTTCACCCCCTCCCCCAATTTTATTCTCGCCCCCATCAAGTTAGGCATTGACTGTCTACTCTGCTAATTTGTTGTCATTGATACCTGACTTATTTTCAAGTTGTTGCAGGGGAACTGATGTGAGGGAAAAAGCTGGAAGGTGTTGTTAACTCTGTAGAAATTGTATGTGACTATGAAGGCCAAAAGCATTTCGAGAAAGCATCCCATACACTTGTAACCTAGCAGCAGTGGGATGCTGGGATGCTGCAAGGGCTGGGATCAAAGGCTGTGGATTGGGCTGGCAGAGGGCCGGTGGCTGTGGTGGGAAGGCACACCAGACCCAAGGGGTGGACAAGTTGTCAGATGACCTGGATTCTAGTTCACATGCAGCTGCTTCACTGCGTTTGATCCTCACTTGCCTTAGCTGAACTCTAGGCAGTGCCTGCCACTCTTTCACTCTTTATATCCAACCCAGACCCAAGTCGCGTCAATTCTTCCTCCCAAATACTGCTCAGTATGTCCATCATTCATCACCACCACCACCATCTTCATCCAGCCTTGTTTCTCACCTCGAATACCGTAATTACTTCCTCGTTGGTAGAGAGCAGGGCAAACTAGCGCCCACAGGCCAAATCCCACAAGCTGCCTGTGTTTATAAATAAAGCTTTATTAGCACACAGCCACACTCATTCATTTACAGATTGCCTGTGGCTGTTTTTGTGCTGTAATGGCAGAGTTGAGTAATTGCAACAGAAATCCTGCAGCCTGCAAAGCTGGAAATATTTACTATCTTACCCTTGCAGAAAAGATCTGCAGGCCCCTGGTGTAGAGGAAAATCATTTGTATAATTATTCTGACTCTTCTTTTCTGAACTCTAATACCCATTACATTTTAATAGATTTTCGTGTGTGTGTGTGTGTGTGTGTGTGTGTGTGTGTGTGTGTGTGTGACATAAAATCTGTAGTCTCCATTTCTTGATTCTAACTCTTACTTTGTATTTTTGTTTTACTGAATTGCTCAGACCTTCAGAACAATGTTTGAGAATGGAGAGCTAAAATTCCAAACTGGACCCCCACTTCCACTAAGACCCCCTCCTATTCATTTTCCATGCAAAAATTGCTAGAACAATCTTGTCAAAATGTGAATCTGAACACGCTGCCCACTGTTTAAAATCCTTCAGTGACTTTCCATGGCTCTCAAAGCAAGGGTGCAAATCCTTACCTTGGCCACCAAGCCCCCTTGGGAGCTGAGCCTTTTCTGTCTCTCCAGCCTCATCTTTCACTGTCCTCTCCTTGCCACGGCATGTCCTGTCCACTCCTACCTTTCTTCAGTTCCTTACATGAGTGACATTCCCTCTTGCCACAGTGCCTTTGCACATATTACTTCCTCTACTTGATACGGTCTTTCCTTGCCTCTTTGGTGGGCAAGTTCCTCTCACCCTTCCAGTTTCAGCATCACTTCCACAGGGAAGCCTTCCCCAGTCCCTTAGGTCAGATCCCCCTGTCTTCACCCAGAGCTCCTGTTGCATTGCTTTGTGGCACTTGCTGTAATCGCAATATCGCACTTCTTGGTGTGAATTTTTGTATCATATCTCTGTTTCCCCATTAGAATATGAACACTTACCCAACCTCAACATCTAATTTGACCTTTCTAAACATTAACATCATAACCACAAACAAATAGGTTCTGGGACACTAAGGAAAAATCAACTTTTAAAAAGTGCAAAAAAAAAATACATCATTCAGGAGAAAAAAATAAGTTAGAGTGAGAATAAAGAATAAATTAGAAATGTGGAAGAGGAAAGACAAGCATTTTAAGAAATGACCTTCTGGCTTCTGAGTTGTACTGAGTGGCTTGATGTCATTAGCAAGATGAACGTATTGATTTTCTCTTATTTGTATAGTAAACAAATGGAAATTTAAGCATTTTACCACTCACAGTACATTGTTTCCTGTAGTTATAAATATATTTTCTTCTTTCTTAGCCTGCGCAGCCACGTGAGGGAGGGGGTCTTAAACCATGCCTCTTAACCCTTGGGCATCTGGCTCGAAGGCCCATTTTCTTCTCCTCTCTGCTGGCTAGGAGCAATGGGTAGAAGGGAGGGCTAGAACACACTTAACAGGTCACAGTGACAAATATTTCTTTCAGGGAGATTATCATGAGCAAATGCCCAGAAACGGGCTGCAAACTCTGCCCAGTGTCCCCAGAAACATCTTGGTTCATCTCTTTATGAGTAGGGCCCATGGACCATGCAAGGTCTGCAGAATCTGCTTATGTGGGTTCCAGAGGGAGTGTATAGAGGGAGTGTATAAAAGAAAATGAGGCAGGCTTTGAATTAGAATCAGCCCAGGCCAGCATTTTATACATAATGGGCCCTTCCCTTAAATTGGTACTTGTAGTACTTACAGAAGGAAAAGAAGAAAGGAAGATGAGTGGAGAGAAATAATGAAAGGAAGAAAGGGTAAAGAGGAAGGGAAGAAAGAAGGTGTATAAGTTAGTTTTTTCCACATAACAAAACAGCCCAAAATTTAGCAGCTTAAAGCAACAACCATTTAATTAGTTCACATTTTTTGAGTCCACAGTCTTGGCAGGGCTCAGCAAGATGGTTCTTCTGCTGGTCTCGGTTGGGCTCACTCATGCATCTGTTGTCACCTGCCAGTCTACCAGATGACCCTTTGCCTGGGGGTTGGCCAGCTCTTGGTTGGAGCAATGCCTGACCAGGCGTGGGTCTTTCATCATCTGGCCAACTAGCTCAGGCTGGTTTCCACTCTTACATGGTGGCTTGAGCCTTAAAGAGCAGCAAGAGAGAGCAAATTCCATGCTCAAGCACTTTTCACACTTTTGGTTGTATCACATTTGCTGCATTCAAGGGGTGGAGCATTCAAGGGGTAGAGCAACAAAATCACATTGCATGGATTTTGCAATGTAATTTTGGATAGGCAAAATAGATAGGCAAACTAGAATAGGAAAAGTTTGGTTTTTATTTTATTTTTATTTAACTTTTATTTTAAGTTCAAGTATACATGTGCAGGTTTGTTATATGGGTAAACTTGTGTCATGGGGGTTTGTTGTGCATATTATTTCATCACCCAGGTATTAAGCCTAGAACCCACTAGTTATTTTTCCTGATCCTCTCCCTCCTCCCACCCTCCACCCTAGGAAGAGTTTATGAGTAGCTTTGCAATCAGCCACAAAAGGGAGGGGCTAGAAACTTCTCTTGCTGGCAAAGTTGGCAGAGATACAGCAATTTTGAGGTGGAGTTTGAGGTCTTCATATTGAATTTTTAAAATGTTATTAATAAATCACTAAATTCCTATCTTCCACAGTTTTTCTGTCAAATAGGGCTAGATAATAATGTAACTTCTTAATCATTTCCAGTGAGAATAATAACAACTTTATGGGCAAGGGTTTCCTCATCTTTTATTTCCTGGAGTTAAGGTTTAGTACATCTCACGTGGCAGATATATATGGAAACAGGAAAATTTTAATGCACCAGCCTTAATTTGTAGCCCAAGTGTCCAATATACAACAAAGGCTTACTAAACAAAGGAAACATTTATGTGTGTGGTTTTCTTACTACTTGGTGAGACCCATCCTACATGAACAATTGCTCTTTCCTTATCTGTGTAGCTTTTGGTCGTATTTTCTCTCATCATTGAAAATACAATATCAGGCCAGGTGTGGTGGCTCACACCTGTAATCTCAGGACTTTGGGAGGCAGAGGCAGAAGGATTGCTTGACCCCAGGAGTTGGAGACCAGCCTGGGCAACATAGTGAAACCCATCAAGTAGCTGGGTGTGGTGGCATGTGTCTGTAGTCCCAGCTACTCAGGAGGCTGAGGTGACAGCATCACTTGAGCCTGGGATATTGAGTCTGCAGTAATTGCGCCACTGCACTTCAGCCTGAGCAACAGAGGAGACCCAGTCTCAAAGAAAAAACAAATAAACAAACAAAAAACAAAAAAGAAAAGAAAATATCAAAAGAAAATATCAAAACATAGTTTAAACAGAGGGAAATGGCCAGTGTTTGTTGCTACCCAGTGGAAAGAGAAGTTGAGTTAATTAGAAAATGTTAGTCATCTTAATTGAGATTGATTTAAGTTGTGATGATCCAAATTCAATTATCCTGTGAAGTGTTTTCATATTAATGGAAGAAAGCTCACTCTGGTGAACTTTGTGTGAATATAGCTTAATGTCAGACTTGCATTTAAAAAATCAAGTATATAAGTGTTCTTTTTGTGAAATAGTAAATTAATGTTTTTGTAAAAGAATTGGTAAATTCTTGCCTATGCATTTGTGAAAGTGAGAATTGTTTATAGTCTAAGGAAGGTTATGTCCTGTTTTGGAATGCCTTAGTTCTGTCATCTTGGGTAGAGAGTTGGTGGTTGCCTCACCCAGACCACTGGGACTGGAGGTCTGGGAGTCATTTGAAGGTGAGGCTCTCACCATGTGGTCTTTGATACTCTCTTCTCCAGCTCTGGGCAGAGGTGACCAGCAACATTCTAGCCCCCGGAATACACGTGGCAAGCCTTAAGCTAGGGAAGGGAAGGGAAGGAAAACGGGGACACTGTAGGGTGAAAGAGAGTAGAAGAGAAAAGAGGGAGAGAAGACTGGAGGGAAGGGAAGAGAGAAAAGAAAGCTTCTCGTGCTGCAGGAAAATAAAGCATGGTAGCAACGGCTGCAAGAGGCCCACTGACGACTTCTCCTGGCTGCTTCCTTCCACCTCAGCATGCAGCCCCTCCAGACTGATGACCAGGGGTCATCTTTTGAGATGTTTTACAAAGCAATTCCGAAAGCTCTGTTAGTCACTTGTACAATTTAACAAGGATGGACACCAGGACACTGTCTTTCCACTTTAAACTCTTTGGCTGTGCCTTGGTTTCAGCCATTTCCTCTCTTTGGAATGCTCTCGCCCATGTCTTCATATAAAGGGAGTTGCACCCTTTAAGCTGCAGCCTGATGATTACTTCCTAGATGAGATTTTCCTGGATCCATTTCCCCACACTGGGTTAGGTGTCCTTCCTCGGTGCTCCCATTACTGCCCACAGCTGATGCCAAAGCCTGGCATTCTGGATTCAGGCTCGCTGGTGCCCTTGGCCGTGAGCCTTTGTGCAGGGCACAACCTGCACAACCGTACAGAGCAGCCTTGTTTTTTGGCACATAGTAGGCACCCAGTTAAATGTTTGTTGAATGAATGATCTTTAGTTTTCCAGAACCATCTCACAATTTAACTCCTCTTGAGTGGTGGCATTCAGAACTGAACAAACCAGTCTGTGAAGGTCAGGGTCCTATTAGGCAGGGTCTGATCAGTACTGGGGCCACCACAAGGTTCTAGAACCACTCTTGTTTGTTCCTCGATGGCAATACCTACCACTCTAAGACCAAGAATGTGCATATGCCCAACCTTCTCCTGCATATAACTTTGCCTTCCCCATCATCTCCATTTGGGCAATTTGTTTTTCCTCCCAGTGTGAAGAAACTCCTCTTTCCTTCTCTCTGGCCCCATCCCGATGTATCAAGACCTCTTTGTCCTCTGGTCATTTCTTCCATGGTGTCGGTGTCAGTGTCATTGCCAGGAACTTCGAGCCAGTCTGTGCCTGTCGGTCTAGGTCACTAATGAATCATTAGGTTCCTAATGAAGTGCTGAGCCCTCCAGGATGCTGTATGTCATGGTTCTGTTTTGGTTGGTTTTGGTTTTTTTGGTTGGTCCTTCCTTGGAGGGCAGTGGGACAACTGCCTGGGGCTGCTGTTACCTGTGCTCCTTCCCAAGTGGGTTGCAGATTATCCCTAGGATGTGTGGGTGCTGTGGCCAGGTGCCCAGGATGGGAGTTCTGACTCTTGGACGCAGCCTCCCTGTGAGCGGCCCTGAACTGGAGCAGGGCTCTTAAGTACACCCGGAGGTCATTTCCTTCCCACCCAAACCACTTGTAAAGTCTGCCTGCCTTTTTTAAAATTTATTTTTTTGGGTCACGCTGGTATTACCCTGGGTTTTAGCCAGCTTGATAAATAGAGGAAGTTGGGTGGCTTCCCAGCCTCCCTGATGTCATGGTTTGGGGCAATCTGCAACTGTGGGAGGTTTCATGAATCCTAGCAAGTGGTGAGTTTGCTGTTCTTCTCTGCGAAATTTCTCTGTTCCGTGCCATGTCTTACATAAGTTGATATGGTTCCTTTTGTGACTTGCCCTTTCCCTTCAATGATGTAAGAACCCCAAACATTGGTAGTCACTATGTTTTGTCACTGAAGCGCTGGTGCTCATCAGATCCTCATTCCTGTTCCGCTTCTCTAGGAGATAAAGGCTGGTGGGTGTGTGGTGGCCACAGGGGCAAGGAGGGATCTGTGGACTGAAGGATGGGCCTTTCTTTAATGAAGTTGAGGCCTTGGTATTCATCAGGCATTTTTGCATCATTGCTTTTGCCATTATTTTCCACAACTTGCTGAAGTGAGTTCCTGCTCCCTGGCTGGGAAGCTGGTTTCTTGGCCCTGAAACCAGAAGTCTTTGTGTTCCCAGTTGGGCCTTTCTAACTGAGGTAGAGCAGGCGAAGGGGAGATGACGTTGAGCTGAGCAAGTGATGGCTTTCCGTCCCATTCCCCACCCACTGAGCTTGATGGAGGAGCTCTGTTCAGCCCTCCTTCTGCTTTTCTTCACTAGAAGAAATCTACTTAATTGTGTAAGTACTATGTAAAGACATGCCTGTGGTCTATGGAGTAGCAATTTGGCTTCATCCTTTCCCTCATCACACTCCTGGGTTACTGGTGGGTTTCCTTCCAGGCTATTTTGTATGCATCCACCCTTGTCACTGTATTAATAAGGATAGGCCATGTGCAGTGGCTCACATATGTAATCTCAGCACTTTGGGTGGTCAAGGCGGGAGGATTGCTTGAGTCCAGGAGTTTGAGACCAGCCTGGGCAACATGGTGAGACCCCATCTCTACAAAAAACTAACAAATTAGCCGAGCATGGTTGCACGTGACTGTAGTCTTAGCTACCCAGGAGACTGAGGTGGGAGGATCACTTGAACCCAGGAGTGGGAGGCTGCAGTGAGCTGTGATCGAGCCACTGCACTTCAGCCTGGGCGACAAGGCAAGACCCCATTTCTAATTAAAAAATAAGCATACACATATAACTTTGATTGCATCTTAACAAGTCCTCGTATATATATTATTCAGAAACTTGGTTTTTTCTCTTGCCTTATATGCATTGACAGTCTCTGTATGTTAATACACCTAAATGAACTTCACTTTTAAGTGTTGCATAATATTCCAAAACACAGATGTGCCATTGTTTAACTCTTCATCTACTAATGGAAACTTAGGCTCCCCCCACCACACACACAGCTGCAATGACAGTATTTGTGTGTATATTTTTGTATCTATGGGTCAGTATTTCTGTGGGGACAATCTCTGGAATTCAAATTTCTGTATCAAAAAGCATGCACATTTAAAATTTTAAAACATAGCTAAATTACTCTCTCAAAGTTTATGTTTCCACCAATGGTGTATGCAGGTGTTTATTTCCCCACATGCTCTCCAGCTTTGGATATTACTAGGCTTTTCAATTTTTTCATCCACTGGGAAAAACAAATGTCATGTTGCTTGCCCTACTTTTCTACCTGTAAGTATTCCAAGGGAGCGAACAGAGCCTCCTGTTGTTCATTAATAAACTGGATTCCCAAGAACCATTAAGTGTGCTTTATTATGGTCATCAGTAAGGTTTTGGAAGAGGTAGTGTGCTTGGGTTGGGAAATTTCATCAAAATATCAGAAATCCCTATGTGGAAAATTCTCATTTTCACAAATGTTAAATGAACTTCTTTCGATACTCAAGTCACAATAGATTTCTTTCTTTCTTTGATTATTGAAATGTTTTTCAGTTGTTAATCCTACATTTAGTCCACATTCAGCATTGGGACATGTGTTCGCAATTGTTCATCGTAGGACAGGACAACATGGTTGGCCTTCATTTTTGTCTTTTATTTCAAGTTCTGGGGTACATGTGCAGGATGTGCAGGTTTGTTACACAGGTAAATGTGTGCCATGGTGATTTGCTATACCTATCAACCCATCACCTAGGTATTAAGCCCAGCATGCATTAGCTATTCTTCCTGATTCTCTACCCACCCCCTCCCCGACAGGCCCCAGTGTATGTTGTTCCCCTCCATGTGTCTGTGTGTTCACATGGACACACTTATAAGTGTGTCACCTTCCACTTATAAGTGAGAATATGTGGTGTTTGGTTTTCTGTTCCTGCATTAGTTTGCTGAAGATAATGGCTTCCAGCTCCATCCATGTCCCTGCAAAGGACATGATCTCATTCCTTTTTATGGCTGCATAGTCTTCCATGGTGTATATGTGCCACATTTTCTTTATCCAGTCTATCATTGATGGGCATTTAGGTTGATTCCATGTCTTTGCTATTGTGAATAGTGCTGCAATGAACATATGTGTGCATGTATCTTTATAATAAAATGATTTCTATTCCTTTGGGTATATACCCAGTAATGGGATTGCTGGGCACTGAACTGCTATTATAACAGTCTGTCAGTAGGTCAGTTGGTTCCAGGATGACCTTAGAGATCGTTTCTTATCACAGATCTTCATTTGAAAGTCATTATGTCCTATTTCACATGAGAAGATGCCATTACGTGAAGTGACTGTCATCTTCAAGCTAATAGCTGGACCAATGTTTTGGTTCAGAAGTAAGGCATGTTGGAATATTCTAAAAGATACAAGTCAGGTCGTCAGCAATGCTCTCTGCCTTGGGTGGATACCCCATTCTTTCCCCAGCGTGCATCTGAGTTTTCCCTCATATCATTGCAAATACCCCCATGTTCCCCTTTCAACTCTGAGCCAAACTTAGTAATTAACCAAGAGTTAGCCCTTTAGTGGAGAAACAATTCTGCCTCTGGCACAAGAGACCTAAATGCCCCAATCCTTGATATCAAGGAGTTTAGGTTCTAGGGAAGTGAAGTCACAAACACATGAAGAAATGTCTAACCAAGCAGGGTCTCTAGAAGGGACCACCCCACCCCAGGTCTGGTCCAATCACTTCGTTGTCCAGTGCCCTATGATGTTGTTAATGAAGTCTTCAACTGAACAGTAATTCATGCCACAAAAACATTAACAAGGCTGGGTGTGGTGGCTCACACCTATAATCCCAGCACTTTGGGAGGCTGAGGTGGGCAGATCACCTGAAGTCAGGAGTTTGAGACCAGCCTGGCCAACATGGTGAAACCCTGTCTCTACTGAAAATACAAAAAAAAAAAAAAAAAAAAATTAGCCGGGTGTGGTAGCGTGTGCCTGTAATACCAGCTGCTCAGGAGGCTGAGGCCAGAGAATTGCTTGAACCTGGGAGGTAGAGGCTGCAGTGAGCCGAGATCATGCCACTGCACTCCAGCCTGGGTGACAGAGTGAGACTCCGTCTCAAAACAAAACAAAACAAAACAAAACACATTAACAAGATCAGTCCCCAAACTGGCTTTGGGCTTGTGCTTCCAGTTTATATATAAGTTCCTCAGCAGCAGGGTTTACATCCATTTTTTCTGTAACTCCACTGCCAAGTTCAAGCTGTGACGTGCAGTAGGGAGCCCAGGGGGCGTCGGCTGATGAGCTCACTGCAGTATTGAAGTATTATGCTGTCAAGAAAGTCCACTTTCCATTGGTCTAATTTTGCTTTTTATTTTTTATTTTTCATTTTCAGGTGTGCACAGAGGTTCTCCACTTTGTTTTCTGAACTCGCGGTCAGGTGAGTAATGCTATTTCTATGAGATAATGTTGTAGAAATGAGGAACATGTTAGCTTGGGTTTTTTTTTCTTTCCTATTTTCCCTCCTTCATTGCAAATTCCCATCCCCATACCAACTTTATTCTTTTTTGTTTGTTTTGTTTTGTTTTTAACTCCTCACTCCCACTTGGAGCTCTCTTTTCTTCAGATACTTTCTTTTCCTTGGGGATTCTATTGTTGACCTGTTTCTTCTTGCTAACCCAATTGCTTTTGAATGGGCGTTCAGAAATGGGTACCGATTTTGAAGTTACATGGTGCGGTCAAAGCTGGGGAAAGAGAATGATCATTTACGTGGAATTATTTGGGATTCTGTTTCACTGTTTTCCCCTTTCCTGCTCCCTGGACGTGTGTCCCTTGGCTCTAACAGCTTTTGTCATGTTTTGTAATGGACCAAGGAAGTGTTTGTTCTCTCTCTGACCTAAGTGCTGTGCAAATGCAGCTGTCAAAGGATCCTTCCAACCAGATTTCTGCCCATGACCCTCTTCTAGATAGAAATTCTGAAGCCGCTACTTTCACGCTTCCTATTTCTTTCTTTTTTCTTTTCTTTTCTTTCTTTCTTTCTTTTCTTTTTTTTTTTTTTTTTTTTTTTTTGAGACAGGGTCTCCCTCTGTCACCCAGGTAGGAGCGCAGTGGCGCAGTCACAGCTCACTGCAGTTTTGACCTCCCAGGCTCAAGTGATCCTCCCACCTCAGCCTCCTGAGTAACTGGGACCACAGGTGCATGCAACCATGCCTGGCTAATTTTTTATTTTTTGTAGAGACGGGATCTCCCTATGCTGCCAGACGGGTCTCAAACTCCTGGCCTCAATCCATCCTCCTGCTTCAGCCTCCCAAAGTGCTGGGATTACAGGCCTGAGCCACTGTACCCAGCCTATTTCTTTTGAGACTCATAAATAGTGGTATTTCTGGGAATTCATTGACATAAATTATCAAAATTTTGTAAACAATGTAAATGTCTATCATAATGAATACAAATTAGAATGATCCCATTATAACTTACATGATAAATAACACATTGTTATTATAATAGATACTAGTAAGTTATTGCTATAAATAAGGTTATAACAGCTGAGCAGGGTCACACAGCCAGTAAATGGCCCAGCTGGGACCTGAAGCAGGAATTGGCATGGTGTGATGACAAAACCAAGGAAGGGCACAGAATCCTGGCGAGGGGTGGGCCCTGGTGGGTGAGGCGGGGTTGGTTTCCTGAGTCCCTCACTTCCTCTCCAGCATGGTTTCCTAGATGACCGCCAACCATGTGCTTTTGCCCTATCCCTGCCCCAGCCCTGCAGTGCAGATCAATGCCCCAGGAGGCTTTTAAGAAGAGCCTCTTATTTCTCTCCTCTACATATTGATAGAATTATTTTGCAGCAGTAGATTCTGGACCAAATCAATGAAAAAATCTTTGTCGAGTGCCTGCTGTGGGTGTGGGGGTGAGGTGGAGATCAAGCCTATATAGGAGAGGCTATTGTGTTCTGCTTCCTTGTTTTTGTTTTTAGGCAAAGTCGAGTCTGATGGACCATGAAGAGAAAGTATCTTTTGTTTGTTGTTTTAAAAAAAATCACTATTGATTTGGCCATGCCAATGACCAATGAATCTGAGTAGTGGCTATTAAGCTATCGAGGGCAGGAAAGATATCTGCCTTGTTTTTTGTGGTATCTCAAGTCCCTGGCATAGAATCTTGCTTGTAATAGAACTTCAATAAACATTCGTCAACTAGATGAATGAATGTCAATTATTTTGGAAATAATTCCAAAATCTGTTTACAGTTTGTACTGGAGTGTATTATAAACTTATCTTCTTTAGCTGAGTATGGTGGCGTGTGCCTATAGTCCCAGCTACTCAGGAGCCTGAGGCAGGAGGATCGCTTGAGCCTGGGAGGTGGAGGTTGCAGCAAGCCGAGATTGTACCACTGCACTCCAGCCTGGGTGACAGAGCAAGACCCTGTCACAAAAAAACAAGCAAACAACAGCAACAACCAAAAAACAATAAAAGAAACCCAAAAACTTGTCTTCTAATTATGCTTGTAATCATAGCTAACACTTCTTGACTACACTAAGACTTTCATTACATTACCTCATTTAATCCCCACAGAACCCTGTGAAATAGGTCTTAGCATTACTTCCACGTCTTCAGATGAAGAATTTAAACTCCAGAGAGGTTAAGGAACAGCCCAAGTTTACACTATAAGTGGTGGAGCTTAGATGTGAAGGCAGACAGATGGCTCTACCATGCATGCTCCCGAATCCTATGCTATTCTGCTCATTATTGTGTGTTAAACATACTGCAAGCATTGGGGGCAGACCCTGAAGAATGAGGGGAGAGAGATGAAGTAGGCTTTCACCTTGCGTTGGATAATTCACACATGGCTAATCAAGAGTATGGTAGATCGCAGGTATGAGAGAGTGGAGAAATCTGGAGATGAGCAAGGGAGCCAAAAAACAGAACACCCCTCAGCCGGGCGCGGTGGCTCACGTCTAGAATCCCAGCACTTTGGGAGGCCGAGGCGGGTGGGTCATCTGAGGTCAGGAGTTCGAGACCAGCCTGGCCAACTGGGTGAAACCCTGTCTCTACTAAAAATACAAAAATTAGCCAGGTGTGGTGGCAGGCGCCTGTAATCCCAGCTACTCAGGAGGCTGAGGCAGAAGAATTGCTTGAACCGGGAGGTGGAGGTTGCGGTGAGCCGAGATCACGCCATTGCATTCCAGCCTGGGTGACAAGAGCAAAACTCCGTCTCAAAAAAAAAAAAACAAAAACCAAACCAGACAAAAAGCAGAACACCCCTCACCAGGTTTGGTGAGTGTATGTTTACATTAAGCGCACAATTTAGTTCTAATCTTGCACGTCTGATATTGATTCACTTGTTTTATTGAATAAAGCTTCCTTTTTCTGCATCAGAAAGCACTTACCGCTTATTAAGAAAATCATTTTTGCACTGTAAAGACCAAATCATTTCCTTCCATTTGATTCTAGAGATGTGTAAGTTTCACACTGCAATGATGCCATATGGCTCAGCATTGGCTTTACTTTGTGCTCTGACAAACAACATACAAGGCTGCTGTTTTAGAGTTCCTATTCAGCACTTACCAGTTAACCTAGTTTCTGTCATCTTTAGGACATGGTTGTTTTTGGCATATGGGATGTTGTTTCTCTTACTACGGTAATACTGGCTTTAGTTCTTGGTGACCTTATCTTCAAAAAATTTTGTTGCTGAAGTTCAGAATAGTTCCTTTTGTCCAATATTTATTCAAACTACCTCAATTTACAAGATTTGAAATTGCTTCTAGACATTTCTGTGAGCATTTTGGAGAAATCTGAAAACAGTCTCATTTGATTTATATAATGGGCAAAAATCTAAGGACTTTCCTTGTCTGGTTTTGGCATCGGGGTTATGATAGCCTTGTAAAAGTGAGTTCAGATGTGCTCTTTTTCTTGAGTTTCTGTGCGATTGAAACTCTTATTCCTTAAATATTTGATAGAATCATCAGTGAAGCCATCTGGGCCTGGAGTTTTCTTTGTGGGACAAGTTTTGAGACTTTTAATGGTTATACCTACTATTCATGTTTACCATTTCCACTTGATTCCTTCTTGGTAATTGGTATTTTTTTCTAGAAATTTGTCCCTTTCTATCTAGAGTTTCAAAATTATTGAAGACAGTTTTTGCTAAGAGCCTTTTATATTTATTATGTTTATAGCATTTACAGGTGTGTTGCTTTTTCCGTACCTCTTATTAGCTACTTCCTCACTCCCTGCCTCTCTCTTTTTCTCCCCTTTTTCCCTCCCCTCCCTCTGTCTCTTGATTTTGCCAGAATTGTCTTTTCAAAGAGCAACGTTGGCTTTGTTAATCTTTATGTCTTTTTTCTGTTTTTATTATATGCTTTTTTTTTTATTACCTTCCTTCTTCTTCTTTGGGTTTATTTTGCTGTACTTTTTCACACTTCTTAAGAACCTTAATTCATTAATTTTAAGCCTTTCTCTTTTTCTAATTTGTATGTTTAAAATATAATTTTCACTCTATCTTTAGCTGTATCCTATGTGTTTTATATACAGTGTTTTTCTTATTGATCAAGTCGAATATTTTCTTTTTTCTTTTATCTTTTTTGTTTTTGAGACAAGGTCTTGCTCTGTTGCCCAGGCTGCAGTGCATTGGCGTGATCATGGTTCACTACAGCCTCTACCTCCTTGCCTCAAGCGATCCTCTTGCCTCAGACTCCCATGCAGCTGGGACCATAGGCGCATACCACCATGCCCGGCTAATTTTTTTATTTTTTTGTAGAGATGGAGGGGGGGTCCCACTTTGTTGCCCAGGCTGGGCTCGAACTCCTGGGCTCAGGTAACCCTTCTGCCTTGGCCTCCCAAAGTGCTGGGATTACAGGTGTGAGCCACCACGCCTGGCGAATATTTTCTAATAAACATTGTGACTTCTTTGACCCATGGGTTATTTGTTAAATAACACATCTAACTTTTTGTTATTACACCTTAATTGTGTTGTGGTCAAAGAACATGCTGCTTTTCTGTTTTCCAATTGTTTAAAAAGCTTTTGAGACTTTTCTGTTGGTCTGGATGGTTTTCACAGACATTCCATGTGCTCTTGAAAAGATTATGCGCGCTGCAGTTGTTGAATGGGGGCTTCTAGATATGGTCCTCATGTTGTTGGTTAAATGTGTGATTCAAATATTCTATATCCTTAATGACTTTCTTATTTAATTTTTACCAATTGCTGATAGAGATCTCTCATTATGATTGTGGATTTGTTCTATTTCTCCTTATATTCTGTCAATGCTGTTTGGTGTATTTTGAGGCTATAGTAGTTGCATTCACATGTAAATTTCTTCAGTCTTCAATTCAGAATTGAATCTTTTATGAATGAACGGTTTTATTTCTAGGTAAAGTATTTTGCTTTAAAGTATAATTTGTCTGATATTAGTATAAACACATTAATTTTCTTTTGATTAGTGTGGGCATAGCATATCTTTTCCATCTCTTTACTTTCAAACTTTCTGAATCATTAGGTTCTATTTGTGTCCTTGTAAATAGCATATAATTGGAGTTTGTATTTTTTTCAGTCTGATAATCTTTGCCTTTTAATGGAATCATTGAGTCCATTTATATTTCATGAATCATTGATCTGCTTTTTTTTTTTTTTTTTTGAAATAGAGTTTCACTCTTGTTGCCCAGGCTGGAGTGTAGTGGCGCAATCTCGGCTCACTGCAACCTCTGCCTCCTGGGTTCTAGCGATTCTCCTGCCTCAGCCTCCCAAGTAGCCTGGGATTACAGGCACCTGACACCATACCTGGCTAATTTTTTTTTTTTTTTTTTTTTTTTTTTTTAGTAGAGACAGAGTTTCATCATGTTGATCAGGCTGGTCTCAAATTCCTGACCTCAGGTGATCCACCCGCTTCGGCCTCCCGAAGTGTTGGGATTACAGGCGTGAGCCACTGCACCGGCCTGCATTTGTTTTTAAATCTTTATTACTTTCTATTTTTCCTAACCATTCTTTGTTGCTGTTTCTCCTCTTTCTTGCCTTTTTTCAGACTGACTGAATATGTTAGAAACTGTTTTCCTCCTCCACTAGTTAGGAAGTTATATGTCCCATTTCTGTTGTTTAGTTACTAAAGATATTACAACCTGTTGTAGAAATTACAACATGTCTACTCAACTTTTCAATGTGTAAAGATAATCAATACCTTTAGCTTCCTCTAGTATAATCCAAGGACCTTGAAAGACTTTAATTTTTGAATTTCATTTTGTCATCTCCTTACTTATATTACATATAATGCATATATTGTCTCCTATGTTTATATATATGAGGTAGTTGCCATATGTTTTTATTTTATCATGTTTCACTAATCCCTACAAGATGTTATTGTTTTATATAGTAGTTTTGTTTTGTTTCAAGACACAGTCTCCTTCTATCACCCAGGCTGGAGTCCAGTGGCACGATCTTGGCTCACTGCAACCTCCACCTCCCGGGTTCAAGCAATTCTCCTGCCTCAGCCTCCCAAGAAGCTAGGGTTACAGGTGCCAGCCACCACATCTGGCTAATTTTTGTATTTTTAGTAAAGATGGGGTTTCACCATGTTGGCCAGGCTGGTCTTGAACTCCTGACCTCAAGTGATCTGCCCATCTCGGCCTCCCAAAGTGCTGGGATTACAGGCGTGAGCCACCATGACTGGCACTGTTTTATATAGTAAAAGTTCATTTGGATTTGCCAGTAGAGAGTACTACCCCTAGTTCTGGGCACCTGGGGCCTCTGGCCTGTGACTTGTGATTTAGAGTCCCCTCTCTGGCCCTTCTCTAGCTCCACCCTTCTCCAAATGGCAAGAAGTCTGTGGCACCAAGAAGTCATGCCTACCCGGAGCTACCTCCCTCTTCCCCTCACCCTTGCTTCTAGATCGTACTCTGGGAATCCGGGACCCTGGAATTCCCAATCCAAACATTCTGTGCCAATTTCCAGGACCTGGGCACTCCCCTTCCTCATTGCAAGCCATGCTGCAGGTGTACGTACCCCCAGACCCAAGGGATGACCAAGGGGTACATGCATGCAGGAGAGGGGGTTAGGGGTATGCAGGCTGTGGTGATCACATGAGTGTGCACAAAGCCTCTTACAGCTTGGAATGAAGCCTTAGGGGAAGAATAAGGGCAAAGCCTTCTTTTAAACTCTTGATCTGTATCTTAGAAATGTTAGCCATGGGCCTGGCCACAAACCCACCACTTTCTTTGTTCCTCATTCCTCCTTTCATCTCAGTTCTTATGTCTTTTGCCTAAATACATGTTTTAGGATTGATTTCAGTAATGATTTGCAGGTAGGGAACAACATCACAGTTTCTGTTTGTCTGAAAATATCTTCATCTTGCCCTCATTCTTCAAAGATATTTTCCCTGAGAGCAGAATTCTAAGTTGGCAGTTTGTTTCTGGCACACTGCAGATAGACTTCCACTGGTTCTGGCTTCCATTGTTGCTTCTGAGAAGATAGCTGTCAGTCTAACAGCAGCTTCTTAACAGCCTTTTTCTTTCTTTCTTTCTTTTTTTTTTTTTTTTTTTTTTGAGGCGAAGTCTTGCTCTGTTGCCCAGGCTGGAGTGCAGTAGTGTGATCTCAGCTCACTGCAACCTCTGCCTCCCAGGTTCAAGCGATTCTCCTGCCTCAGCCTCCAGAGTTGCTGGGATTACAGGTGGGCGCCACCACACCTGGCTAATCTATATATTTTTGGTAGAGACGGGGGTTCCGCCTCGTTAGGCAGGCTGACCTCGAACTCCTGGCCTCAAGTGATCCATCCGCCTCGGCCTCCCAAAGTGCTGGGATTACAGGCATGAGCCACTGCATGCCCAGCCTAACAGCTGCTCCTTTGAAGGTTATCTGTCTTGTATTTCTGACAATTTTTCAGATGTTCCTGTTTTTGTTTTTGTTTTTTTTTTTCATTTTCACTATGATGTATCTAGGTGTAGATCTCTTTTTATTTCTTTTGATTGAGATTCTTTGGGCTCCTTAAATCTGAGGATTGGTGTTTTTCACCCATTTGGAGACACTTAGTCATTATCATTCCAAACACTGATTCTCTCTTTGAATTTTGTTTAAATGTATGTTAGACATTGTATTTCTTTTCTCCATGTCTCTGAACTTTTCTTTCATATGTCATATTTGAAACTCAGGTTTGCCTCATTAGGCCCATACCCACAGGTATAAGTGGGCTTCATTGCTTACATTACTTACCTGGGTTCCTGCTTGAGTTTCACCTTTGGCCTGGCAATTCCTTTCTATCTGGCCAGCTCTTTGATATGTTTAAGAAAATGCGCAGCTGGGCATGGTGGCTCACGCCTATAATCCCAGCACTTTGGGAGGCCGAGCCGGGTGGATCAACTGAGGTCAGGAGTTCGAGACTAGCCTGGCCAACATGGTGAAACCCCATCTCTACTAAAAATAGAAAAAATTAGCCGGGTGTGGTGGCAGGCGCCTGTAATCCTAGCTACTCAGGAGGCTGAGACAGGAGAATCGCTTGAACCTGGGAGGCGGAGGTTGCAGTGAGCCGAGATCATGCCACTGCTCTCCAGCTTGGGAGACAGAGCGAGACTCCGCCTCAAACAAACAAAAAAAAAAAAAAAAAGAAGAAGAAGAAGAAGAAAGAAAATGCGCTGGGTGCGGTGGCTCACTCCTGTAATCCCAGCACTTTGGGAGGCTGAGGCCCAGGAGTTTGAGACCAGGAGTTCAATACCAGCCTAGGCAACATGGTAAAACTTCATCTCTACAAAAAATAAAAAAATTAGCCAGGCATGGTGGTACATGCCTGTAGTCTCAGCTACTCAGGAGGCTGAGGCAGGAGGATCAATTGAGCCCACGAGGTTGAGGCTGCAGTGAACCGTGGTCATGCCACTGCACTCCAGCCTGGGTGACAGAATGAGACCCTGTCTCAAAAAATAAATAATTAATAATAATAAGAAAATGCTTTTAGCATTTTATTCATGATTTTTAATTGTCTTCAGCCCAAGGTTTGATCTAACTAACCTAACCCAACATATTCCCGGAACACTGAAGACATTTTTTTTTTCCCTGAGATATTTCCTGTATCGAAGTCATTGAGCAGTGTTCAAATAGAAATTTAATTATGCTTTTCTTACCAGTTTCCTGATTCTTTTTCTGACTTCTTTGAGAATTGAACAATCCAAATCAACTGCTTTTTCACTTTTTGTTCTCACTTTATCCACACTGAGAACCCCTGCAGTCCTTCTCTTTTTACATTTCCCCTTGTGGTGGTCTTGTAAGCCAACATATATGACTCCGTATAAATGTCTCAAAAGCATAGAGTTTTCTAGAAGACTTAGGGAACAATTATCATACCTCTTATAACTCAGGTCAGAAATATTGATCATTGTCTATATCATAGTGGCTATGGTATAATCAAAGTATGCCAGTTAACCAGAGATAACAGAGAATAACCCTCACACAGACCTGCCCTATGGTGGTATCAAGCTATTTCTCCCTTTCTAATATTATTCTTTGATTATTCTATATCTAAAGACAGATTTATCATTTATTGGCATAACAGGTTGCACTGATGATATATATTTCAAAAATATGATACTGATACTATTTAATGAAATTGAAGAGCTCTAGAACGAGTTTTTAGAGTGGAAGCACCACGGCATATAGTCATGTAGTTCGTGCACTGTACAACTCTAGAGGGAGGTTGCCATTTACATCAGAGTTCACAACCTAAAAGGGGGCCCTGGATAAAGATGAATTGGGGATCATCTTTAATCTAGTGTCAAGGTCTACGTTTCACTGTTTAAATGCTACCAAATAGTTTTCTCTGTAATTGTTGCTATCTTCCTAGCCATCCTTAGCACCTTAAAAATTTACTAAGAACCAGTGGCTGTTCAGATCCTCTTTGTTGATGACCTGGATAGCATTGAGCTAACCCAGATTGCACCAGAAGATGAATAGATGTTTGTGTTAGGCTGTTCTTGCATTGCTGTAAAGAAATCCCTGAGACTGGGTCATTTATAAGAAAAGGGGTTTAATTAGCTCCTGGTTCTGCACGCTGTGCAAGAAGCATAGTGGCATTTGCTTCTGGGGCTCACTTATCACCAAGGGGATGGCCCAAGCTATTCATGAAGGATCCTCCATGATCCAACACCTCCCACCAGCTCACACCTCCAACATTCAACATGAGATTTGGATGGGGACACGTATCCAAACTATATCAATGTTCCAGCTGAAAAAGAGAAAAATGGCTTTGATGTGCAATGACTAAAGGTTTCAAACTTCACAGATTGCCCTTTGATTAGTGATCCTAGAGACTTTATGACCTAATAGGACATTCTCGGTTTATGCAGAAGGCAGTAGGAGCTACATTATTTCAAATACCATAAAACTTCTCCAAAAACATATGTTCAGCCTTGAGGAAACGTATTCCAGATCTGACAACTGAAAGCAGTCTGCATTAAGTTCTTGATCTATATATTTTTTTCAAGATGATTGCTGGGGTCATCTTTCATTCTGGCCTTTCCTACCTGCATTTGGAAGTTGAGTAGATCCTGCCTGTAGTGAAAAGGCATAGTTTATTTTGATCAGAGGTCTCAGTTACAGCACATAGTAGTCACTCACTGTGTATGTACACTGAGTCACTGAGTACACGAATTTGCCTTTGATCATATCTTGTACACCACTTAGGTCCTGCCCTACGAGTTAGCAAAGCTCAAGAATGAGTCTTTAGACATTCTTAAATTGTATAATAACATTTTGAACTTGATGTCTTTCACCTGATGGACTCAAAACATTTTACTTACAAGGAGACAAAGTCTCAGGAGGCTGGCATTGTGTTCTGGTAGAAAGAGTAAGGGTTCTGCCAAATAGCTGAATGACCTTGACCCATCCCCTAGACTTGCAGGGGTGTCCAATCTTTTGGCTTCTCTGGGCCACATTGGTAGAAGAATTGTCATGGGCCGCACATAAAATACACTAACACTATTGATAGCTGATGAGTTAAAAAAAAAAAATTGCAAAAAAACTCATAATGTTTTAAGGAAGTTTACGAATTTGTATTGGGCCACATTCAAAACCATCCTGGGCCACATGTGACCCGGGGGCCAGGGTTGGACAAGCTTGCAATGATGGGACCTCTTTCATCTGTAGAACGAGGGTTCGAGGATAGGTGATTTCTGAGTTCCTTTCCAGAAATAAACCACTCTGATACTCTCTCCCCAGGCTACACTTAAATACTTGTGAATTAAATCTAAGTCAACTCCACCAGTTTCAGGTACAGTCAAGCCTATTTGTAGAGGAGAGCATTTTCTGTGGCACTGAAGTTCACTCAATAATGCCTTCATTTTTTTTTTTTAAAGCAGTGCTTTTGGAGGGGGGACAGAGTTCAAAAACTTTAAAAAATGTTAATTTTTAAACTTTTTATTGAAACTTATGGCATACATATATGTGTACAACTCAGTGAATTTCGTGAACTGAACACACCCATGTAATTGGCACACAGAATATTCTCGGTACCTCAGAAGCCTCCCTTGTGCCCACATCCAATATTGTTATAACTCCCTCCCTTTCAAGGATAACCCTTCTCCTGACTTCTCACCACATCAATTAGTTTTTTCTGCTTCGGTTTCTCATGAATGGAATTATGTACAATAAGCACTCTTTTGTCTCTGGTTTCCTTGGCAAACATTATATTTCTGAGCTGCACTGAGATTGTTTTGTGTAGCTGTAGCAGACACTTAGATCTTTCCTCCAGAGAGACATCGATACATCTTTGCACAACTGTGTTAACATCCTCATTTGAGTGACTCCTTTGGGAAGATCAATAACATGCCATTATGCCCAGAGAGAGGTTAAAAGAGGAGGGAGAAATTAGAGGCTTTTTATAATTGATTAACATATTCTAGCATTAATACATAATACAATTTATTAATTTAAGATATGCAAGCCCTCTTCTGAAGGAGAAAGATTCACCTCCTGGTCTAAAACATCATCATGTCAGGTCAAGGAAAGAATCACTCTCCTAGTGCTGGTTATGAGTATTCAATTACAGAATTCTTAAAGATTGCCAGCTTTACCTTGAGACAGAAACTCTGACTTATAAAACCCCTTTCTTTCCATGCCCTCCACCCCTTAATCCCAGCACTGCCTGATCCTGCACATACTAGGTGCAAAATAGATATTTGTTGAATGAATGAATGAATGAATGAATGAATGAAGAGCACAGCTAACATTTACAGTGCATTCACAGTGCCAGCCACTGTGCAAAGATTTCTTGTTTACTCACCGCAACAGCACTATCAGGTGGGTGCTGTTGTCTCAGTTTGCTAGATGGGGAAACATGACCATTGGAAATAACTTGTCCACAGTCACTCAGATATTATGGGGCCAAGTTGGGACCTTTGAACTCATGCTCTTTAGTCTTCACCACTGTGTATTCACACTCACTCTAGGGCTTGCAGAAGCTGCAAGTGGTGGCTGGATTCATGAGTGCCCTTGGCCGAGAGCTCTGCTAGCTGAGGACACACAGCCTGGTTTGTCCCAGCCACTTCCCTCTGGCTGTGTAGAGGGAGCCTGCCCAGTTGGCTCTCGCCACCCCCTTGCTTGTGCCTGTGCCCATGAGTGATTCCTTTCTCAGCACCCCACGCCAGCCTCTGCTCCTAGTGCTGACTGCCCATCTTGGGGTAATGTTGGCCAACTCCCAGACATGAGAGGATCAGACACAGTCTTAGCATTTGCAATTCTTTCTGTGTGCTGAACTCTCCCCTAGCCCCTGCCCCACCTCCAGCACGTGCATTTCATCTAGTTCACTCCTATTCAGCCCTCACATCTCATCTGGTACATATTGGCCCTCAATAAATATTTGTTGAATGAATAAATGAATGAATGGTAAATGAGGCTTTTAAATTCAATTCTGATATAAACTACTGAAATGCAAGCAATGATGATAAAATAATATGCAACAAAAAGGAAATGCAATGTACTGATGAAACTGGATAGTTCCCTTGACCCCTCTGTGGGATTCATGAAGGAGTGGCTCGCTTACTCAGCCCACAGCTCTCAACCCCTCGTGGGAGGGGGAGCACGCAGGTGAGTGGGTACAGAGGCCAGGTTGAGTGCTTCTGGGCAACCAGCAGGAGCAGGACTCTGTGCAGGCCCACAGCAGCGTCTACAGGTTGCCCGCGACCCCCGAGCCCCAGAGGGCATGTGTTACCGCGCATTCTTTTAGCATTGCCATCCTTGGACAGTGTAAGTGTTAAACAGTTCAGTGGAGGGTCAGTGTGACAGCCTCTTGCACCTGCACCAAGGTCTTTGTCTGGCATCCAGGAGTAATGAAGTTGTAAGAACAAATTGGAGGGTGGTGAATGCAGAGGATTTTATTGCTGATGAAAGTGGCTCTCAGTGGGATGGGTGGCTGGAAAGGGGATGGAGTGGGAAGGTGGTCTTCCCCTGGAGTTCGGCCATCTGCGGCTGAACTCCTCCGAAGTCGCACTGTCAAGCCATCCCTCTGAAGTCAAGCTGCTCCTCTCCAAGGTCCGGCTACTTCTCTTCTCTCCTCTGCCACTCTGCCAGTGGGGCCTGGGATTTTTATGGGTACAGGATTTGGGGGCAGGGCAGGCCAGGGTGGTTTTGGAAAAGGCAACATTCGGGCAGGGAAATGAGAATGCATGTTCTCACTTTTGGCTGCGGGTCCAGGCTTGAGGGTGTGGCCCTTGTCTAGGGCCACACTCTTCTACCCAATATTTCCCTGCCTCCTGTCCATATCACTTATCCTTTTACAGTATAAAACATACAAGAGCGAAACTCCGTCTCAAAAAAAACAAAAAACAAACAAAAAAAACATGAATAGGAGCTGGGCACAGTGGTGCTGCCTGAGGCAGGAGGATTGCTTGAAGCCACAGTATACTATGATCGCACCTGTGAACAGCCATTGCACTCCAGCCTGGGCTACATAGCGAGACCCTATCTCTTTAAAAAAAAATTTTTTTAAGGAAAAATGACATAGAGAAGGATAATTATTGAAAAGATTCTGTGTAATGGTAATAATGATGTAACATTTTGTGTTTTTTATTCCTTCTCTTGTTATTTTGCATGTGTTGATGTTTTCCATAAATCCACATGGACTACCTTGCTTCTAAGTATAACATCCTACTGGGCAACCCTCCCATAATAAACATGGGTTTTGCTTGTTGTCACCAGTGCCCAACTGGCGTTTCTGATTCTCTGGAACCATAGCAATTTGAAGTGCACAGGATCACAGGTTGCCTTGGTTGAGGAATGACCTTTGAGGTATTGCTGTGTTGTGATTATGGCAGCTGTGATGATCTGTCTTCTCCTTACTTTATTCCAGGATGGTTTTCTCTGTCAGGCAGTGTGGCCATGTTGGCAGAACTGAAGAAGTTTTACTGACGTTCAAGATATTCCTTGTCATCATTTGTCTTCATGTCGTTCTGGTAACATCCCTGGAAGGTAATGTGTCTGTTTTTCTTCATTTTTTTTTTTTCTGTTTATCTGCATGTGTGTATTTTTTTGTTATTTAGGATTTTTTTACTGTGGTAAAATAACATAATATTTATCATTTTAACCATTTTTAAGTGTACAGTTCATTGGCATTAAGTACATTCACAATTTTGTGTAACTGTCACTGCTATCCATTTCTAAAACGTTTTCATCATCCCAAATAGAAACTCTATATCCATTAAACAATAACTCCCAATTTCCTTCCCCCCCACCCCTTCCTGGTAACCTCTGTTCCTGTTCTTTCTATGTATTTGCTTATTGCAAGTACCTTAGATAAGTGGAATCATACAATATTTGTCCTTTTGTGCCTGGCTTATTTCACTTAGGATGTTTTCAAGGTTCACCCATGTTGCAGCATGTATCAGAATTTCATTCTTTTTAACAGCTAATGTTTCACTGTATGCATTGACCCATTTTGTCTATTCATTCATCCATTGATGGGCATTTGGGTCGTCTCCCCCTTTTGGCTGTTGTGAATAATGCTGCTATGAACATGGGTGTACAAATCACTATTTGAGTCCCTGCTTTCATTTCTTTGGGGTATATACCTAGGAGGGAATTGCTGGATCATATAACCCTGTGTTGAACATCTTGAGAAACTGCTAAACTGTTTTCCACAGTGGCTATATCCTTTTACATTTCTACAAGCAAGGCACAAGAATTCCAGTGTCTCCCATTCTTGACAATGCTTGTATTTTCCTGTTGTTTTGGTAATGGGTGTGAAGTGGTATCTTATTGTGGCTTTGATTTGCATTTTCTTAATGATTAGTGATATTGAGCATCTTTTCATGTGCTTATTGGCCACTTGTATATCTTCTTTGGAGAAGTGTCTATTCAAGTCCTTTGCTCAGTTTTGAATTGGGTTGTTTTTGTTGGTGTTGAGTTTTGAAGTTCTTTGTGTATTCTGGATATTAATCCCTTATCAGATATATAACTTACAAATATTTTCTCCCATTCTGTGGGGTGTTTCTTCCACTTTCTTAATAGTATCATTTCATGCATAAATTCTTTTAATTTTATGTAGTCTATTTATTTTTACTTTTGTTGTCTATGCTTTGGTGTTATATCAAAGAAATCATTGCCAAATCCAATATCATGAAGACTTTCCCCTATGTTTTCTTCCAAGAATTTTATAGTTTTAGCTCTTATGTTTAGGTCCTTTGATCGATTTATCATTTTTGTATATGGTATAAGGTAACGGTCCAACTTCACTCTCGTGCATGTGGGTATTGTTTTCCAGCCACATTTCTTGAAAAGACTGCCTTTTTGCTATTGAATGGTCTTGGCAACTTTGTCAAAAATCACTTTGTTATACCAGTGGAGGGTGTCTAGGTTTTTGGCATCTTGAACAAATAATTGGACAAAACGCACTAACAAAGCAAGGAAGGAATGAAGAGATTTATTGAAAATGAAAGTACACTCCACAGTGTGGGAGTGGCCCGAGCACAGGGGCTCAAAGTCCCTGTTACAGAATTTGTGGGAGTTTCCATTGGTTACTTGGTGTATGCCCTATGTAAATGAAGAGGATGAAGTAAAGTTACAAAGTCATTTACTCAGCATACACCCTATGGTGAGGATATTTCCTGTCATAGCTGAAGTGTGAATCGGCCTTATGTTCCCTGCCTCCAGACCCTATTTTCCTGCCTCAAAGTGACCGTATAGATGAGGGTTTATTTCTGGTGTTTACTTGTTTTTAAATGTATCTACTTGAAGGTACAACCATATGGAAATTTAAAGGTGGTAGAGAATCAGACAGATGAAGCAGCCTGGTATTTTCGGAAAGGGGGATCTTTAGAAGTTCATGGAACAAGAAGAAAAGGCATCTGAGAAAAGCAGTTGAAAGACCAGCAATGCTGGGCCTGCAATTTCTGTGGGCACAACTGCCAAAGGCAAGTGTAAAGAATCCTCATTAGGAGGTTCACACCTGTAATCCCAGCACTTTGGGAGGCTGAGGAGGGAGGATCATTTGAACCCAGGAATTCAAGACAAGCCTGAGCAACATAGTGAGACCCCGTCTCTACAAAAATGAAATAACATGAAAAATTAGCCGGGCATGGTTGCGGGTGTCTGTATTCCTAGCTACTCAGGAGGCTGAGATGGGAGGATTGCTTGAGCCCAGGAGGCGGAGGTTGCAGTAAACAGTGACCATACCAGTGCAGTCCAGCTTGGGTGGCAGAGTACAACCCTGCCTCAAAAAAAAAAAAAAAAAAAAAAAAAAAAGAAGCATCCTCATTAGGAATGGGACTAGGAAATGATTGATACTTAAGACATCAAGGACACACAACGAAATAACTTTCTTATTCAGAAGTGGGTGGCAGGACCAAGGAATCTTTATTGCATAAGATAAAAATCTACTAGCAGCAAACAACAAAACATACAAACAAATAAAACACACATACAAATACACAGACTAAATGGAAAACTTCCCAACAAGCTATAACACAATTGGCAATCCTTTAAAAAGTAGGTACTGGGGCACGTTGTCAAAAAGCCGCCATTCTTTAAAGAAAGAAATAATGGCCGGGTGCAGTGGCTCATGCCTGTAATCCCAGCACTTTGGGAGGCCGAGGCGGGTGGATCACCTGAGGTCAGGAGTTTGAGACCAGCCTGGCCAACATGGCAAAGTCCTGTCTCTACTAAAAATGCAAAAAATTAGCCGGGCGTGGTGGTGCACGCCTATAATCCCAGCTACTTGGGAGGCTGAGGCAGGAGAATTGTTTGAACCCGGGAGCAGAGGTTGCAATGAGCTGAGATCATGCCATTGCACTCCAGCCTGGGTGACAGAGCGAGACTCTCAAACAAAAAATAAAATAAAATCTAAACTATTCTCACACGCACCATCTCCTTAGGGCACTGAAACATTACTGTGGGCTTGGCAGGGCAAAACTCAAGAGTCCCCACTTTACTGATGAGTAAATGTCCCCAGGGAGGTTATTGGTTAGGAAGTGGCGGAGTCCAGATTAGATGCTAGATCTTCAGTCTCACGTTTCGGTGCTTTTTCCACCACAGGGGTAGATGAGGCAGGAAAGTGGAACACAAGGGAAAAAATTCATCCAAATGAAAGCTGTTTGTTAGAAATATGTCTTTTTGAAAAATTATGTTTTAAAATGCCAACAACAGGGGCAGGTAAATAGGAAAGTGCATGGCTCTGAAACAAACCTAAGTAGGGAAAAGCTGAGTGATCACTCAAGGCAGCTGACTGCATTTCTTGCTCCAGATCTCTGATGAATTGATTTCTTAAAGCAGTGGTTCCCAAAGTGTGACAGACAAGTAGCACTGGCATCACCTGTCTCTCAGAACGCCCAGTAAGAGTATTTATTCATGTTATTTATTTATTTTGTTTTTGTTTTTGTTTTTTTCTTTTTCTTTCTTTTCTTTACTTTTTTTTTTTTTTTTTTTTTTTTGAGACAGGATCTTGTTGTCGCCCAGACTTGAGTGCGCGATCTCAGCTCACTGCAGTCTCAACCTCCCGGGCTCAGGTGTTCCTTCCACCTCAGTCTCTGGAGTAGCTGGGACTGCAGGTGACATCACCACGCCCAACTAATTTTTTAAATTTTTTGTAGAGATGGGGTCTCGCTATATTGCCCAGGGTGGTCTCGAATTCCTGGGCTCAAGTGATGCTCCCACCTTGCTTCCCAAAGTTCTGGGATTACAGATGTGAGCCACCACGCCCTGCTCATGTTACTGAATAATCACCTTGATAGCACTCACCATGTGCCAGCCACTGTTCTAAGCCCTTACAAATGGCTAATTCATTTAAAGCCCACTCTATAACCCCTTGAAAAAGGCACTATTATCAGCTTATTTTACAGGTGAGGAAATTGAGGCACAGAGGAGTTAAGCAACTTGCCTTCGGTCAAATAATTAAGAGGTTGCAGAGTTACAATTCAAATTCAGGCCATCTGGCTCCAAAGCTTGTATGTTGGACCTCTATACTATGGTGCCTTTTCACATTCTTAACCTCTCTGCTATGCTAGGCTCAGTTGCTTGGTAGTTGTGAATCTGTAGATTAAAAATAAAGATGGAATCCATAATTGTGAGAATCAATGTTGTTCTGGATCACCCAGGTGGTTCATAGGCACCGCCTCCTCCAATAGCTTTGGACTGGGGCAGGGGTTCTTTTAGTTCAGGATGGCTCAGGCCTGGTTTTTGAAGGCCAAGGGGACTGACCTGCCACTTCTCCACTGGGTTATCAATTGTGCGATAATGATTGCCTGCTGTGTGCCCAGCAGTACTGGCTGCTGAGAACATCGTCTCTGACTCCAGGGAATTCACACTGCAGTTGGAGGGCCGTGACTATGACGCATGAGAACAATACAAACTATAAGTCTTAAAGTATGAGTCAGCGCTATAGGGCACTCACATATGGCCTGTGGCCAGATCTGTGGATTAGTCTAATTCGATGCTAAGCCACCTATAGCAGATGCTATTGGTGCCCTGCCTATACCCCCTTGGCCCACCCCAGGGGTCACCTGCAGACAGTTCCTGTGGATGCTTACGGCTTTCATGTCTCCCTGAGGATCATCTATGTCCATGGGAGTGTGCTTGGCCCATGTGCGGGACAAACCAGAAGTGCCAGGGAGATAACACCCCCAAACAGTGAGTAATGGGAGTTGGTATTTAAATATGCCAGCTTCCTTGTCCCTTGGTGGGACCACACTCAGATGTGTTCTATGTTATCTCCCAGAGTTCCCCAGTTGCATTGTACCCCATAATACTCATCTGCTCATGAATGTGCCCATTTCCGGATTCACCCCCTTGTCTGTCTCACTTGCATATTCCCCCACTCTGCTTCTGGGGACCCTCCCTATTGGGAAACTCCCCTTCCAAAGTTGAGGCCAAATCTTACTACCTCTAGAAAACCTGCCCTGACCTCGGAAGAATTAAATCCCCCTCCCCAGTGCTTGCTTCTCTTTATCCATCCATACCTGGGGATATCACTTTGTGTCACACTCATTACGGGCTTCCTTTGTACTGTGAGTCCTTGCAGTGTGCGGTCAGTGCCAGACAAAAGGTTGGCGAGGCGGGTGGCGAACTCACGGGAGGGAAGCTGATGGGCACTGAGAGCCTGCTCAGGGCCACTCTTCCAGGTGCTTTACGCACATTATCTCATTTAATCCTTACAAAACCTCTTTCCGGTGGGTAGTTTTCATCTCGGTTTACAGACAAAGAAACTGTCAAACAAATGAAGGCATTTGCCTAGAGGTCCCACAGCTAGGAAGATTCCCCATCAGAATCTGTAGCCTGTACTACTCACACGACACCAGGCTGCCCAGGGCACCCTCAGTAAGTGTCTGGGGACTGAATGAGCATGTCACTGAGGTGCAGGGCTAGGGGAGTGGAGAGGGAGCCTGGGGTGAGCTGTTAGAGAGCAGCAGCTCCCCCGACCCGGGGCTCTGGGAGATCTGGACCGTAAACACAGTAGCTTCACCCTGGAAGCCTGAGAGGTGACTCAGTAGCTCTTGACGGCAGGGAGAGGTGGGATGACACTCTCTCGTCAGGCCACTAGCCAACAGAGAGAGCCCGTGGACCTTAACACTTTCAGTTGTGTGATTTGGTGACATTTGAGGGGCTCATTCTTGGTCTACCAGAATGGGTTTTGGCACCTCCAGCCTCCAGCTCTCCTGGGCGGTACCAATGCCTTTTTTTTTTTTTTTAAATCTTTGAAGGAGGTCTTCTTTTAGATACAACTATTCTATTTTCCAGAGGGGCAGATGACATAATAGTGGAAGATGGTTATAATTTCATTCTTGCAGAGTTGTCTTCCTCATTTGGAAACAATTACACATTTGAGCCAGTTTGGTGATCTCATGAGCTACAATCCCCAACTTTCTCTCTGGGCTGGGTCTAGATCTTTCTGTGCTGCAGGCATTTCCAGCGATGAGTCCCTCTATAATTCCCCTCTCTGAGGCCTGGCTGTCTGATTTCCTCCTATCCTCTCTTGCTGTGTTCACCTGAGTCCTTGGTCTTCCTTGCGAGGAAGTCGGTAGAGCTGCAGGAAATGGGCTGCGTGCTCCTGAGAGGCGGGAAACCTGTTCTGTTTCATTTTGTCCTCTAATACCAGACCCTGTCCTGGTCTCCTCATTCTCTCTCAATCCCCTGTCTGTACAAATGAGGTTATAAATGCTTACCATGGCACTGATCTGATGCTCAGCCAATCTCACAACCCCCACTGACCCCTGCCAAATCTTACTACCTGCACCCAGGCATGAGGCCATGTCTGTTGGACCCTGGCTCTTTCCCTAGCAGGTGGAAGTGGTGATGGGGAGTGATGGAGAGTCTATCATAGATAGGTTGCAGGGGAAACTGAAAGCAGAGGGCATTGTGTCCCACTCTCCACTTGGAACTCCAGGTAAGGACTCCTTATGGGCCCTGTGTGTCAGCACAGGGCAGTTGCAGAGATGAAGTGGCAAAACTGTTTCCTCTGGGAGATGATGTCCCCTCCAAGTCTCTCTCAGCTCTCATGTGGTAGAGTAGGGACTCTAAAGTACCCTCATGTTCTTAGTGGGTAGCTGTGATGAGATCCAGGGGTGGGGACAGGGCTGCAAAGACTATGGCATGGACAGCCTAGGCCAGGGGTCAGATGGAGGATGAGACAGACATTCAGTGGTGAGAGCTCAAGGGAGCTGTATTAGCAGGAGAAGGACCCCCCAGGCCTGGATGGGATTCTGAAGAATAGACCATGGGCCCACTGGACACAGCCTTCAGCAGTGGACACCAGTTGGATACCCAGGAGCCCTGCAGGATGAGGGAGGTCTCTGGAGAGGCCATTGAGAACTCAGGGCTCAGCACTGGGTGAGCTCACAGATCCAGGCCCCTTCTCCCTGCTGCCAGAAAGGCCCTAGCACGCCATTCTCAGCCCAGGCGCCATCTTGACTACCAGAAAGAAAAGGAGGGTGGACAAAGATTGTGCATTTATTCACAAGTCATTGGGTTAACTAGAGACCATTTTAGAGCAAAAGAGACAAAGCTACCTTAAATCATCAGACTTAAGGATCTCTTTCCTATATTTCTGGAGTGGAGGCTCTGAAACAAAAGGGAGCCACCCTAGATATCAAAGGCAGCTCAGGAATTTTTGGTGTGTTTTGGTGCTATTGTTTCTACATCTAAATTGTATCTATAAATTTTAAACTTGCTTTAAAATGAATACATATTGAACACAGAATGATGTGTCAGGGCACTCCATTAGGAATTGTGGGAGGCCATCATCATATCTTGAACTCTGATCCTCCTCCAGGTTTTATCTTTTCAGGTATGTAGAGACATCATTCAGGTCCTAGAGGGTAATGGTGACATCTTTTCTCTCTTTGTAGCCTCCATATTTTCTAGCACATAGTAAGTACTCAGTAAACTGTGGTTGTCTAATTGGTTTCGATTTGTGACCCTAGTCTAAAGCCTAGAGATATTCCAAAAAGTGGGCCCCCCCTCAGCTTACATCAGCAGTACTATGCTCATCCGAACCCAGTCAGTTCTGATACAGTGTAGACTACTCCAAACTTCTGTATAGACTTCAGTGAGGTGGCTGTACCTTGGCTAGGATTACCCTTGAAGAATGGATTTCCCCTCCTCCATATGAGGAAGGAGCTCAACTGATTCCCCGTTAAGATTCCTTCACAGTCTGACATTCTGTGAGTTCAATCAGCCAGTAGGGACCATCTTCAGATTCTTCATTCATTGTCCTGGAATACCAGGGATCCTCGAACATTATGTCATTCTGGAAGTCCTTGGGTGATGTCTGAGCTGCTGATTATTTATGCCAGGTTCTCACATTTGGGTGCACATTGGAATCACCTGGGGGAATTTAAGAACACCTGCCTCGGCCGGGTGTGGTGGCTTACACCTGTAAACCCAGCACTTTGGGAGGCCGAGCCACGTGGATCATTTGAGGTCAGGAGTTTGAGACCAGCCTGGCCAACATGGTGAAACCTTGTCTCTACTAAAAATACAAAAATTAGCCGAGTGTGGTGGTGGGCACCTGTAATCCTAGCTATTCAGGAGCCTGAGGCAGGAGAATTGCTTGAACCTGGGAGCAGAGGTTGCAGTGAGCTGAGATTGCACCACTGCACTCCAGTCTGGGCAACAGAGCAAGACTCCATCTCAAAGATAAAAAAAAAAAAAAAAAAGAATACCTGCCTCCTACCCCCAGAGATTCTGACATTATTGGTCTGGGGGCACAGCCTGGATATTGGGGTTCTTCAAAATACCCCAAGCGATGCTAGCAGAACCGAGAACCACTCACCTCTGCAATCCCATTTTAAGGCTGTTCTCCTGTTCAAAGTCCTAATGTGAAATTGGAAACAATTTATAAGTCACATTTTTTCGAACTACATTTATTATGTGAGGCAATTTCAAAGGCTTTTAAAGTTATAACAAAGCCAGTAATCTCTTGATTTCAAAATGGATAAAAGCTCTAGAAGTGGCTCTTGCCGACTGGCAAATCCCCCAAGTTATCGTTGCTGTCCTTGCCTTGCTCTTCATTGAAGAATCCCAGTGTCTCTTCATAGTATCTTATTTATTTATTTATTTATTTTTCTGAGACAGAGTCTCGCTGTGTTGTCCAGGCTGGAGTGCAGTGGCGCGATCTCGGATCACTGCAACCTCCGCCTCCCGGCTTCAAGCAATTCTCCCACCTCAGCCTCCCGAGTAGCTGGGATTACAGGCTCGCGGCACCACGCCTGGCTAATTTTTGAATTTTTAGTAGAGACGGGGTTTTGCCACGTTGGCCAGGCTGGTCTCAAACTCTTGACCTCAGGTGGTCCACCTACCTCGGCCTCCCAAAGTGCTGGGATTACAGGCATGAGCCACCATGCCTGGCCTTCTTCATAGTGCCTTTAGTACCAGTACTGTGTATACTAAGACAGATTCTTTAGTACTACTACATAGTACTGGTACTAAAGACAGATTCTTTAGTACTACTACATAGTACTGGTACTAAAGACAGATTCTTTAGCACTACTACATAGTACTGGTACTAAAGACAGATTCTTTAGTACTACTACATAGTACTGGTACTAAAGACAGATTCTTTAGTACTACTACATAGTACTGGTACTAAAGACAGATTCTTTAGTACTACTTCATACATAGTACTGGTACTAAAGATTAACAACAGCAGCAGCAACACAACTGGACACTCCTGTAGGTCTTTGCGGTTGACGAAGCACCTTCGCATACATCATCTCACGGTGTCCCCTTGAGGTTAGTAGAAAAGTTTGTGTTATCCTCACTTTGCTGAAGAGAAAACTGAAGCTCAAAGCAATGGAGTGACTTTCTAGGTTACCCAGAAAGAAACAGTACCAAGATCCAGAAAGTGCTTATTTTTGGCTTGGACAGTTTGGGTAATTTCCAAATTCACACAGCTGGAAAGTGGAGGTGGTGAGATTCTAGAACTCGTGTTCTTAACCACTTCCCCAATATTTAGTCCTGAAGCATTAAAAATGGTTTTCTTGTTGTTGCTGTTGTTGTTTTAGAGCCTGGGTCTCACTGTGTTGCCCAGGCTGGAATGCGGTGCCTATTCACAGGCGCAACAATCATGGCTCACTGCAGCCTCGAACTCCTGGGCTCAAGCCATCCTCCCATCTCGACCTCCCGAGTAGCTGGGATTACAGGTGCATGCCACCGTGCCTGGCTTGAAAATGGTTTTTACACAACTTTGCATGATTTGTTCATCCTGGGATGAATTTATATCCCCAAAGCACTGTATAAAGATAAAGAGTGATCTAAGGCATAAAAGCAACAGTTCTGCTGATTTAACCTATTAGGGTTTAAGTTGATATTCCAAGAGAACACGCTGTTGAAATGCACCTTAATAGCATTCCTTAGTTCAAGAAATAACAAGAAACACATTGATCTTGCCAAGAGGCCTCACATTTACAAGATCACAGGGCTGTAAAAAACATCAAGGTAAGTTAGAGATACTTTTGCAATGATGTTTGTGATGTGATGTGTGTTAGTCTTTAACATCCGTGTCCAGTGTGACCTATACCCTTTTGTTACTTTTCTTTTAGAAGTGAACAGAGCATAAAGTAAAAGTTACTCTAATGTTGCTATAGTATTTAGTACAGCATAGAGTTTTTTAATTTGAAGAAGAGATAAACAAAGATATAAAATGGCAGTAATTTTGCTTTAGTGTGTAAATTAGAATTGCTTATAATTATCTGATTAATTGAATGAACAGGAATTGAACACATAGCTCTGTTGTCTTTCAATTATGTAGACATTTTTGCCTTGCTCCTAACTTGAAATATGATTTGATATTACACAGATTGGGATTCACAGTGAAGTCTAACCAATTCTGGGTTTTGGTGTACACAAGCAGAAGGAGATGGGTTTGAATTAGTGAGAAGTTTTCAGTTACAGGATGTTTTCAAAGTAGAGTTTTAAAACTTTGAAGTGAGTTGCATAATATGACTAGAATGTAAACTCTCTTTGAGGCCAGGGACTTTGTTTTATTCCCTGCTATAACCCCCGTGCCTGGCACACAGTAGGCCTTCAAAAATGGGATTAAAAGAATAAACTTTGGCAAATGACTTCACATTTCTGAGCTTGTGTTTCCTCACTTGTGGACTGAAGGGGTTGGACTATTTTGGTATCTGGTATTTTCCCCACCCATGACCTATTTTGTAATTCTTTTCTTCCAGTGAACTCCAAGCCCTAAAAGATGCTTTTGCACAATTTATTTAAGTAAGATTGTTCTCATTTTTGGTGTTGAGTAAAAACATATATGACAGTATCCAGTGTTTGTGATCAGCAGTAGAAAACCAGTATTGATATAATCCCAAACGGTACAAACATTATACTCTATTTTTATTTTATTTTTATTTTTTAGAGACAGGGTCTTGCTCTGTCACCAGGCTGGAATGCAATGGTGCAATCATAGCTCACTGCAGTCTCTAACACCTGGGCTCAAGCGCACCTCCCACCTCAGCCTCCCAAGTAGCTTGGACTATAGGCATGCACCACCACTCCCAGCTAATTTTAACATGTTTAGTAGCGATGAAGTCTCTTCATGTTGCCCAGGCTGGTCTCAAACCCCTGGGCTCAAACTCCTGGGCACCTGCCTCGGCCTCCCAAAGCACTGGGATTACAGGCGTGAGTCATCGCACCCAGCCTCAGCCTCACACTCTAATTTTTGTGTGTGCAGCCTATTGTGGATAAATAAGCGATTTTTGAAATGATGAAAGTACCGTCTAAATGACTACCTTTGCAAAACGTACAGTATTGCACTAGGTCATCTTCAAGTCTCCTTTACCTCTGAAGTGGATTTCTATGAACTTCAGTTTCCTGATGTGTAATACGAAGGGATGGAACCCCATGATCTTTGTAGGAGGTGCCTTCCTATGATGATCCTAAACTATGGAAACTTGAATTAGATGAGCACAGTGTTCTAACAGACATTCTCACTAACCTAGTGTTAGTGAATAAATAAGAATGTTTTATAGTCAGAATGGAAATCTCATGCATGTAAATCCTGGAAGAAACCATCTTCATGATTTTTTAAAATGCCCTCTACAAATTACTGATACCACATTGTTTGCATTAAGTGAGAAAAGTAGTTTATTATATAATGGTAAACTTTATCCAAGGGCACAGAATCATATAGTCTGAATTAATAATAATTACACCTTATTGTTGAAACTGTGATAAAATGCTTGATAAATGTAATATAATTTCATTCAAAGAAATCACTCCCATTTTACAGATAAGGAAATACAAGCAGAGGAATGTTAGAAACTTACTCAAGGCAGAGCCAGGATCTGAACCCAAGTCAGTCTCCTTAATCACATTTAAGGCTTGGCTCAGCAGGCATGTTCATTTATTCATTAGAAATAAATGAACACAGACATTTTATTCATATGTAGGAGATTACCAAATCAGAGTTACAGATTATTAAAAGTGAGGGATCTCAGATCAAACTTTCAAAGCTCATGACAAGCCAAAGAAAATAGGAGGAGAAGACATTATTAGAACAGGAGCTACCAATGTATAAAGGCTGGCTAAGGATTTTCTGAAGGTTAAGGGTTAACGTGGCTTCAAAACAGAGGCAACTTAAAAATACAATTTTTCCAACTAAGTAGGATTTCTATGCAGCAGGACTATGCCTAATTCCAACCCTCTTAATGGTTTTTTACTAGCATGTAGTTGTTTATAGAACTAGTTCCTCACATAGGAGTCCCACTTTCAAGGGTCCCGGAGAACCACGATATGAACATTCGCTAGGAGCAAAGCTGATAGGGTGAGTCATAAAGAAGGGGCTGTTCATATTCAGCCTCAAAGTGGCAAGGACTTCTCCTCCTCGGGTTCATGCTGACTGCCTGACTTTTGACCTTGTCAATATCATGACAAAGAACAAGAGAGAAAATGGTGGCTGGGGAGAGTGATTTTAGCATTAATCTTGTCCCACCCTTAGTTTAATGGGCATTAATTACTTCACAGCGCTCAAATTAAATCTGATGTGGCAGAGACTGGCTGGCACCAAAGCTTTTACTTTTTCTTCCTCAGCACACAGCTAGGCTACATTTCCCAACCTCCCTTGTAGTTAGAAGTGGCCGTGTAACTGAGTGCTGGCCAATGGATGTGGGTATAAGTGATGTGTGCCACCTCCAGGCCTGGTCATTAAAAATCTCCCACCTGGCCAGGTGCAATGGCTCACACCTGTAATCTCAGCACTTTGGAAGGTCAAGGAGGGTGGATCACCTGAGGTCAGGGGTTCGAGACCAGCCTGGCCAACATGGTGAAACCCTGTCTCTACTAAAAATACAAAACTTAGCCAGGCGTGGTGGTACAAGTCTGTAATCCTGGCTACTTGGGAGACTGAGGCAGGAGAATCACTTGAACCTGGGAGGCGGAGGTTGCAGTGATCCGATATTGTGCCACTGCACTCCAGCCTGGGTGACAGAGTGAGAGAGACTCCATCTCAAAAAAAAAAAAAAAAATCTCCCACCTGATTCCCATCACTCTCTCTCTTTCCCCGTTTGCCTGCCGCATCGTGCTCTCCAGAGCAAACTTGGAATCTGCATCTGACACATGGTGAGAACTCAGTAAATACTAGTAATTATCACTATAGACCAGTGCTCATAGAACATTTTTTTGCAATAACGGAAGTGCTCTATATCTGTGCTGCCCAAAACAGTGGCCACCAGCCACATGTGACCACAGTATTGAGCACTTGAAACTTGACTGGGGTACTAAATTCTAATTATGTTTAACTTTAATTAATTTAAATTTAAATAGCCACATGTAGCTAATGGCTACCATGTTGGACAGCACAGTTATAGACCATTTAATCTAATTGCTTCAGAAGGTTTCTATCTCAAACTGTGTAAGTCAGGATTCAATCACAGGAGAACCACTAAGGTGCGTGCACGCGCGTGCGCGCGCACACACACACACATACACACACACACACACACACACACACACACAAAGGGATTTGCTACAGGGATTTGTCCTAATACAACTGTGGGAGCTGGTTAAGCAGTCTCTATAAAGCTCTCATCTTCACATCTGATGTTGGGACTCGACATCTATCGGACAGGCAGTTGGGAAGGAAGGATAAATGTAAAATAAGGGAGAGCAAGAACAACCTGGAAACCAGAAGCATGCATTGTAGCCCACGAGAACAGACTGAGCCCCACGTCGCTTATTGTTGCTTTTGACCTTGGCAGTATGGATATCCTGCAGAAGCTGGGCGCTTCATCATAAAGTACACACATGGCCAAGGAGCCGAAGAAGCTGAAAAGGAAAACCCAGGAGAAGGTGGAGCAGTTACAGGCCCCGCACCTCCCTGGTCCTAATAAGATGAGGCAACTGATCATTGCCAACCTATGTGAGCTACAACATGGCTGCTGCCCACATCTGCCCAGATCTCCCACAGGAAACTCTCTTCTGTCCCACGTTAATTAGAAACATGCAAGAAAGGGAATTTTGGGAAATGTAGTTGGTCTAACGAAGATGATGCATTATGGAGCCACCACACATGCTAGCATGCTAATGAGCTCAATTTTCTATCTGCTAATACTTCTAAATAAAACATGAAGCTAACATCTCCCAAGGCTCTGTTTTGTTGTTTCAGTTCTGCAACTGGCCTAGAGAATTCTGAAGATCCTTGCAGCCAGCTAACGTTATCTTTGAGTGGTAAGATTAGGAGTACTTTTCAAGTTTTTCCTTATATTTTTCTGTGGCTTAGAATTCTTCCCACATAAACCCACATTATGATTGTAATCAGAAAAAAATTAGTTACTTTTTAGAAGCCAGCCTGTGACCCCTAGGGAGACCATGCATCCCACTTAAGGGCAACCCAATAACATCATGATTAACTGTGTCTTCTACATTCTTCCTGGAAATTTCACCTGTTCTTGACTTTGTACAAGAACTTATAAAACGTAAGTTATGGTCATCAGATTTCCTGAAGCCCTCTGCTTCTCTCCTCCCATGTTCTCAAAGTGATCCCAAGGATATTTTAGAAACTGGAAGCAAATAATATAAGGAGAAAAGAAACTGGAGTGGAAGTCTTGCACGTAGAAGGGAGAAATCATTTTTAGATAAGTCACTGGGAAAGTGAAGAATAGAGAGCGCATCCTTGATATGGTTTGGCTGTATTCCCACCCAAATCTCATCTTGAATTGCAGCTCCCATAATTCTTACATGTTGTAGGAGGGACCCGGTGGGAGATAATTGAATAACGGGAGCGGTTTCCCCCATACTGTTCTTGTGGTAGCAAATAAGTTTCATGAGATCTGATGTTTTTATAAGAGATTTCCCCCTTTCACTTGGCTCTCTCTTTTGCCCGCTGCCATATAAGACATCCCTTTGCTCTTCCTTCCTCTTCCACCATGATTGTGAGGCCTCCCCAGCCATGTGGAAATGTGAGTAAATTAAACCTCTTTCCTTTATAAATTACCCAGTCTTGGGTATGTCTTTATCAGAGCGTGAAAACGGACTAATACAGTCATTGTATTAACTACTGACTTGAGCAGTATTTACTGTGTATTCTTCTCAATACTTTAACAGTAGTACCTATGAAGTATGTCCTGTTACACTTATCTTCGTGCCTGTTTTTCACCTGGGAAACTGAAGTGCAGATGGGTTAAGTAAGTGGTCAAAGTTACATAGTTAGCAAATGGCAGAGCCAGGATTTGGACCTAGGCCGTCCTGGTCTTTGGAGTCTAGGCTCTTAACCTACCTGCCACACTGCCTTCTTTAGGGGTGCAGGACAGGGTCACGTGGACTATGGGAGTTCGATAGATTAACTGCTGGCAGGCCGATTCCTGTTTCTTCCTCACTCCCACATCCCAGTGACCCCCCCTCCGCCCCGCAAAA
The DNA here is from genome assembly GCF_000001405.40 of Homo sapiens. Lineage (NCBI taxonomy): Eukaryota > Metazoa > Chordata > Mammalia > Primates > Hominidae > Homo > Homo sapiens. The sequence goes on along the minus strand of NC_000023.11, from coordinate 19,053,344 downwards.
TCCTCTCACTTTTACCTTAGTAGGATCTGTTGAACCTCTCTTTTCATGCCAGCTTCCCAAGCATGGGTTCAAGTCCTCATCGTGTCTTGCCCAATGTACCCCTGTAGCTTACTCTCTGGCCTTCCCACTTCAGATTTCCTTCATTTATTTCATAGTTATACAAAAAATATTGTTCTGTGTCAGGAACAGGGGCAAGGGGGAAGGGAGAATGGGGAGTTATTGTTTAATAGGTATGGGGTTTTGGTTTGGGAAGATGCAGAAGTTCTAAAAAGAGAAGGTGGTGATGGTTGCATAAACATGTGGACATACTTAATGCAACCAAACTGTACACTTAAAAATGGTTAAGATGAGGCCGGGTGCAGTGGCTCATGCCTGTAATCCCAGCACTTTGGGAGGCCGAGGCAAGCGGATCACCTGAGGTCAGGAGTTCGAAACTAGCCTGGCCAATATGGTGAAACCCTGTCTCTACTAAAAATACAAAAATTAGCTGAGCTGAGCATGGTGGTGGGCGCCTGTAATCCCAGCTACTAGGGAGGCTGAGGCATGAGAATTGTTTGAACCTGGGAGGTGTAGGTTGCAGTGAGCCGAGATCGTGTCACTGCACTCCAGCCAGGGCAACAGAATGAGACTCCATCTTGGAAAAAAAAAAGGTTAAGATGGTAAATTTTATGTGTTGTATATACATATGTATATATATATAAACGTATATATGTGTTTATATATAGACATAAAAACATATGTATATATGTAGCATATAATTTGTGGTTTTATATATATAAATAATATATAATAAATATAAAAATAATAATTGTTCTGAAATGTACCTTAAAAAGCCTCTACTGCATCTCCTTCTCCACAAGATAAAGCCCACATTTCTTAGCATAGCTTTCATTACTTGATCATCTGGCTCATGTGCCATGCAGGACTGTAGCTTGGCCACCATCTTTTTGTGCCGATGACTTTGTGATCAACCACTCCTCTTTGGCCCTTCTCCTGGAAAGACCCCATAGAACTGAGAGCTATCATTCAGCCTTGCCGATTATCATGGAAGTAGCAGGAATGATGGGTTAATAAGGAGATAGACTTACAGACAGCCTCTCAGGTGGCCAGACAGCATAGAGTGAATGGAGATGGTATGGCTTAGTGAAAGAGGTATGGGCTCTCAAGTCAAACAAGTCTGAGTCTGAGTTCAGGCTTACCATTAAACTCTCCATCTGTGAAATGAGGATGATCGTTTCCTATTGTAGGGCTATTGTGAGGATTATTAGCAATCATGCCCCAGATATAGTGGGTATTCAATATAAGATATACAGTGTGAATTCTCTTTAGCTCAGACTCAGTTAACTAAGTTTGGAAAGAAAGACATGGGTGGTATTCCAGTTATCTATTTCTGTGTAGCTTAATACAACTGTCATTTAGTTTGCTCACAGATCTGTAATTTGGGCAGAGCTCAGCAGGAGGGCTCATTCCTAGTTCACATGGAATCAACTGGGGCATCTTGGCTGAGGGCTGGATCCTCTGCTTCCAGGATGGCCTGTGCACACATCTGGCAAGTTATTGCTGGCTGTTGGCTGGGAGCTCAGTGGAAGCTGAGGACTAGGAACCTCAGTTCCCATGTGGCCTCTCTACATGGCCTGAGTTCTAAGGATAAGAGAGAGGGAGAAAGAGAGAGAGTGAGAGCAAGCAGGCAGAAGCTCTGTTGCCTTTTGTCACCTATCCTCTGAAGCCCATAGTGTTACTTGCACCATATTCTCTTAGTCAAAGCCCACCCAGGATCAAGAGAAAGGGACATAGGTTCTACCTCTTGACAGAAGAGTGGCAAAGTTCTGGAAGAACTTGTGAGATGAGAAATATTGCTGTGGCCATTCATGGAAAATGCAGTCTGCCACCAGGAGTTTTCAGCTTCTACCTTAAGGCTTTGGACTTGGAACCCATAGGGAAGTGATTTCTGAGGTTTACAGAGTGTCATGGGGCCGGGCGCGGTGGCTCACACCTATAATCCCAGCACTTTGGAAGGCCGAGGCGGGCTGATCACGAGGTCAGGAGATCGAGACCATCCTGGCTAACACGGTGAAACCCTGTCTCTACTAAAAATACAAAAAATTAGCCGGGCGTGGTGGTGGGTGCCTGTAGTCCCAGCTATTCAGGAGGCCGAGGCAGGAGAATGGTGTGAACCAGGAAGGCGGAGCTTGCAGTGAGCCGAGATCGCGCCACTGCAGTCCGGCCTGGGCGAAAGAGCGAGACTCTGTCTCAAAACAAAAAGAGTGTCATGGGCACCATGTGCGACATGGAACCAGGAGGTGGGGGACATGAGTTTTAATCGTATCACCACGCAGCAGTCTCCTCTTACACAAAGCACTCACCTGGAGCCCTGGACTTGTCATTTGTAACCAGATGATGCCCTCTTCAGCTTTACTCTTCTCCAGTTCTCTGAGACTGTGAGGTCCGGGCACTGTCCATTCCAACTCCGACATGTCAGCCATGGCTGAATCAGTGCTTCTCCATCCATCTTCTTTTCACATCGGAATTGCTAGAGGAGCTGTCAAAAATGCAGATGCCCAGGTTGAAATGATCAGGGGTGGGATCTGGACATCAGTCATTTAATTTAAAAAAAATTTTTTTAGAGATGGGTTCTTGCTGCGTTGCCCAGGCTGGTCTCAAACTCCTGGCCTCAAGTGATCCTCCTACCTAAGCCTCCTGAGTAGCTGGGATTTGAGGTGCTAGCCACCACGACTGACTACATCAGTAATTTCCCTGGGGGTGATATTAATGTGCAGCCAGGGTTGAGAATCGGTGAGCTCCGCCATTGTGTCCATCTAAGTGTGTACAGGAGTCAATCAAAGGAACCCAAGTGTAGCCATTGCTTTTCGTGCCCCTGTGACATCCTTTTGAGCCATCTATGAGACCAGCCACAGAAGAGGTGGACAGTTCTATGCTCGCAGACTTCTGTCTGCCTCTGGGGTTTCCCCCGAGCCCTGGCAGCCTGCTCAGCTGTCACAGGAAGAGCCCAGGAGTGCAGAGGAAGTAATGGCCCAGGAGCAAATGTCAACTGTTGGGGAGGGAGACTTGGATAAATGCCCCAGTCTCCAGCCCTTCCTAGAGACAATTCTAGAAGGCATTCTCTATGCTTCTCAGAGGTCTCTTTGGACTTGAGCTCCCACTGTCCACAACAAACACCCCAAACTTGGCTTCCATCCTTCCCTGTCTCTTTCTCCCTGCCTCCTGGGATTACCTCCCAAAGAAAGTACTTGCACTCCAGTCTTGATCTTAGGCCCTGCGACCCAGAGAACCTAAACTAAGATGCCAAGTGATCACTGCTCAATTGTGAACTGGCAAAGAGTGGTGTGAACTAAGGGAAATTGGAAAAACTGCTCGCCACAGCCAAACCACTGGTGCACGCACCCCTGCCACCTTTCCAGGCACTTCTGCACTTAAAACTCCCACAAGCGACTCTTGCTAACCCATACATGACAGATGCTTTGATGAGAAGGAAAGTGTCAGCTGGCTAGCAGCAGAATCACTCTAGACACTAGTGGAGTTGGGGAGGAGAGGGTTCTTTCTTCACACTCTATCTTTTCTGGAGGAAGCAGAGATAACCCTACAGCAGGGGTGTCCAATCTTTTGGCTTCCCCGGGCCACATTAGAATAAGAAGAATTGTCTTGGGCCACACGTAAAATACACTAACATGATAGCTGATGAGCTAAAAAAAAAAAAATCACAAAAAAATCTCATAGTGTTTCAAGAAAGTTTATGAATTTGTATTGGGCCACATGTGGCCTGTGGGCTGCGGGTTGGAGAAGCTTGCCTAGGTCATGCATTCTCAGTGGAGGCGCTATCATCCCCATTGGGGTGGAAAATTGGTTCTTGGTAGCAAAACAACAACAACAAAAAAAAAAAAAAAAAAACACAAAAAACGCTTATATATGACACAGGGCCAGGACTAGGATGAGGCAAGTCAGGGGCCCAGGGAAGAAAATATTAAGGAGACAGCCACTCCCAGGGCTGTGGATGTCCGCATATGGATAAACATATTAACTCGCCAGATGGCAACGAGCCTGTGCATAAAGAGATGAAAAGGATCAGGCAGAGGCAGAAAGTGTTGCAGTTTGAAATAGACTGGTCTGGAACAGCCTCTCGGAGAAGGTGACATTTCAGTAAAATGTGTAGGAGGCTCTGTAGCAAACCAAGGGGCCTTCTGGGGGAAAAGTGTTCCAGGCAGGTGGAACAGCAAAGGCAAAGGCCCTGAGGTGGGAATATGCTTGGTGTGTTGGAGAAACGGCAGGGAGGCCAGGATGGCTGAGTGAGGGGAGGGCAGGAGAAGATAAGGTTGGGGTAGAGAGCTGTCTGTTTCATGGAAATGTTGGGGCGATTCCATTGAGTGAGGAGCACAGGTATAAGGCCAGTGTCATCAGTGTCCAATAAAGGTGAGTCGGCCTCCCGCTTTCCCCACTCCCAAAGCGCTAAGCAGCATTTACATGTCGTCAGACTGAAATAGCTCTAGAAGCTACCAGCCTTCGGAAGTTACACCAATCACTTCGGAAGTGAACAGAAATCATGGCTAGCATTCTAAATGAAAAGCACAGCCATGACGCTCCATTATCAGCACGGGCCAGGACCAGCAGCGTAGATTGCTAGCCATGTGTCTAGTTTCAGAGGCACTGGGAAGGGCGGGGAATGATCCCCCAGTATCCTCTACTGGTCAGAAAGTTAATTTCAAGGCTCTCATTCTTCCTAAAGTACACATCCCTCCTGGTGGAGCACGGTGGACACCCAGTAGGTCAGTGGCCCTTCCTTCTCTTCAGCCCACAGCCCAAGATGAGAAGCGGCCTGGTGTAGTGAAGCTGGAGAGCCTGCCTCACATCCTAGTCTGCCCTTTTACATGTAATCTTGGGCAAGTTACTTGACTGCTCTTTTCCTCCATTTCCCTATCTGTGAAATGGGGATAACGTACCTCATAGGGTTGTTATGAGGGCTAAATGAGCTAATATTTACGCAGTGCCCGGTCATATAGTAATGCTGTATAAGTGCTTGTTAATTAAAGATAGACCCCCTTTGGGGGCTCTAATCTTCCCAGGAAAAAATGCATATGAACACACATTTGCATTTTATTTCGGGGCATTTATGGACGCTCCAAAATGCATCTCGTGGACCCTTGGGGAAGGGACAGTTCATAAAGCCCTGAGAGAACCAGGATGAGTTCTGGAGGGATCAAGAGCCAGGGGGATGGGTGGGCGATACTGTGCGAAGGCAGGAGAAAAGCAAGAATTGGGGGCTGGGGGCTCAAGAACACATTTCACCTTCTTCCCGTTCTGGCCAAAGCCCACCTAGAACTGCGGATTGCTTGCACTTTGGGAAGTTCCATCAGCTAAGAGCCGAAGTTTTTTTTAATGATGTCATTATTAATCATTTAATAAATACATTATGTAAGAGTACTTATTGAGCAGTGTCCCAGCGCGAGTAAACATGTTTTGGATATGCCAAATTAGAAATGTTTTCATTCAGTTTTGGGGGTTATGTAGTAAACTCGGAAAATGCCGTTCCTGGAAGAGTGTCTGTTATCCCAAGCCCTTAAGAGCCAGTGTAATAACAACAAAAATATTGTTCTGTTTGGGGTTCCCATATAAGAGTGCCTAGGCGTGGTGGCTTGTTTTTAATTATCTCTCTATGGAACAGTAATTCAATCCAGAGGAGGACTGCCACCAGATTACAAGTTTCAGTTGGGTTGAAAATATTCATGCAAGGAGAGCTAGTTGTAATCTTTTTAGATCCACTCCCAAAAGATTAAGCCTTTTTCTTTCCCATCCAACTTGGGGAAGAATGTGGTGGAAGTAAATACTCATAGTAGTACCACAATCATAGGTGTAAGACAACCATCTCACATTTGAAGTCTTAATATCTACCACGGTGTCAAATAGCAGGGAGAAAAATGAACACTTCAGAAACACCCAGACATGATCTTGCATAACTTTGGTGCAGGTAGTTTATTTGGGAGGTGATCCCAGGAATCAGGAGTGAAGGAGCAGGCATTAGGAAAAGAGAGAAGGGAGAAGGCATTAAGAAAAGAGGAAAAGTCATTAACAGGTATGTTATTGAGGTCACCACTGTAGGCAATGGGGGCTCACAATGGCTGACTTTTTAATGCTGTTTTTGATATGTATTTGGGTGGACATTTTAGCATACATTTGTAAGACCTGTTAAGGCATCTATCTGCTGTGATCGGCAGCTATAACTACTCCTCCAAACTTTGAAATCTGAGTCATAGTCATCCAAGAAGTATTCTTGAGTCTTTGCTCTGTTGACTCTGCATTAGTCATTTTGCCTTGTTACTTTCAGATCCATTCCCCATCCTTCCCTTACTCTGTATCACAGGGACCTGACCCCTTGCAATATCTTTCATGTCTCCTTGCCAACTGGCTTCCAGCTAGGTTCGGCCAGTGGGTGTCAGTGACAGGAGATTGGAGTGCAAGAGGAAAGGGGAAGTCAGGGTATTTCTCCCCCTCTCTCGGTTTGGCTGGCATCTCTAATGGGGGCTGTGCCTCTTCCATGATTCCAGTCTCACTGGACAGACCCCTTCCAACATCCCGTGGCCTGAACTCCTGCCTTGTGGCTCTGTTCATCGGTATCTGGTAATATTACCTCCCCCCTTTGCTCTTCCAGAATCTTCCTGCTGTTGCTCACCTCTGGATTGCTCCAGTTCTTCATCTTTGCAACATTTCCCTGTGTTACATTCCTGCTCTTGAACTACCTGTCATGGGTTCCCAACTGATCTCTGACTGACGGAGATTTCTTAAGGATTTCATTAGTCATTGCAAAAATATTTTAGGACATCAACCACAAACAAGACACTGGACTAGATTCCTGGAAGGTAATAAATAAAGCATCAAGCAGCTTAGCGTCTAGTTGGGTAAACAAGGCACACAGTGGAAAAGTTAAATGACATCTTTCCAAATGCCAAGTGAAAGAAGGGCGTAGTCAATGAATACTTGAAGATATAAAGAGGAGAGAGCCAGCTCCATCAGCTTTTGTAACCAGGGCATGCTTTAGAGGGCCAGGGAGCCGACATAAAGGGGTCATCTCCCAAAACTTACAATTTTGTAAAACAAGGTGAAAAATTGGAATTTTATTTGAAATTTCCTGATTTTTAAATGTTGGTGAGTAATTCAAATTTTCAGTAACTTGGAGCTGGGCATGGTGCCACACCTCTGTAGTCCCAGCTACTCAGGAGGCTAAGGCAGGAGGATCACTTGAGCCCAGGAGCTTGAAACCCCCATTTCTGAAAAAATTTTTTAAAAATATCCAGGTGTAGTGGTATGTGCCTATAGTCCCAGCTACTCAGGAGGCTGATGTGGGAGGATCCCTTGAGCCCATGAGTGGGAGGCTGCAGTGAGCTATGATTGTGCCACTGCACTCCAGCCTGGGCAACAGAGCAAGACCCTGTCACTAAAAGAATAATAATAACAAAAAACTCCAGCATGATTCCCACTATGTAGACAAGATAAAACTTGTTTGGAGGCTGAATTGAGACTGTGGGTGTACAATTGGTGGATGGATTACTGTATGGGGGAAGAAATGGGATGCAGAGAATGTTAGGATTCCTTCCAATTAGAAGGTTCTAAGGTTCTAATTTTACACCCGGGTATGAGGCAGTGACGGCCTGGGTATGGAAGGGGGCAGTGAGCATGGGGAGAAGGGACAGATGAGAGAGAGATTAAAGAAGATTAATAATAAAACCCTATGGCCAGGCGCGGTGGCTCACACCTGTAATTGCAGCACTTTGGGAGGCCAAGGCAGGCGGATCACTTGAGGTCAGGAGTTCCAGACCAGCCTGGCCAACATGGTGAAACCCCGTCTCTACTAAAAATACCAAAATTAGCCAGGCGTGGTGGCAGGTTCCTGTAATCCCAGCTACTCGGGAGGCTGAGGCAGGAGAATCACTTGAACCCGGGAGGAGGAGCTTGCAGTGAGCCGAGATTGCGCCACTGCACTCCAGCCTGGGCGACAGAGCGAGACTCTGTCTCAAAATAATAATAATAATAATAATAATAATAACAACACCCCCCATTTCTGTATTCGATTATGGTCTACAGAGTTTGTCATTGGAACTGGGATAGAGTAGAGCCTCAGAGGTTAGGCTCAGAAGTCAAACTGCCTTCGTTCAAATCTCAGGTCTACAAGCAATGATCTGTGAGGCCTTGAACAAGTTTCTAAACCTCACCCATCCTGTTTCTCAAGCACTAACAAGGAATGATGTTAATGATATCACCTACCTCTTCAGGGTCGAGGAGTCCTTCTCATGGCATAACTCTGACCCACTCTTCTGCCTGCCTCTTCCACTTTTAAGAACTCATGGACTAGATTGGGCCCACCCAGGTAATCCAGGATAATCGATCCATCTCAGGATCCTCAGTGTTCATCACATTTGCAAAGTTGTTGGCTGATTAAATAATAAAGTATGTTTGAAGTCCTTCATGTGGTAAGCCTGGATCACAGGAAGCGTGGATCAGTTTTTGCTATTCCTGTTATGCCATGTACATTCTCTCTTTGAGAATCCTTGCAACAGCCCCATGCTACAATGAGAAGACTGCCCAGGATGCAATGACTGGATATGGAGGTGGGAGTTGGGGATGGGGAGGAGTCAGGAGCAATGGCCAGAGAGTTAGCATCTTGGTTTGTAGACTCGACTCTATTGTTAAAAGTAACTCTTTGTTTCTGGGCTCTTCACTTGACCCCTGTAGGATTTTCTCTCTTGAAGGGCGGTTCCTTGCAACTCATTCTCCATAATTTAGGAAACTGGGTTTCTGAGTATGGTGGAAAGACTGATGGCTCCCCAAAAATGTCCACATCCTAAAATCCCTGGAACCTGTAAATATGTTACCTTACATAGCAAAGGGAACTTTGCAGGTGTGATTAAAATGAAAGACCATGAGATTATCGTGGACTACTTGGGTGGGCCTAATAGCTCTTAAAAGTGAAGAGGAGTCAGAGTGATGCCACCTGAGAAAGACCTGGCCCTGTCCCATCATGGCTGACTTTGAAGATAGAGGAATGGGGCATGAGCCAAGAAATGTGGGGGGCTTCTAGACTCTGGGAATTGAAGGAATGGCCCTCAATGTATTGCTAGCAAGAAAATGAGGACCTTGGTCCTACAACCACAAGGATCTGAATTCTGCTTATCCTGAATAAGCAGGAAATGGATTCTCCCCTAGAGTTTCCAGAAAAGAATGTGGCCTAGCATCATCAGCATTGATTTTAATCTGGTGAGACTCCTACTGGACGTCTGACATGCAGAACTCTAAGATAACAATTTTGTGTTTGAAGCCAGTAAGTTAATGGTACAGCAGCAACAGCAAACCAGTACTGAAGTTTTCAACTTAAATGTTTGGCGGGTGTTACTGGCAATACTTTTGAGTTCAGGAACTGATCAAGGGTGGAAATGATGTGGGGTGATGAGGGATGAGTTCTTGGATATACTGAGTTGGAGAAGCAATGACAGCAAGACATTCACATGGCAGTGCTCGAACCACACTTGGCCATGTGGGATTAGAGTTTAGAAGGTAGTGGCAATAACTGAAAAAAAAAAAATGCCTGGGAGGGGATGTAGGGAAAGAGACTCCATTGATGGGGCCAGTTTCTTGAGTTTCCAGTTCGTCTGGCTCCATTTGGCTTCTATTCTAAGCCAAACTCCTGCTCATCCTAATTGGAATATATGGACTTTGTTTTAAAAAAATCACTAGGGAGTCATACTGAGTAAATTTTATAGACACGGCACCATAATTTTATTTATTGACTTAAATTGAGACTTCCATAAATGAATAATGCTTGAAAATTGGCTCTTTGTAGGTTCCAAAGGAAAATCTGAAAATTTTAAATGTTTTTCCTTTCTTTGTTTATGAATCTTTTTAACAATGGAAATGTTTTGTCTCCTAAGAGTGGCATGGAGCTCAAATATATGACTCACTGGATATGACGACCACCTCTTTAAGTTGTAACAAATGGGAAGTGAGTTAGGAGAGGGCCCAAGAGAAACATAAGCTGATCCTCAGAAAAGTGTAAGTCCTGTGGGGATACCTCTAGGTTGGACCAGGAGTGAGGTGGAGCATCATAATGAGAGACAGAAAAAGTGAATAAATGTTAGTGACTGAGCAGCTGGGTTCCTAAAGGAAAAAGAAATGCCAAAAGAAAAAAGCAGAGAAGAATCATTTAAAAATCTCTAGCTTTAATTTACTAGATTCCCTCCCTTCATCAAAGTAGACCGCTGTCTTTCCTGTCAGGAGTTACTGAGAGCCCTGTACATTTCATGATGAAAGAGACCAGCCCTGGGCTGGTCCAACCCCTCATCTACTTTTTTTTTTTGAAACAGAGTTTGGCTCCGTCGCCCAGGCTGGAGTGCAGTGGTGTGATCTCAGCTCACTGCAACCTCCGCCTCCTGGGTTCAAGCAGTTCTCATGCCTCCGCCTCCCAAGTAGCTGGGATTGCAGATGTGCACCACCACGCCTGGCTAATTTTTATATTTTTAGTAGAGACGGGGTTTCGCCATGTTGGCCAGGCTGGTCTCGAACTCCTGGCCTCAAGTGATCCTCCCACCTCGGCCTCCTAAAATGCTGGGATTATAGATGTGAGCCACTGCGCCCAGCCTTATCTACATTTTGATCAAGTTTCAGCTCTTGATTATAAGCCCACGCCTATCAAACTCAGGGATGGAGGACCAGTTTTGTGAGTTTCCCAGAAAACTTCCTTCTCTGCTCTGGCTCTTCTCTTACCCTTGACTTGTCCATTTTTTTCTAATAAGTAAGAAAGAGGTGAAACTCAAATCAGCCCCCTGTGTGTACACAGCTGTGGTCAACAGATTTGGCAGTGGAGAAGGTTGGAACTATGGCCATCCACCGGGCAAAATTGTCAGTGAAGCAATGTTAGCCTCTGTTGCCCCTCGACGTCACTCTCCATCCCTCTTCTCTGGTACCTAACTCTTCCCAGGTGCCTTCATCCTGCTCCCCGCCTTTGCCAGGTGCCTGCCCTTCTTCACTTTACCTGCCCACACTGACAGGTGTCATTCTGAGGGTAGTCCATATTGAATGTTGATTTTACCCAGGGCTTTCCCACGTTGCCCAGTGTGGTAGCTCTTTGCTAGATGATCAGATGAATTCACCCAATTCAAATGAACTCATACTAAGATGTGAATGACTGATGACCCCTTCAGTGTTCCCAAAGGTATTTTTTCAATTAACCCTTTCAGGCTGGGCATGGTGGCTCACACCTGTAATCCCAGCACTTTGGGAGGCCGAGGTGAGTGCTTGAGCCTCAGGAGTTCAAGACCAGCCCTGGCAACATAGTGAGACCCCCATCTCCACAAAAAATAAAATAAAAAAATTAGCCAGGTGTGGTGGTGCGTACCTATGGTCCCAGCTATTCAAGAGGCTGAGGTGGGAGGATCACTTGAGCCTGGGATGTCTGAGGCTGCAGTGAGCCACAACCGCACCACTGCACTCCAGCCTGGGCAACAGAGTGAGACCCTGTCTCAAAAACAAAATTAACCCTTTAAAAGCTAACTCAACAGATTAGTGGAATATTAAAGTAGCATGAGAGATACAGAAGAACAGAGACTAAGGAAGAAGTAACTGCAATTAAATTAGGGCACCAAAGCACCTAGCCACTTGCCTACATTTGCCTTGTTGGCTGCAGGGTTATTGGGGAACTTGGGCACTCATTCAGTCCTGCTTTCGAGCCGAACTATGATTTTAATTATCCCAGAAAACAATCAGTACCCTACCATCATTTCAAGAAAATAGGCTCCTGGAGGCTACCAGGTATGTTTCACTGTGCAATGTTAGTTTGCAAACATACTTATTCTTTCCTATTAATTGTATCTCAAGATAACATTGTAAAAATATCCCTTTGTAATTAATTTTTTTAATGTATAAGATAACACCCCATGTGGGTCAGTATTTGGGGATGTAACACTTCTAAAGGGTAGTATAAATTGGTCCAAGTTTTCTCTAGGGCATTTTGCAAACAACATTTATGGAATTTCTGAAAGAAATAGCCACATATGTATGTAAAAATTTAGCCCAAAGGATTTATTGCAGCATTGTTTGTAATCATGAAAAATCATACACACCAAAATGCCCATTAAGAGGAAATTTGTTATATAGATAAATAGTACATACAACAATTGAAGTGCTATTCAGCCATCATAGATGGTGTTGTGGAAAATTGTTTGATGATATAGAATGACGTTCATGATATATTGTCATGAGAAAAATCAAGTTATAAATATTTTTGTGTGATATAATCCTTATACATACATATATATACATATAAACATATATGCATGTATCTGTATATATGTAAATATATACACATATAAACACATGCATATATCTATATATGTAAATATATATACACACATAGAGAAATAATATATACTAACATGTTAATGTCATTTTTCTCTGAGTGGTGAAATTATAGATGGTTTTTATTTTCTTCTTCTTGCTTATCTGTAATTTCTCGTTTCTCCAATATGTATGTATTATTTTCATAGATAGAAATATAGAATTACTTTTCTTTTAAGAGATCTGAGCATTTTCCCCAAATAAATAACTCAGCAGCTCTTGTAGTTTATAAACCCAGAGGTGTCTGATCTAGCTTAACTCATAAGAAAGAAATGGCTTAATAGATATAACGTCTGTGCTCAAAAGCAGCACAGTTAATGGAAGTTTAATTTATGCAAACATACACGTTAAAAAGTATTGATTAGGCTGTTGAAAATAATAGTAAATTAACATACTGCCCTCTTTTGGTAGCTATTTGTAATTCAGCTTACGTTCACTTCCATTAAAGATGTTAATCTCCTACAAATGTGTGCATAAATTAAACTAATTTTATCTTATTTTTTAAAATAAATTTTATTGTGCACATTTGAGGTTTATAACATGATGGGATGGAGTACATATGGATAGTGAAATTGTTACAGTAGTGAGGCTGATAAACATTCACATACTTTTTTTTAGTGACATGAGTAGCTGAAACCTACTTATTTGACAAAAAATCCTTAATATAGTACAATTTTATTGATTTTAGTCCTCATGAAACTAATTCTGAATCACCTCTTTTCCTCAACAGAAGATACTGATAATTCCAGTTTGTCACCACCACCTGGTAAGTTGTTTTTTTAGAACTCTGGGGAATTTCAGGAAAATATTATTCTGTAAGTTCTCTATGAAACATGGCATGTAGTCAGGTACAACAAAATTGTTTTCCTCCAAGAAGCTTAATTAGGTCATTAAGCCTACACCTGAAAAATCAATGCAAGCATAGACCAGAGGACAGTCATATTGATCCGTCCATATTGCGGGACAAAGCCAGGCAACAAATCACAGGGGACTAAATTGTTAGTTTTCATTACAGTAATTACTTAAGTTCAGCAGTTATTTTTAGTATTCTAGTTCACAAGTCTCTTGAAGAGTATCAGGAACATAAACATGCCAGATGTTTTTACATTTAAGGGAGGAGATGAGATGAGATGTTCACTTAAATATACACCCTCAGTACCTCCACTGAAAGGATATTTTTCACTAGGATTCTAAGGGCCCAGCACTCACCAGAATGGGAAGGCAAATACATTAGAACCCAGATTGGCAAGTGCCTGGAACAGAACCTGAATTCGAGACTGCTAGCTGGAATGGGACCTTAGGGATAAAGTGACCCAGCCCTGTCCATTAGTTGATGAGATAATGAAGCCTGGAGTGGCTGAGGAACTTCTCTAAGATCACACAGCTCCTTGCTCCACATCACACAGAGGCAGCACATGGCTTCTCTGACTCCTACTTCTGTATTCTTTTGGGTACACCATCTATTCCAGAACAATCTTTTATGATGGGGAGTGAGTCAACTCACATTCTTTCTGTAGTTGTGTGCAAATGAGCTTCTACTGTTATTGATTCATTATTTAAATCCAATTAATCACAATAGCTATACTTCTCATGCACTACTATGTATCTGGAAGCCTTCAGACATCTCCTCGTTCTCCTCTCAGTCTTGCAGCATAGGAAATATTCGTGTTATAGATGAGGAAACTGGGGCTTGGGGAGGATAAAACATGCTCGTGTTCACACATTCTCTGGAGCCAGATGACTTGAGTTGTAATTTGGCCACCACCTTCCTGCCTTCATTCCTAGCTGTGTGGTTTTGGGCTAGTTCCTTTAACCTTTCCATGCCTCAGTTTCCTCTCCTGTAAATTAGGGAGAATAATAGTAGCTGTTGTCGGGTAGTTGTGAAGACGGAATGAGATAACATATGTGCCAGGCACAGTGTAAACCCTTGGTAAGTGGTAACTATTATTTTTACGAGTTTTTGAGTAATGGGGCAAAGATTCAAACCCAGGACTGCAGGCCTCCAAAGTCCAAGCTCTTTTGATCTCGCCAATTTGCCCCCTAGTTGTTAAGCTTCTAGGGCACAATGAACCACTATATTTTTCTTCCAATAGAATAGTCCTTAGCAAACTGAATCATGGTGATATCTGCAAAACCTTGTTTGCATAGAATAGGGAATGGGACTCTGGGGGGACACACTGGGTCTAGTCACAGCCTGGCTTCTGGGTGCCCTGGGGGAGAGCAGTGCAAACTGGAAGGTAAGAGCCAGTGTAGCATCAAGGGATGGATGGGCAGCCATGCCCAGAGGTCTCTTCTTTGCACAGTGTCACCATTCATCAACATTCGGAAGAATTAATAGTCATTCCTTAAAAACTAGTTGTGGCCAATTATTTTGTTCTGCCCCAAGAGCAAAAAGGATTCTATATCTACACTTTGAATCTTATTGCTCAGGAACTGTCTTACTTCTCAAGAAATATCCTTGGTAATTTAAGAAATAAATAAATGTAGTAAATGACAAAATATGGAAACAATAATGTGGACAGACAGGGTGTGTGTGTTTCAGCCAACACAAGAGCAGTCTAAAGCAGGCCAGCCAAAGTGCCTTGACACACCCAACTTTGGTCCATACCAGCTGAAAATCAGGCTCCATACTGCAAAACTTATTTTAGTTATAAAATGTTGGTGTTTGCTTTTCCCATGTTTAGGTAGAGGTCAAGCCATTGAATCTTTTAAATATTTAAATATGCAAAATGTGTGTAGTAGATTGACTTCTTAGCTTAAGTGGAGTCATTCCACAGGAAATTTATCACTTGATTAATTGCCTTAATAGCAGCCATATTTTAAAATAACTTACCAGGAAATCTGGTTAGGTAGTACAGTATTGAGTGGTAGCAATTTTTTTAATCCTAAATTTACTGTGGGAAGATTTGCTAGGCATCACTGTAACAGAATGGCACCAGCGTGCCAATATATTTCATGATTGTAATTCGGCAAGTTATTTAAAATGTTTTCTAGAATGCTCTGGCTGAAAAATTTTTAAAGTAGTATTTCTTGTATTTTGGTCTGGTTCCTAATCTTATTTCTATAATATTCCATAAGTAGTTAGCAAGCTTTGCAATCACGGGTCTCAGGTTCACTCATCTTGGGTTCTTTTCCTACAATTCTCTGATTAAATTTTATACTCACTGAGCGCTTATGGGACATGCAGATTTAACTACAACTTGGTCTGCTAGTGTGTTTTCTACTTCTTTTCGTAATTATATCTCAAAAGTTTTAATTCTTTAAAATTTGACAAATAATCGTTTCAAAATATTGATTTAATTTTTTTTTCTCCTGCAGCTAAATTATCTGTTGTCAGTTTTGCCCCCTCCTCCAATGGTACTCCAGGCAAGATTTTGAAAAAATTTAAACCTAGATTTAGTCCAATTTGTTAAAGTTTTGTTTTAATTATATCTTTGTATTGTTTTTCTCCTCGGGACAAAAAGAGGTTGAAACAACAAGCCTCAATGGTAAGAATTTTTCTGAAGCAAGTGAAAATTGATAACCCTTAATATGAATATAAGTATAATGAATGGTGTTGAAGGTTTCCATTTCTAAATTATTTCTGAATACGTCGAGTAGTTTCAAATAACCCAAAACAAAACTTGCCAACCCTGGAGAGTGACCTAAACTTTCTGGTTAAATGATAACATTCTTACAGTCATGGAGGGAAGAGAGCAGTCCACCACTCTAATTGTTAGCTAAAAATAAAAGAAATATCGATCACATTTTGAATTATCCATTCCCTTGCTGTCCAACACAATGCCAACAAGTTTTACATGACAGATTGTTTAAATGTGAAAAGCACATCCAGTTATTCAATATGATTCAGCATGGATTTGGAGGCACAGTGTGTTCAAAGACAGCCTTTTTACAGATGATTTGATCAATTTTTAAATAGTATGAAATGGGAAAAAAATGGCTTCCCTATCATGCTAGAGAAAAGGGCAAAGAAGTGGGCTTTATTCAAGGGAAGGGGGCAGAGCAGTACATTCTGTTCCCTCCAATAAGTGAACAGAATGGGTAGACAGCCTTCCTTCCATCTTATTGCGATGAAACCCCAACACTTTTCACAAGCCCTTGGTTAAAATCAAATCTCACCATATGGTTGGTGGCTAAGGAGCTAAACAATCATAGATGCAGCTTATACTGATCAAAACTGGTTTAAATTCATATTTGGCCCAATGGGAAGGGACAGATGTTATCATTTTTATGTGCAGTTACTTCTCACAGTGAAAATAATATCTTCAATTTAGCTTTGGTGCAGTTTTTGGATCCCATTTTGTGTGTGTGTGTGTGTGTGTGTGTGTGTGTGTGTGTTTTAAGTATGATGTAATAAATGCCTTTTGGTTTTTTCCTAAAATTTCATCCAGAATCATAAATTCTAGAATGATTTGGATTTAAAGAAATGCCAATAGAATCGATTTTAAATTGGATTTTAAATCAAACAGGATCCAAATGAGATTTTCTTAAAAGTTAGTCGAATATAATGGTCATTTACTCCAAATTTAAGCTAGAATTATTTTAAATTGCTTTATAAGAGTGTACCACTGGTAAAAATGTATTATGCATCCACAGGGCTATATATTAAAATCAGTATTAATGTTGGAAATGTCATATCCCTTAGGGACGTTCATTATAATAGAGAAAAAAGGGACAAAATATTAAACAACATAGATGAGTTTATTCAAATCTAATGGTTACGGGAGTGTTGCTA
Source organism: Homo sapiens (assembly GCF_000001405.40). Classification (NCBI taxonomy): domain Eukaryota; kingdom Metazoa; phylum Chordata; class Mammalia; order Primates; family Hominidae; genus Homo; species Homo sapiens. The sequence goes on along the minus strand of NC_000023.11, from coordinate 19,036,219 downwards.
AGTGTTTAGACATGTAACTTGCATTTGAATCAATGAACATTTGCTCCGGAATTGTCTCCAGGGGTTGGAGAATGGAGTAGTGAGAGGATGGGTAGCAAAAACATTTAGTAGTGTCAGTTGGCTTTTGCAAAACTAACTTCTCCCAGATTTGGGGAAAAGGGAAATGTTTAAGGAACCTAGGAAGACACACATGTTTGTAAACCATGCCAGTAGTTATGCTAATTTTTATTATTTTATTTCAGATGTTACTTTAAGCTTACTCCCTTCAAACGAAACAGGTAATATCAAGTGATTTCTAAATGTAATAGCTTCTTCTGCAGCCTCTTGAGTGTCTTGCTTGTGCAGTCTACTGGGTTACTAAAGAGTTTTCTTTTGCCTCCTTGCCCTTTTTCCTGTGCCTTCAACCATTGATTTATGACCCCTTTGACTTTGACATTGAACTATAATTCTGTCACCACACTCCCAAACTTCCAAAGGATGGCCATAGCACTCCATTTAAAATAGCATGTATTATTTTTGTGATTATAATAGTGATACATATTAGCTCATAAAGATGGAGAATATAGAGAAATGCAAAGAAGAAAATACAAATCATCTTTAATGTTACTTTCCTAAGACTATGACTGTTAACAATTTGGTCTATTTCCATTCAGTATCATTTATACATATATTTATATACATATACTCTTATATCCTTTGCAAAATAGTCATAATTTACATAGATTTTTGTATCTTGCCCATTTGACTTAATATTACGTTAGAAGTATATTCCAGTGTCCCTTACTATTATGACTTGATAATATTCCATTTTGTACCATATGTTGAACTTTAAAGTTGTTTCTATCTTTTTAATAGAAGTTATTGCAATGAACATTCTGGTGCCAACATCTTTGCATTCATTTCTTATTTCTGTAAGATACATTCTAAGGATTGCAGTATGCAAGGATTGCATTCTAAGGGTCAGCAGTATGAATATTGTAAGACTCTTGATACTACTGCTTGGTTACCTTCTAGAAAGGTCGTGCCTAGCGACATTCCTGTCCGCAGTGGATGAGAATGTCTGTCACTGTACCTTTGCTGAGACTGTATCATATCTTATTAAATCTTTCTCTCAACGCTTAGGTTTTATTTTTCATTCATGATTACTAGTGAAGTTAAACATTTTTACCCCAGAGCACTTTAGTTACCAAAACCAGAAGTTCATTTCACAGTTGTATTTTGTTTGCTCTGAAAAGGAAACTATCAGGGCAAACAAAATAATATATTTAAAAGATTTTTTTTTTTTTGAGACGGAGTCTCTCTCTGTCATCCAGGCTGGAGTGCAGTGGCGCCTTCTTGGCTCACTGCAAGCTCCGCCTCCCGGGTTCACGCCATTCTCCTGCCTTAGCCTCCCGAGTAGCTGGGACTACAGGTGCCCGCCACCACGCCTGGCTAATTTTTTGTATTTTTAGTAGAGATGGGGTTTCACTGTGTTAGCCAGGATAGTCTCGATCTCCTGACCTTGTGATCCGCCCGCCTCAGCCTCCCAAAGTGCTGGGATTACAGGCGTGAGCCACGGCACCCGGACCTAAAAGATTCTTAATGACAATGTGAAATGCTATCAGCCTTCATAATTACCACCCATCATTGGCTCATGGGTCACACATTGAAACCTGACAGTTTCAGAAACCTCATTTGTGTGTCTTTGTTACTGATGAGTTTCTGCCAGGATAACATCATCATTCTTAAGTGTGTTTCCAATCTCTGAGCTTGGCCTTTTCTTCAGAATTTGCCCATCCACCCTAGGTGACAGAGCTTCGGTGAAAATCTATGCCCTGAACACAGCCTCTTTCCATTGGCCATTTTTACAGCAAAGATTTCTGTACCTGCTTCTCCGTTACCTGGGGAATGAACCATGGGCTCTGTCCCCAAAACGTGTTTGGAAGACATTTCTAAAGTTTGCTTCTTCAGGGCATGTTAATATTTGCCTGTGAGTCACTCACTTTGAACAGTCTTGGTTCTGCTGTGGGCGTGTTATGTGATTGTGTATAGGTGGATGATCTCGACCTCTCTGAGAATAGCATTCTCTATCAGTACAATGGGGATAGTATTATGTTAACTCCTAAAGAAGATAGCGAGACACTTGATTGTATAATAGCAATACTTTACATCCCATGTGTACTGTTTCACATTAATTTTTATTCTGAATTACCTGTTTTTACAACCTATCACCTGAAGGTCCCGATAGTGGCTTAATTCTACATATCTGAAGTGTAAGTCCACATCATTTGTCTAGCAGCAGTGTGTGGAAAGTAAAGTAGAATTACACAGGCAGTGGGGTGTGTAATGGGTGTGATCTAACTGCGTAAACATGGAACTCCAACTCCCAGACTCACCCTGTGCCAATGCTACATGATCCGTGGATGCGGTTCCTATTCATTCTGCTGCTGAGATGACCGATAGTGTCTTAAAGGTGTCAACAGTGTGACTTTTTTTTTAGCACTTCACTAAAATGATACTCATGGCAAATTGTTTTTAAAAAACAAGCAATGATTATTCTCTAATATTTAAGTTGTTTCTTTGCAGAAAAAACTAAAATCACTATAGTAAAAACCTTCAATGCATCAGGTATGACTTATTATCAATATCAAGACTTTCCTTTTTATAACTAAAGTAAAATTAAACAAATGGCTGGTGTTTATAATTTCTTTCTCTTTTTTCCAAACTTTTCAAGATAAAATCTGGTCTTAACAAACAGATGTGTATGCACTGGGTACCTGAAATTGTACTAGGTGTTTGGGGCTATATAATAATGATCAGACACAGAGCCTACCCTCAAGAATCTTCTAGTCTATGGGTGGAGACAAGGCAAAAAAATAGATAACTAACATGAACATGCATGCAGATAAAGGCAATGATTATACAAGTATTACTGACATGGTTAAGAGGCATAGGAGTAGAGGGGGATGCAATTAATGAAGAAGTTAGAGGAATGAACCTCAAATTTTTTTTTCCTGAGACAAGATCTCACTCAGTGGCCCAGGCTACAGTGCAGTGATGCAATCATAGCTCACTGCAGCCTCAACCTCCTTGGCTCAGGTGATCCTCCCACCTCAGCCTCCTGAGTAGCTGGGACTGCAGGCTTGTGCCATCAAGCACGGCTAATTTTTGTATTTTTTGTAGAGACAGGATTTCGCCACGTTGCCCAGGCTGGTCTCAAACTCCTGGGCTCAAGTGATCTGCCTGCCTCGGCCTCCCAGAGTGCTAGGATTACAGGCCTGAGCCACTGCACCTGGCCAAATTCTTTTTAAATCAAAGAAAATGTGTACTTTTAAGTTTCTGATACAAGACTACACACACAAGACATGCTTGACAAAGGCTTGATTTCAAGTAGCGGTTGGCAAACTATCACCAATGGGCCAAATCGGGCTCACTGCCTGTTTTTGTGAATAAAGTTTTATTGGAACACTACCATGCCCCTTTGCTTACATATTCTCTATAGCTATTTTTCTGCTGCGTAAAACACGAGTGGTTGCAACAGAGACCATATGACCCACAAAGCTTAAATATTTACTATCTGACCCTTTAGAAAGTTTTCTCACTCATGATTTAAGGAATGACCTGTGGCCATGTACATAGAGGAGATTACAGATGAGAATGCTAGCAGTAGGAAAAACAAAATTCTCAGTATGAATGAACAGCAAGAAGACACGCATCACTGGAAACGGAGCTGCAGCTAAAATTTAGAAAAAGATGAGATGATCGAATGAAAAGTTTAGTAAGTAATACAGCAATGGTTTAAAGGACATTTACAGCATAACTACCCATTATAAAATCTATAAATTCTATATTTGCATAATATATATGTTATAGTGAGTTCTATCTATAAGCAAGTATATTTGCTTATAGACAGAAGAAGAAATGAAATATTTCTCTTTTGGTGTGGGTAACACTGCTTTGGAACAATATAAAAATCTACAGATCTGGTAATTTGGGGTACCTAAATTTAATTTGCTCACAAAATCAAAACTCATAGCTATAGGTGTCTTCGCTAAAGCATGATGCCTGTACATCAATAAATCACACTAGCAGAAAGCATATCACATGCACTAACTCAAATTATAATTTTAGTTTGTACCCAAACTAGTTTTCTCATAGAAAAGAATTTAAGGATTTGTAATGTGCAATGGAAATAAACTTGCAGTTGGGCATTGCACACATAATTCTGACCAAACAAGACCTAACAAGGAGACAAAAATATTTCTTAATATAACAAGTTTTTCCCTTGGCAGTTTGTTTAATACATTATCAGCATTTGCTCCTCCCATGTACTATGGATTTCTTATGCTTTGCCAAAAGGATGCAATTAATAAAGGAAGGCTTTTTAGAGAAGTAAACCTTGAGTTCTTTTCAAATTGAAGAAGAGATACACTTCTCCTCTCACCAAAGGAGAAAGTGTTTCTCAGGTTAATACGTATAAAGTTTTGGTTCTGATGCTCATTTTATCTCCCAGTCATCTCTGTCTCCTTTGTATGCCTGTGTGGTCTGTTGTCCTGGTCATCACTCCATTTTGCCCTCACTAATAAGTAAATTAAAAAATGCTTTTTATTTACTGGCTAGTATCATCCACTAGATTGTATGCTCCTTGAGGGCAGGATCTATATCTGGAAACTCCCAAAGCCTGTAGAATATGGTTAATGCTCAGCAAATATGTTTTGAATTTTGTAGTTTTTGCCCATGAAACAATATTATGACATTAATGTTATTTCATACATACATTTGCATAAAGAGCTAGGATTAACATTAGAGTGTTCATAGACTCCCCTACATAGGAAAAGAAGGAGGATCTATGATTAAGGGCCATTCCATTTAAAGTCTCTACTTGGTTTGTGTTCATGGTGCTCTGTTTATACTGAACAGGAGAGGGATTAATTGGGAAGGGGTCAAAAATTTTAGGGAGGAGTTAAGGATCAGATATTGACATACTAAAGATTAGTAAAGAATTAAGTTCCGTAGCTGACAAATGACCAACAAATGAAAACTCATTTCTTTAGTCTTTGTGGAATTCATCCATCCAATTAATTCCAGCTTATAATATTTCTGGTCCACATTTGATGCCTACGTTTATGAATTCTCTTGACAATGCAGCACATAAACACGGGCATTGACATGCTTAACCAGCTGGGTTGTGTTTTCTTTGCAGGCGTCAAACCCCAGAGAAATATCTGCAATTTGTCATCTATTTGCAATGACTCAGGTTAGTTCTTGTGTACATTACACATTACCAGATAAATTTCCTCCATAGAGATAAATGGTTCACTTTCTTTTCTTTTGAGTATGTGGTATGTGCCTCTTGGAGCTGCCTCTTTTCATGCCACCTGGCTACTAGGAGTCCCTAATAAAAACAAAAGCAAATTTTATATCTGGCTGAAATTATCTTCCCGTTGCCTAGTGAGAAGATGGATTAACTTCCTTAATATGAGACATAAAGCTCTACAATAAATATTTTTCATTATAGCTTTAAATCCATAACTAATACCCTTAGAATTAATTTGTGAACATAACTAATAAAGACATTAATAATTATTGAAAGTCACTTCTTATATAGAAATCTGTCAAGCTTTTCCATAGGGCCTTAAGTATTAGAGCTTAGAAACAGGATAACGTCTTGCTAAGAATAAAGCGGATCAGCCTGTTGAATGTTGAAAACTCAAGTACACCTAGTTTAAGTGGATGCTAATTCCAGTAGTGTCCATAGTGTATTTTGCCATTTCTAACTAAGACCATTTGCTATTTTTAAAAATTGAGATGGAAATCCCTTGAGAACATGCTATTTTTGAAATGGGAATATTTTCCCTTCTGCCATGGGCCAGACGGAATGAAACAACCACTTTTCTCACCTTGGTTTGGCTCTCTGGGCTCCCTTCCTTGTTAAAACCAATGAAAGCAAATGTGAAAAACAGAAAAATATTGTGTGGCAGATCAGAATTGGCCAGAGATCATGAGAAGCGAGAAGAGGAAGTTAACTAGGTATTTTATGTTCTGAAAGTCTTATTGTGATTATAGTAATAAGCAATCATTACAGGAATATTTTCTTTATTCCATTCCTTTTAACAGTTTAATAATTTGTTTGAAAAACATAGGTAACAATTTCAAGTAAAATAAGGTTGGATAAATTAGAAAACAAGAAAATGTCCTATTGAAAGAATGTTTCACAAACACTTTCTATTGTGTGAATATAAGATTTGCTCATTTTTCTGCTGATACTACGTTCCAGGTAGAATATAGGAGGAAAATATTAGCTGGTTTTGATTAAAGAAAGCAAAGTGTTGGATACATTTCATTTTCGTATATTGTATAACTCTCTTCTCTTTTCCTCCTCCTTCTCTCCCTCCTCTCTGACTCTTCCGTTCACCGAATTCCCCATAATGTCATTATTTTTGTGCTTCACTTATGTTTTGGGCTGGTGACTAATGTCTAGTTCAGTGTTGTGTCTACATGATGTTTGATAACTGTTTGAAAATTGAACATGTAGTTAAAAAAAAAAAAACTGGTCATCTTGAGTAACAGATGCCAGAAAGCTGGTTGGAGTAATGTTTTCCCCAATTAAGGGACTGAATTGACCGTTTGTTTTAGTGTCGGTGACAACAACCTCATCAGGGTTTTTGGCACCAGAAACCCCATGGTACCCTGCCAGAAACTAGAAACCTTCACTTCTTGCAGGTTCCAATCTGGGTTCATTAAGGAAAATGGAGGCTGGTGAAGAAAGTGGGAGCTGACCAAGAGTCAGGCTGATAGTCAAAAGGTGCTGGCTTCCTGGTTGCTCTGCTACCACTGTGCTCCCAGCACATTTATGAAACTCAATATTCATCAATAAGAATGTGAGGCAGAGACGTTGTGGGTGTTGGCATGCACGTACACACACAATTTAAATAATCATTTAAAAGCTAAGATTTTTAAAAATGGATAAGTCTATGTAGATCTCAAATATCTTTTAATAATTACATACTGTATGAATTGAAATTTCAGTATCGATATGTGGAAACTGAGGTTCTTAGTAGAAAAGTTGCTGAAATAGATCATGTCAAACACTGGTCTAGTGCCTTCTTGGCCATTTTTAAGCAGGAATAAGTTGTTGTACTTTGGGGTACAATAAAAGATGATGAGAAGAGGAGGCCTTCTAGCTCAGGGGTTGGCAAACTACCAGCCATAGTCCAAATATGGCCTGTTTTTGTAAATAAAGTTTTATTGGAACACAGCCCATGCCTGTTCATTTACGTATTGCCTATGGCTGCTTTCATGCTACAATGGCAGAGTTGGGTAGTTACAGCATAGATCATATGGCCTGCAAACCCTCAAATATTGACTACCTGCTCAATCACCAAAAACGTTGGCTGAGCCCTGGCTCTAGTTTATGTGATATCCTTGCCCCATTGCTCACAAGGCCAGTTTGCTCACGAGATCAAGCTTGTTCAACTGCGGCCCATGGGCCACATGCGGCGCAGGACAGCTTTGAATGTGGCCCAACACAAACTCATAAACTTTCATAAAACATTATGAGACTTATGCATGGCCTTTTTTTTTTTTAGCTCATCAGTTGTCGTTAGAGTATTTTATATGTGGCCCAAGACAATTCTTCTTTCAATGTGACTCAGGGAAGCCAAAAGAGTGGACACCCCTGCATATAGATTATGAAGTGCACACCACGTCTTTCTGTTTAGGAGTCTCTATTTTATTTGTTTCCAGATAGAGTCAAAGTCCCCAGGAATAAAATTTCTTAACAAGGGGACAAGTTTTCTCTTTCTGAATTCCCACATAAAATTTACAGTTCATATTTTCTGAAAATTATATTGATAATAGTTGAGTAACTTACTGACAAAGTAAATGTGAATAAAAACAATTTGATGAAACTTTATAATTTGATAATCTTTTTGTATGTGGTATTAATCCTCAAGCTATAAGGATACAAGTCTCAAATATCTTTTTGAAAATTTATTTTTAGCATTTTTTAGAGGTGAGATCATGTTTCAATATGATAAAGAAAGCACTGTTCCCCAGGTAAGTTTTAAAGATTTTTTTTACTGCAATCTTAAAAGGCAAATTCATTTATATTTAAACATTTGTTTGAGGTTCAGATTATTTATGATATTTGGTATATTTATTGTTATGACCAAATTTAAATGAAATATGTTAATTGAGTCCCTAGCTTTGTAGCGAGGGCTTGAATTCATAATAATCATGGTATTTTGTTAATAACTATATTTTAGTTTTCAATAGGCTTGCTGCTGAATAAGAATGTTAAGGTGATGCAATTCTACTGCCAGTTAAAATTTTAAATTATATTAGAAACTCCTAGCAACAAGAAATATGTGTATTGAATCTATGAATAATATTCTGAATGTGATTCTCTTTGCCCCATGGGGGATTCTGATGCAGTGGTATCAGCCTTCCCAAAACCTAGATTGGTTCAGAGGATGGCCAAATGTGGTTCATTCATTCGATGACTATTTCTGAGCACCTACTATGTGCCAGGCAATGAGCTCATTGCTAGAAATACAGCAATGGCTGCTATCAAGTTTTCCTTTTTACATTGGGGTCTGTTACTTAGATCCGGGACCTTTCGTGACAAGAATGTTAATAGTGTTCTTTGTGAGGAACTCGTGAAATAAAGAAAGACAGAAATCAGCACATCAGAGCTGCTGACTTAGAATATTTTTTAAAGAAAACATGAAACAAAAACAGGCTCAGCCAATATGGATTAACTTTTAAGAACCACTTTTTGCCCTCCCTTTTCTATAAAACTGCAGCTTGATCATTTAGATAGACAATGTTCCTTACAGTTAGGATTCAGTCTTTGGGGTATAGTTATTTGAGTGGCTGATAAAACTGAAGAACAACTTACTGTTAGAGAGTGAAAAAACAAAACAATGTTTGTTATATTCTTAATGATTTTATGCTTCTAACAGAATCAACATATAACGAATGGCACCTTAACTGGAGTCCTGTCTCTAAGTGAATTAAAGTGAGTAATCTGCCGTTTGATTTGAAACTGCAGACATCAACTATGGAAGGATACTTTTTGAGCCATGTTTGCAATTGAAAACTGAGAATGGGAAAGAGACCAGCCCAAAGGTTATAGAGCCAATTGGTTCTTGACTTCCTTGCAGATTAACCATAATCACATCAACTATTATCCCCATGAGGCTCTTTGATGCGCTGAAGTTATATAACAGCTTCATTTGAATTAGCATTTGAGTTTTAATATGATTTGATATCCAGCATGGTTGAAAGAGGAGTCCAAGGTGGGACTCCAAATATATGATTTGTTGATGCTTTCATGAAGCATCAGTGATTCATAAGTCAGAGAAAAGTCTTTGTTAAGTAGACCTGGGCTTAGAAGGACAAGCACAGACAATGAGAAATGCATTACAAACAGATGCCCCTTGGCCGGGTGCGGTGGCTAACCCCTGTAATCCCAGCACTTTTGGAGGCCGAGGCAGGTGGATCACCTGAAGGCAGGAGTTCAAGACTAGCCTGGCGAACATGGTGAAATCCCATCTCTACTAAAAATACAAAAATTAGCCGGGCGTGGTGGTGGGCGCCTGTAATCCCAGCTACTCGGGAGGCTGAGGCGGAAGAATTGCTTAAACCTGGGAGGCAGAAGTTGCAGTGAGCCAAGATTGCACCATTGCACTCCAGCCTGGGTGACAAGAGCGAAACTCTGTCTCAAAAAAAAAAAAAAAAAGTGCCCCCAGTTAAACAGTAAGTCAAAATGTCAGCCACCAGGATGGCCTAGGCCAGGAGATGATCTTACTGTGTCCGTCACCAAAAGGGTCAACTTCACGTTTATGCCCTCATAGCAGCCAGTGAAGCAGCATCAGAGACAAAATTCATCTACTCTCAACATTGCTACTGCCTCACAAATGAGATTGTTATAAACTTTTGAAGCAAATCTGCTGTAGTGTCTGTGATGACACTGAAAAGAAAAATCTTTCATTTAAAAACAAAACAAAACAAATCCCTCTTCTTATGGGTCATCTTTCAAATTAGCTTTTTGACCTGGCTACATCTAATGATTCAGCAATGCCTAGGCAGAGAGAAGCATTTGGCAGATAGCAAACATCCCTAGGGCCTACTCAGTTTGTAGTGGTTAAGAAGTTCAACTAGTAAGAACTGGGAGTGGGGTGGGGTGTTATTCATGTCCTTTATGCCTATTCTTTGACCTCCTGATGAAATCTAGCTTTTCTAACTATTCATTTATATATGTGAAATGTAAAGCAGAAAAGATCAATGCTCTGGAAGGATCTGAAACTTTAGCTGGGCAATAGAATAATTTTTTTTTTTTGAGATGGAGTCTCACTTTGTTGCCCAGGCTGGAATACAATGGTGCCATCTCGGCTCACTGCAACCTCCACCCTCCTGGGTTCAAGCAGTTCTCGTGCCTCAGCCTCCCGAGTAGCTGGGATTACAGGCATGTGCACCACACCTGGCTAATTTTTGTATTTTTAGTAGAGACGGGGTTTTGCCATGTTGGCCAGGCTGGTCTCAAACTCTTGACCTCAAGTGTTCTGCCCACCTCGGCCTCTCAAAGTGCTAGGATTATAGGCATGAACCACCGTGCCCAGCCAAAACTTTTTTTTTTAACTCACAAATTTACAATTAGAATACAACTTGGCATACTTGTAATTACTCTTAATTACTAGACTAGAAATAGAACTGAGTTCATTTAAGGTCACCAGGCATTTGTTGAACACCTACTTTGTGCTCGGCCTTGGGGATCCACAGGGATAAACCCAACTCTCTGAGATAGGAAACCAAGTCTAGAGCAATGTTTCTCATCCCTGGTTGCATATTAAAATCACCTGGGAGCTTTCAAAAATCCCAGTGCCCAGGCATGCTCCATAACAAATCAGTATTTAGGGGCTGAGACCCAGCATTGGCATGTTTCCAACATGAGGCTAATTGTGAGAACCAGGGCTCTAGAATCTGGTGGGGAAGACACAAGATGCAACAAATAACAATACAGTGCAACCCCTGCACTGAAGGTGGCTTGTATAGGGTACCAAAGGATGGATGTTCTAAGTCTCTGAATGTAGAGCAGCAGGAGCAATTAAACCGGACTGCAGCGGAGGGATAGGGGAACCCCCAGAAAGAAGGTGACCTGTAGGTGGGGCATGGTGGCTCATGACTATAATCCCAGCACTGTGGGAGGCCGAGGCAGGTGGATCTCTTGAGCCCAGGAGTTTGAGACCAGCCTGGGTAACATGGTGAGACGTGGTCTCTACAAAAAATTAGCCAGGCATGATGGTATGTGCCTATAGTCCCAGCTACTCAGGAGGCTGAGGCAGGAGGATCGCTTGAGCCCAGGAGGTGGTCTCTGAGCACAGTTACGGAGGAATGGCTCCTGCCAGCTTGAGGAGTTAGCAGCTATTGCCATGGTCCTTCCCTTCTTCCTTCCAGACCTTGCCTGATGCTACCATTCCTTGGAGCAGGTTTTCTCAACCTTGGCACTCTTGACTTCCAGCAGGCTGGATCATTCTTTGTTGTGGGGGTATCCCGTGCATTGTAAGGTGTTTAACAGCATCCCTGGCCTCTCTCTACCAGATGCCAGTAGCACCCTCCTCAGCGTAACAACCAAAAATGTCTCCAGACATGGCCAAATATCCCCTGGAGGGCAGACTCTCCCCTGTTTGAGAACTACCGCCTTAGAATGAATTCTTTAACTGGATTCCTCTCATCCCAACTTCATGTGAAGCTCTGCCACTTTGAAGAAATGAAAGCATGGTTGGAGTGGGATTGGAGGAGAGGAAAGAGAGAATTTCCTAAGGGGGAGTTGTGAGGAGGGGAAGGCAGCGTTGGAGAGGGCCAGAGAGGGCAGACCAGGTCAGTGGGAGACGGGATGAGGAAGAAATCAGAAGCACAAGGTCCCCAGGGTGAGTGGCCTGCCCCTCTCGAAAATTTTTGCCTGGGGCTAGCTCTCCCTCTGACCCTCTGCCAGAAGAAGCTGCCTGAGGCTGCAGTAGCCTAATGAATAACAAAATTGTCCAATCATAATTTATAACTCACTTTTGGCTAGAACTGACATAGCTCCTGTCTGGTTGGTTTCCCTTGTCATATAAATTATTTATTTTCTTGCCACATAGGACTCTCTTATTATACTCTCTATTTCTTCAAAGTGAACACCATAAGCAATGTATACCATGTGCTTGATTTAATTGCTAAAATCTAACATGTTTTCAATTTAATATCACTAATGGTCTCCTTAATGTCAATTTCTCTCATTTTATTACAGACGCTCAGAGCTCAACAAAACCCTGCAAACCCTAAGTGAGGTAATCATAGTGCACCCTGTAGCTTGTTTATAATTATTGTTATGACCTGGGGGAAAGCATAGGGTTCTGCATTCCTGGGAGATATGTATTCAAATTCTCCCAAATTTGTTGTGTAAGAGAATGAATGGACTAGTTTTTTTATTCCAAAAATCAGAACTAGAAGCAATGGGTAGACATTATAAGGAGGTAGATTTTCCTTCATGTAACACCAAGAGTTTCTTAAAATATAAACTCCAAGAAAATGAGCTTCCTTGTGTAATAGTGACCTCACAGAGATTGTATGGCCTGAAGAGCGTTGATGATATGCCGGGAATCTGGTAGGAATGTGAAGTGGACAATCCCTAAGGGCTCTCGTGATTCTAAAATTCTGTGATTAGCCTTAGGTCTTCTTTTCTGATATTTCCAACTGCCCAAAGTAACATATATGTGTATACGTGTTTTTTGTTTTGTTTCAGACTTACTTTATAATGTGTGCTACAGCAGAGGCCCAAAGGTCAGTCATTTTTAATACTTTCATAAATATAATTTCTCCATTTATGAGAAATAAAGTATTAAGGAGTCTTAGTTAAATTGCAAATGCAAAGGGGGTCCTCTAAAATAAATACATATTAATGACATTTTGGATTTAAATATTTTTATTTTTCTAAACACTGATCACTCTGTCATATCCATCTTCTCATTTCTTTACAAAGTACAGAGAAGTGTGTAGTATCGGGCCATTTACCTCCGGTTCCACAAGGCTAAGGGTCATCAGTGTCCTTAGCCCCGAGGGCCACCAATATAACCAGGAAATGGCTCCCAGTGGTCCAGGCAGGGTGAAGGCCAGAACAAAAAGAGGGAATGTAACATGGAGCTTGGGAAAAGAAGGAAAGAGGGGGAAGGAAAAGATTGGAAAGAAAGAGAAAAGAACATGGCTGGGTGTGGTGGCTCACGCCTGTAATCCCAACACTTTGGGAGGCTGAGGTGGGCAGATCACTTGAAGTCAGGGGTTGGATTCCAACCTGGCCAACATGGCAAAACCCCATCTCTACTAAAAATACAAAAATTAGCCAGGCATGGTGGCGGGCTCTTGTAATCCCAGCTACTCAGGAGGCTGAGGCACAAGAATCACTTGAGCCTGGGAGGCAGAGGTTGCAGTGAGCCGAGATTGCGCCACTGCCCTCCAGCATGGGTGACAGAGTGAGACTTTGTCTGAAAAAAAAATTTTTTTTAAAGAAAGAGAAAAGAACAAATTAAGAAGCACATGCACACAGGGGTGAATCACAGCTTGTCCAACAATTATTTGGGGTTGCACAGATTATCATTTTGAATTGTGTCCATTGGCTATCCTGGCTGTGTAAACCGATGGCTTACAGGGCAATACACTCAGTATCTGAACCCCGAGCCTTCTGTGACAGTCAAAGTCCTAGAAAATGAGAGTTTCTACTCATTAAACTATTCATTGGTACAAATAAGGGCAATGAAATTGTATTCCCTGTCCACTGTACGTATTTAGTTCATTTCACTGACCTCTTTTCGTTATTGCAACACTAATTTTCTTTCACCTAAACCAAGGCTAAAGTAGAAAGGACAGAGAGAATGTCTTCAATTCTTAGCTATCTAATAATCTAGATAGAATTCCCAGAAAGATTTTTTTTTTTTTTTGAGATGGAGTCTCACTCTGTTGCCCTGGCTGGAGTGCAATGGCACGATCTCGGCTCACTGCAACTTCCACCTCCCAGGTTCAAGTGATTCTCCCTGCCCCAGCCTCCTGAGTAGCTGGGATTACAGGCACCCACCACCACACCCAGCTACTTTTTGTATTTTTAGTAGAGACAGGTTTTCAGCATGTTGGCCAGGCTGGTCTCAAAATCCTGGACTCAAGTGATCCACCTGCCTCGGCCTTCCAAAGTGCTGGGATTACAGGTGTGAGCCACCGCACCCGGCCCCAGAAAGATTTTGGATTTGAAAGGTCTTGATGTGGCTGGGTGCAGTGGCTCACACTTGTAATCCCAGCACTTTGGGAGGCCGAGGTGGGCAGATCACCTGAGGTCAGGTGTTTGAGACTAGACTGGCCAACATGGCAAAACCCCATCTCTAATGAAAATACAAAAATTAGTGGGGTGTGGTGATACACGGCTGTAATCCCAGCTACTCAGGAGGCTGAGGGAGGAGAATCGCTTGAACCTGGGAGGCGGGGAGGTTGCAGTGAGCTGAGATCATGCCACTGCACTCCAACCTGGGCAAGAGAGCGAGACTCCATCTAAAACAAAAAAAGAAAAAAAGATCTTGATGTTCATCTAGACTGGTATGTGAAAGGGCACCCATGATGGAAACTCAAATGTTTATGGACACCAGGCAAGTGGCCAGCTAGTGTTTTGGGGGTGAGATTAAAGGTGTCAAGGTGCTTGCTTGTCTCTGCAACCAAGTTTCACCCCTGCCTGTTCATCGTGTAGACAGGCAAAATGAGCCAGCACCTATGTGTGGTCAGAGAGTCTCTGGTTTGCAACCTCTGTGAATGTGAACCTCCATAAATGTCTCTTAATATAAAGTCTTTTTGGGTAAAATTCAGACCGTGGTAAATGGGTATTTACAAGCTTATTGGGGTGACATCACAAGTTAACAGTATCAGTGTCCCCTTTCCTCACTCTAAGTTTGCAAAAGCAATTACAAATATGTAAGTAGGTTTCCCATTTAGTAACATTCTGGTTATGTATATTTCTCCTTACAGCACATTAAATTGTACATTCACAATAAAACTGAATAATACAATGAATGCATGTGCTGTAATAGCTGCTTTGGAAAGAGTAAAGATTCGACCAATGGGTAAGTTGTCTATTATTGCTGCATTAATCTTCATGTGGATTTTAATGTGTTATTTTTCTAATTGAAAATGTAATTAATAAATTTACATATGTTACAGCTTTCTGTTTTGACTCCTTTGTCCTTGGGCAATTTCTCTCTCTTTTTTTTTTGAGGCAGAGTCTCAGTCTGTCACCAGGTTCAGTGACACAATCATGGCTCACTGCAGCCTCCACTTCCCGGATTCAGGTGATTCTCCCACCTTAGCCTCCCGAGTAGCTGGGACTACAGGCATGCACCACCACACCCAGCTAATTTTAACATTTTTAATAGAGATGAAGTCTCCTTATGTTTCCCAGGTTGTTCTTGAACTCCTCGGCTCAAGTGATCCTCCTGCCTCGGCCTCCCAAAGTGCTGGGGATCATGAGCCACCACACCTGTCCATTGGGCAATTTTTAAAGAGCCCTAGAAGGTTATTTTTCCTGCTTGCTAATAAAGTTTTTTATTTTATTTTACTTTAAGTTCTGAGATACATGTGCAGAACGTGCAGGTTTGTTACATAGGTATACATGTGCCGTGGTGGTTTGCTGCACCTATCAACCCATCATCTAGGTTTTAAGCCCTACATGCATTAGGTGTTTGTCCTAATGCTCTCCCTCCCCGCTAATAAAGTTTTAATATGTCTTATTTGATAATATGATAAACCCTGTTGAGAAGGAGAATTCTTTTTGGAATGTTCAATGGATTGCTACTGGGATATGTCCACTTTTTAAATTGACAAGCAAAAAGTGTGCATATTTGTGGTGTACAATGTGATGTTTTGATATACATCACAGAATGGCTATATCAACTATTTAACATTTGCATTACCTCACATACCTATCATTTTTTGTGGTAAGAACATTTAAGGTCTACTCTCTAAGCACTTTTCAAGCATACAATACATTCTAATTAATTGTAGTCATCATGTTGTACAATAGATCTCTTTTATTCCTCCTGCGTAACTGAAATTTTGTGTCCTTTGTCCAACATCTCCCCAATCCCTCTGCCTCTGACCCCCAGTAAACAGCATTTCACTCTCTGTTTCTATGAGTTTGACTTTTTAGATTCCACATCTGAGTGAGATCATGCGGTATTTGTCTTTCTGTGCCTGGCTTATTTCACTTAACATCATGTCCTCCAAGATGTGTTTCCTTGTGAATTCCTCTTAGGAGTTGCTGAAGAGTGATTAGTGCTGCATGCATATAACCCCCAAAAAATCAATAAATATTTTTGAGCACTACTATGTATACAGTATATAATTGTCAATACAATGGCGTCCAATCTATTTTATCACCTGTTTTAGACAATTGCTCTTTTAAATGCAGTGTAGGAACCGTGATACTTAATGGTTCTGAGCTGCCACCTTGCTTTGTTCTTGACCGTGCATTTTTCTTACTCCTTTTCCTTTTGTCTCTCCTAGAACACTGCTGCTGTTCTGTCAGGATACCCTGCCCTTCCTCCCCAGAAGAGTTGGAAAAGCTTCAGTGGTATGTAACAAACATGCTGACCCTTCTCCTTAAAAAAAAAAAAAAAAAAATCACCATGCTAGCTAAGGAGTTTTAGAATTTTGGGAGTAAAGAAGGCTTTCAATTTTAGGGAAAATGCAGTTTTCTGCAGTATGAAGTTTCCACTTGGACCACTGCCTTAAACCAGTGGTTTGAAATCTTAGCTGCACATTAGAATCACCTGGGGAGCATTAAAAACACTGACTCCCAAGACTCACCAACTAAATGTTTTGTCATTTTAAAAACATGTTTGACGGTCTGATAGGTGAGAAATGGTAGCTCAGTGTTACTTTAATCAACATTTCCTTACTAAGGCAGAGTCTGAACATTTTTTCATATATTTGGGGGCTGTTTTGTATCTTTTTGTGAATTACATGTACATGTCTTTTCTGTATTTTTTCTAATTGATATCTGATCCATTATTTAAGAGTACTTTAGCCGGGCACGGTGGCTTACGCCTGTAATCCCAGCACTTTGGGAGGCCAAGGTGGGCGGATCACGAGGTCAGGAGATCGAGACCATCCCGGCTAACACGGTGAAACCCCAGCTCTACTAAAAATACAAAAAAAAATTAGCCGGGCATGGTGGCGGGCGCCTGTAGTCCCAGCTACTCAGGAGGCTGAGGCAGGAGAATGGCATGAACCTGGGAGGCGGAGCTTGCAGTGAGCCGAGGTTGCGCCACTGCTCTCCAGCCTGGGTGAAAGTGCAAGACTCCGTCTCAAAAAAAAAAGTACTTCATATATTGTGCATATTAGCTCTTTATATGCATATCTATGGTATATGTTGCAAATATTTTCTCCCAGTATTTTAGTTGTCTTTTGACTTTATCATGTTTTTTGTCATGGAAATTTTGAAACAATTTTATGTAGTTAAATACGAAAAAGTTCATCTTTTCCCCAGTGATCTGAGATGTCACCTTTGTCTTATACTAAATTTTGATAGACATTTGGGTCTAATTCTGGATGTTAGATGTTAACACTGGGTGACCAAGCTGCGTGGGAGGTATACAGAGCTGTTTGTATTGTTTTTATAGTATTTCTGTAAACCTAAAATTAGTTCCAATAAAAAGTTAAAAAAAAATACTGATTCCCAGTCACCAGGCTCAGAGATTCTGATTTAATTGGCCTGGGATATAGCCTAGGCATTAAGGCCCTTCTGGACCAGGCAAGGTAGCTCACGCCTGTAATCTCAGCACTTTGGAAGGCCCAGGTAGGAGAACTGCTTGAGCTCAAGAGTTCAAGATCAGCCTGGGTGAGATCTCATTTCTACTAAAAAATTAAAAAAAAACAAACAAACAAACAAACAAAAAACTGGGCATCGTGGCACGTGCCTGTAGTCTGAGGTGGGAGAATCACTTGAGCCCAGGAACTCAAGGCTGCAGTGAGCTATGTTCATGCCACTGCACTCCAGCCTGGGCAACAGAGCAACACGCTGTCTCAAAAAAAATAAAAATAAAAATAAAAATAAAAGCCCTGCTGGCGATTCTAATGTGCAACCAAAGTTGAGAATTGATGCCTTAAAATCATTGCTCCAATGGAGGGAAACTGGGAGATGGGTGCTCCAAAACAGCAAAAGACTCTGAAAGTCACACATGATGTGACCACAGGTGTATACATAGAAAAAAACAGGGAGGACAGGAATGAAAATGTTCACTGTGGTTCCCCATGAGTGACCTGCCTGCTGGCATTATGAGTTTTGTTTGTTTTTTTTTTTTACTTTTTCTTTTCTTTCTTACTTTGCAGCATTTTCTATATTCTTCTACAATCAGATAAAAATTGTATTTGGAAAAAAAGGACTTAAAAAAATCTGTGTAGCTTCTCAGATGGGAAGAGAAGGCTAAGTGTAGCCTGTCTGCCCTTTGTGGGCCAGATTTCTGGGATATACTAATATTAAAACGTTGGACCTTGAGGAACAGGTAAAAGTCTTTGGTTAAGGATTTGTAGCAGGATTTTCTGCAATAGAAAGTAAAGAGTAACATGCCCCATTCAGCTTCACATGCCCCATTAAGCTGGAGCATTGAGCCCCATTTTGGGGATAGAGTTTCTGGAAGCATTGGGATCGGATCAGAAGAGCATCCCTCTTTTGACGCAGCCCCACTGACCCCTAGTGGCTGCCCCTAGTGGTTAAGAAGAAGAAACAGGAATAGAAAAGGGGTCAGGATGTGAAACTGATGTCCAGTTAGGGCTCAGTCATTAACTAGCTGTGTATCCGTGTTCCAGAGCAGATGCTTTTTTACCTTCAGCATCTCAGATCAAATGAAGAAGTGAGTTAGAGCTCTGTAAAATTAGGAAATGGACTGGATCAACACTTCTCAAATATCACCGTGCACATCCATCACTCAGGATCTTGTTAAAATGCAGATTCTGATCCAGTAAGGCCTGGGCCTGAAAGTCTGCATTTCTGACAAGCTCCTCAGGTGAAGCCAGTGTTGCTGGTTCATGGACCCCACTTTGAGCACCGAGGGTCTGTATAGAGACTGTAGAGCAGTGCTAGTGGTTCTCAATCCTGGCTGCATGTTGAAATCCTCTGGAGCGTTTTAAAAACATTGATGCAGCTGGGCATGGTGGCTCACGCCTGTAATCTCAGCACTTTGGGAGGCCGAGGTGGGAGGATTGCTTGAGGCCAGGAGTTCGCGACCAGCCAGGGCAACATAGTGAGACCCTGTCTCTACAAACAGTTTTTAAAAATTAGCCGGGCAGGGTGATGTACACCTGTAGTCCCAGCTGCTTGGGAGACTGAGGTAGGAGGGGTCACTTGAGCCTGGGGAGTGGAGGCTGCAGTGAGTCATGATCATGTCACTGCATTCC
Organism: Homo sapiens; assembly: GCF_000001405.40. Classification (NCBI taxonomy): domain Eukaryota; kingdom Metazoa; phylum Chordata; class Mammalia; order Primates; family Hominidae; genus Homo; species Homo sapiens. Next base: position 19,016,773 of record NC_000023.11, on the reverse strand, counting down.
AGCCTGGGTGATAAAGCAAGACCCTGTCTCTGAATGAATGAATGAATGAATTTAAAAATACATCGATGGGTGGGGGGAGGGGGGAGGGATAGCACTGGGAGATATACCTAATGCTAGATGACGAGTTAGTGGGTGCAGCGCACCAGCATGGCACATGTATACATATGTAACTAACCTGCACATTGTGCACATGTACCCTAAAACTTAAAGTATAATAATAATAAATAAATAAATAATAAAAAATAAAAAATAAAAACAAAAATACATCGATGCCTGCCTCCCACCCTCAGAGACTGGTGTAGGATGTGGCCTGGGCTTCCCAGTTTTTAAAAACTCCTGGGTGGGGTGGTTCTAATGTGCAGCCAAGTTCGAGAACCACTGGGCTAGAATTAGATGCCCACCCAGGGTCTTTCTAATATGTTGGTTCTTAGGTTTAACTGTACATTAGAAATACCTGGGGTATTTTTAAAACATACTGATGTGTCAAGGTGGCCTTCTAGGGTGCTGGAAATGCTCTGCTTTGATCTAGGTGGTGATTATATATAAAATTCGTCAAGCTCTAAATCTAAGATTAGTACACTTTATGCAGGCTACACCGCAGTAAAGAAGCACATTAAAATGCCATGCATTAAAATGGGCACTGCGCCCACCGCCAGAGGTTCCAGGTCAGCTGGTTTGGAGTGGGAGCCCAGGCATCGGTGCCGAGGTACTCTGAGGGGTTCAGATGTACTGCTGGCATTGCCCACCACTGCTCTGCCGCTTCCCTGTGTGCCTCACAGTGGATGGAGGGCTCTGACTAGCATAAATGACAGGAGTAGAAGGCAACCTCTTCACAGTTGAGCCCAGTGAACGGGGCCTTCTGAAGGCCCCCAGATAAGCTGAAGAAAATTTAATGTATACTTTGCAAAGCACCTTTACCCCAACTTGGCCAGGTGGGTTGCTACAGTGTACAGTTTAGGGAATGGAGCCTGAGAGATGTTGGGTAAATTGTCCACAGGAGTAGTGAAAGCTGGAGCCCTAGTGAAGGTTGTTTGTTCGTTTGTTTGTTTGTTTCTGAGACAGAGTTTCGCTCTTTCACCCAGACTGGAGTGCAGTGGTACAATCTTGGCTCACTGCAACCTCCGCTACCCGGGTTCAAGTGATTCCCCTGCCTCAGCCTCCCGAGTAGCTGGGATTATAGGCACCCGCCACCACGCCTGGCTAATTTTTGTATTTTTAGTAGAGACAGGGTTTCGCCATGTTGGCCAGGCTGGTCGCAAACTCCTGACCACAGGTGATCCACTGCTTCGGTCTCCCAAAGTGTTGGGATTACAGGCGTGAGCCATCGTGCCCAGCCAAGTCTAGGCTTTTTGACTCATGATGTTTCTGACTGTCTGACACCCTTTATCCTCACTGCCCCGAACCTCAGGGGATGCAGGGAGGCCTGTGGCCAAGTGACCAGCCAGACTGGACCAAGCAGGCTTTTCTTTTTATAGATGTGACTTGCTTTAGGCCCCTTGACCTAATATTCCTCCCTCTTCTCACCCTAGAGAAGCTCTAAGAACACATTCTTGTTGGTGTTCTAAGTCTCCATCTGACACTAGATCGATCAGAGGCTTCCTTGAGTAAATATTCCCTGGGTAATAATTTGTTGCTCCTCCTCTAGTTGTTCCTCCCTAGATCTCTCAAGACTGATGGATCTTGTGCCAGAGAGTAGGTGAGGACTTCTCCACCTTTGATGCCCATGAAAATCACCAGAGAGTTTAGAAAATACATATGCCCCATCCCAAGACCAGCTGAATCAAACACAGAGGAGTGGGCCATAGAAATCTATATACACATATGTTTTAAAAAGTGTTCTGGGCCAGGCACAGTGGCTCACGCCTGTAGTCCCAGCACTTTGGGAGGCTGAGGCGGGCAGATCATCGGAGGTCAGGAGTTCGAGACCAGCCTGGCCAACATAGCAAAACCCCATCTCTACTAAAAATACAAAAAGTAGCCGGGCATGGTGGCAGGTGCCTGTAGTCCCAGCTACTCAGGAGGCTGAGGCAAGAGAATCACTTGAACCCAGGAGGCGGAGGTTGCAGTGACCCAAAATCACGCCACTGCACCCCAGCCTGGGTGACGAGTGAGACTCTGTCTCAAAAAAAAATGTTCTGGGTAGTTCTCATGCACAGCCAAGGTTGAGAACCACTGAGCTAAAGGAACCTTGAAGACACAGCTGCTGTAGACCACCTCTTTTGCCCCAGCTTGATTCATTGTTTTCATTCAACCAACATTTCTTGGTCAGTTACCATGGGTCAGCTACCACTATGCCAGGCTATAGCAGTGTAAAGTTGATTAAGACAGATTCCTAGTATATGAAAACCAGTTGGGTCACGAGACATTTCGCAGTTCCCCTCACCCGGGAGCACAGAGAAGATTCCCTCAATTGAGTGACCATGAGACACAGAGCCACAGAGCAGCAGTGAACTGGGGAGTCACAGAAGAGCATCTCTCCTTGCCCATTCCTCTCCCAGGAAGTAGGTGGTAGAAGTGGGCAGGGGCTGGGGGATAGTGGCAGGTGCACAGAGGGTGTGAAATGGCAGAGGCTGGAAGTGTCATGTCCCTGATGTAACTACGTCAACTTGACGGTGTCAGATGATTGCCAGAGGGGAAAGACTTGCCCCCTCTGTAGCTCATTCGTGTCTCACATGTATCTCTCTGATTTGTTCCTTTAGTGACCTGCAGGATCCCATTGTCTGTCTTGCTGACCATCCACGTGGCCCACCATTTTCTTCCAGCCAATCCATCCCAGTGGTGCCTCGGGCCACTGTGCTTTCCCAGGTCCCCAAAGCTACCTCTTTTGCTGAGCCTCCAGATTATTCACCTGTGACCCACAATGTTCCCTCTCCAATAGGGGAGATTCAACCCCTTTCACCCCAGCCTTCAGCTCCCATAGCTTCCAGCCCTGCCATTGACATGCCCCCACAGTCTGAAACGATCTCTTCCCCTATGCCCCAAACCCATGTCTCCGGCACCCCACCTCCTGTGAAAGCCTCATTTTCCTCTCCCACCGTGTCTGCCCCTGCGAATGTCAACACTACCAGCGCACCTCCTGTCCAGACAGGTAAATGTCACTTGAACAGCGGCCAATCTGCCAATCAAGACATCTATGATAAGACCATGTTGAGCCTTTCTTTGTATGATGTTCGCTTGATTTCTAGAGCTTTCCTTTCGGGATTCTAACGTTCTAATGACTTACATGGTTGCATAAGAGTCATTGTGTTGAGGTGGCATATCTAATTTAATCAATATCTAATTTAATCATTCCTCTCTTCTGAAACCATTAAGTTTATTCTACTTTTTAGCTCCCAGGTATCGGTATCTTTCATGCAGTTGTCACTTTGCTTCTTGGCTGTGGCTGAGTTCCATTGTTTTGACCAAGATAATGGAGAAATAGCTCTAAAGGGCAAGCACAGATCTCATTTGATGGAGTTGGAGATTTTCTAGGTTTCTTTCTCCTACAAAAGTTGGTTGGAACACTGTTTTCAACACCCTGAAGAGTAAACTTTTGATCTATTAAACATAGCAGCTCAGCTTAGACAGAAGACAAAAGAAAAAATTGGCAGGTCTGAAAATCAGTCAGTCACAGAGTGACAGAGCTGGGACTGAGCCAAGGTAGTGGTAGGAGGGGAGAAACACTGTGAAGACCCAGGCTTGGGTCCGCACGGGCCCTCGCAGACAGTGTAATCTGGAACAAGCTCCTTCTGCCTCCGCCTGTTCTATGCGAGGATCAAAATCATCACACTAACTGCATGAGGCTGAGAATGAAGGTGTACGTGAGAATGCTGTGGAAACCGCCAAGGCCTCCAGGGTCCAAAGTGGGCTTAGTGGTACAGAGATAAAGGCAAGAGGGAAAGAAGCTGAGAGAAATCTGGATACACTGAAGTTTCAGTTCCATGAGTAAGAGGCAGGTCTTCCTCTAGAATTTGGAGGATGGGGGAGGCAAAGCCAAGTTTTTGGTGACATTAGATTGATTTTGGTACCCACCTCCTCCACCCTGGTGCCAGCATCACCAGGAGATGAGGAGCTTCTGCCAAATGACTTCATATTTCTTCAAATTTGCACTGCTCTCTCTTCAGTAAAGTTTTTTAAATTGTTTCTTTTTTTTTTTTTTTTTTTGGTAGCTTTGGGGTCTTGCTATGTTGCCTAGGCTGGTTTTAAACTCCTGGGCTCAAGTGATCCTCCCACCTCAACCTCCCAAAGCGTTGGGATTATAGGTGTGAACCATTGTGCCCAGCCAATAATTTTTTATAAATGTAAATATTTTCAGCCAAATTAGAAAAGCATTGGGGCTGTAGTCAAAGGAAGGTCCAATGGCTGATGAAGAATACAGTAAAATTGAAGTTCATTAGCCTGGGCCTAAGATGCCCACCTTCCCAAAGCTAATTCCCAGTGATCCCTAGACTCAGCCTAACAGGCTACACAAAACACTATCAAGGTGGCCTCTGGTGCCTATGTATTCCTGGGGCAACAAGAAGCAAAGTGACATATTCATAAAAGATACAGATTGAGGTGTTACCCAGGAGCTAAAAATTAGAATAAACGTAATGGTTCCAGAAGACAGGAATGATTAAATAAGATATGCTACTGTAACACAATGACTATTATGCGACCATGTAAGTCATTAGAACAGAAACAGAAATATACAGAAACTTGGGGGCATTTTCAAGTCTTGATGTGAGGTGAAAATAGCCCAACAACAAATAGTTTGCACACCATGTTTATAACAGTGTAAATACACATGCATAAAGATTTGACGGGAATAGGCAAAATAATAGGATGTTAAGTGGTGAAATTAAGAGTTGTCTGTTGTTAAAGACAGGTTTGTATCATTGTTTCCCTATTAAAAATCAGACTTACAGGTGATAGTCCAGCTTTCATAATATTCTTTTTTGTTTTGAGAGAGAGAGAGAGTCTCACTCTGTCACCCAGGCTGGAGTGCAGTGGCGCAATTTCGGCTCACCGCAACCTCTGCCTCCTGGGTTCAAGCGATTCTTGTGCCTCAGCCTCCCGAGTAACTGGGACTACAGGCACATGCCACCACACGTGGCTAATTTTTTAAATATTTTTAGTAGAGACAGGGTTCCCCCATGTTGGCCAGGCTGGTCTAGAACTCCTGACCTCAGGTGATCCACCTGCCTCAGAGCCTCCCAAAGTGCTGGGATTACAGGCGCGAGCCACCGTGCCCAGCCCATAATATTCTCTTTTTCACAAAAGAGCTTCCAGCAATCCACATAAAATCCTGTACACATGATACAAATTAAATACAAGTATACTTGTGCTTATATGAGTATATACTAAATACACTGATGTGCTTTATATTTTTTAGATTTATTGAAGTAAAATTTGCATACAGTAAAATGTATCCAATTTTATGGATAAATCAAATTTTTGCAGTTCTGTGCAGCTAGAAACACCCACAGTCACGTAACCACCATCATAATCAAGATACATAAGTTTCCCACTACTCCCAAAGTTCCCTTGTGTCCCTTCGAAGTCAAAACCTAATCCCCTCACCCCCAGCCCCTGGCCACCACTGATCTGTTTCCATACAGGTTTTTGGATATTTCTAGAATATCATATGAAGAGACTCACTTAGTATGTGGCCTTCTGAGTTTGGCTTCTTTCACTTAGCATAATGTATTGGAAAACTGGAGATCCACCCATGCCATTGTGTGTATTTAGAGTTAATTCCTTTTTATTGCTGAATAATATTTCACTGTATGGAGGTACCATAGTTTGTTGATCCATTCTCCAGTTCATGGACATTCGGGTTGTTTCTAGTTTGGGACTATTATGAAAAAGGCCACTATAAACATTCATGAACAAGTCTTCCTAAGACATATGTTTGTATTTATCTGGGGCAAATACCCAGGAGTGAGTTTGCCATATCACAGGGTCTATGTACGTTTATCTTTATTAGTGGGTTTTCCATTGTGTGTTCATAACACGATTTGGCTCTTTGATATAGACATCGTCAACACCAGCAGTATTTCTGATCTTGAGAACCAAGTGTTGCAGATGGAGAAGGCTCTGTCCTTGGGCAGCCTGGAGCCTAACCTCGCAGGAGAAATGATCAACCAAGTCAGCAGACTCCTTCATTCCCCGCCTGACATGCTGGCCCCTCTGGCTCAAAGGTACGACTTCGCAAACTGAAGTGGTGGTAAGAGGGGACCCTCCAAAGATAAAGATGCTGCTCACATGATTAATATCACCAAGTCTTTTACTCCCAAGTACCAGGTACATCATGGTTTCTCAGGTTGCTACTCTATATTCTGCTTAGAATGAGGAGACAGATGGGACTGCCAAATCTACACTACCAACCTTGAGGCCAGACATTGTGGCTCATGCCTATAATCCCACCACTCTGGGAGGCTGAGGTGGGCGGATCGCTTGAGGTCAGGGGTTTGAGACTAGCCTGGCTAACATGGTGAAACCCCGTCTCTACTAAAAATACAAAGATTAGCCAGGCATGGTGATGCGTGCCTGTAGTCCCAGCTACTCAGGAGGCTGAGGCAGGAGAATCACTTGAACCCAGGAGGTGGAGGTTGCAGTGAGCCAAGATGGCACCACTGTACTCCAGCCTGGGAGGCAGAGTGAGACTCTGTCTCAAAAAAAAAAAAAAACAAAAACAAAAACAAGGCTGGGCGCGATGGCTCACGCCTGTAATCCCAACATTTTGGGAGGCCGAGGCGTGTGGATCACGAGGTCAGGAGATCGAGACCATCCTGGCCAACATGGTGAAACCCCGTCTCTACTAAAATACAAAAAATTAGCTGGGTGTGGTGGTGTGCATCTGTAGTCCCAGCTACTTGAGAGGCTGAGGTAGTAGAATTGCTTGAACCCAGGAGGCAGAGGTTGCAGTGAGCCGAGATCACGCCACTGCACCCCAGCCTGGCAACAGAGCGAGACTCCGTCTCAAAATAAATAAATAAATAAATAATAAACTGCCAACCTTTCTTTACAGATTGCTGAAAGTAGTGGATGACATTGGCCTACAGCTGAACTTTTCAAACACGACTATAAGTCTAACCTCCCCTTCTTTGGCTCTGGCTGTGATCAGAGTGAATGCCAGTAGTTTCAACACAACTACCTTTGTGGCCCAAGACCCTGCAAATCTTCAGGTACATCATAATTGATGGCAGAAAAAAACATTCTCTTGTGTGTGATTGTAGTCCCCATTGTATTTCATGATTGAGGCAATTACTGCTTATAGTCAGGGGTGATATTCAAAATATTTGGCATCTAGAACAGTGAGGCACCATAGAATCAAGCCGGGTGCCATGGCTCACACCTGTAATCCCAGCACTTTGGGAGGCCAAGGCAAGTGGATCACTGGAGGTCAGGAGTTCAAGACCAGCCTGGACAACATGGTGAAACCCCATCTCTACTAAAAATACAAAAATTAGCCGGGCGTGGTGGCATCCACTTGTAATCCCAACTACTCAGGAGGCTGAGGCAGGAGAATTGCTTGAACTCGGGAGGCAGAGGTTGCAGTGAGCCAAGATTGCACCACTGCACTCCAGCCTGAGCGACAGAGTAATATTCCGTCTCAAAAAAAAAAAAAAAGACGTTGGTCTTGGCTGGTACAGGATGTCAGAGGTCCCCCTTACACCTTGCGTTAACCCTTTAGCAGCTGAATTTTGGAATGTGGCATGGGTGGTATCCAGCAGAGGGTTCTAGGCAATTGGGAGAGTAGGCAGGGGTGTCAGCTACTTAACATCACATTTCGATATTATAACAAGTGTTAGAACTGCACTGCTGTATATAGTGGTGCTGAGTATCATTCCTGTTTCTAGTGTTTTCTGTCCACCTATTTAGAGGGATTGGGGGCTACAAACACCCAAGGAAACCAAGTCTCGCTTTTTAATTTTCATAGTCTTCCCTTTACAAGTGTACTGCACATGGTTCTATGAGGACTTGACTCTAACTGGTCACTAACTTGGTGTGTCTGCTGCTACAGTCTCCCTGGGGTCTGCAGTCATCTTGCACTTTTCAACTATTTCTTTGCATCCTTAAAATGTTTCCTTTCCTTCTTGGAGGCCTCCTCTCCTTATTACACTTCCTTTTTTTTCTTTTTTTTTGAGATGGAGTCTCGCTCTGTCACCCAGGGTTGAGTGCATTGGTGCGATCTTGGCTCACTGCAGCCTCCGCCTCCCGGGTTCAAGATACTCCCCTGCCTCAGTCTCCCAGGTAGCTAGGATTACAGGCGCCTGCCACCACACCCGGCTAATTTTTGTATTTTTAGTAGAGACAGGGCTGCGCCATGTTGGCCAGGCTGGTCTTAAACTCCTGACCTCAGGTGATCCTCCCGACTCGGCCTCCCAAAGTGTTGGGATTACAGGTGTGAGCCGCCGTGCCCAGCCTATACTTCCTTTCTTTAATTTAGTAGCAACCAGAGGAATAGAAGTAGAAGCTATTTTGCATAGAGATGCCGCAGGTCAGGTCCTTACAGAACCCTGCGTTTTAATTATTAGGCTGGTGCAAAAGTAATTGTGGTTTTTATCTTTTTTTAAAAAAAAAATGGCACATACTGCAATTACTTTTGCACCAACTTAATAGATGTGTTTTCCATCTCATTATACTAGCTCCAGACATTTATTCTTATCTTCCACTTGATTTTCAGGTTTCTCTGGAAACCCAAGCTCCTGAGAACAGTATTGGCACAATTACTCTTCCTTCATCGCTGATGAATAATTTACCAGCTCATGACATGGAGCTAGCTTCCAGGGTTCAGTTCAATTTTTTTGAAACACCTGCTTTGTTTCAGGTAAAACTGCTGCTCACTGCTTTTGGCTTGGGCTTTATTTGGAGATGAGGGCATTTCATTTCTTTTAGTGCTCGAATATTCTTAAGGCTGCCGTAAGTCAAATGAATTGCCGAAATGCTGCAGTTCATTTTTAAATGCAGCCTAATGATACTGGTGATGATAAATAACAGTAACTGACAGTTACATAGTATTTATATTTACCAATTGCCAAGCACTATCCTAAGCAGTTACAAATGTTAACTCTAATCCTCTCAACAACCCTGAGAGGAAGGAACTATTATTATCCCATTTTACAGATGAAGCCATGGAGGCGCAGAGAGACGTTAAGTGACTTGCTTGGGGACACACGGCTTAAATGGCTTAATGCTATGTTCTCTTTAAAGATTCACAAAATCCTGTTGTGTCAATCTGTGCGCTTTAGCTCAGTATTTAGAGCATTGTATTGTAGAACAAGCTCTGTTTCTCTGATTGTGATCCCTTGGGAAAGTCACTTTCCTCCTTGTCCCTCGATTTCTGACCTATATTGTAAGATAAACAATGTGGACTGAATATTCCTTAGTGTTCCTTCTAGCTCTAAAACTCTGACAATATCTCATTTACCCTTGCCATCTTGATGTGCCAGGATCCTTCCCTGGAGAACCTCTCTCTGATCAGCTACGTCATATCATCGAGTGTTGCAAACCTGACCGTCAGGAACTTGACAAGAAACGTGACAGTCACATTAAAGCACATCAACCCGAGCCAGGTGGGGAGAGGCCAGTGCCGTCTGTTCATTGACCAGGAACACCTTGTACAAACTATGCTTGTAAGGCATGGCCGGCAAAAGGCAGATCAGGCAGAAAGAACCTTCAGCTCAGCTGGAGTAGTTTGCAGGACTAGAATCACATCTCTCCATTGGATTTTAACACACTTAATAATTGACCAGGGCAGGTGCAGTGGTTCATGCTGTCATCCCAGCACTTTGAGAGGCTGAGGCGGGCAGATTGTCTGAGCTCAGGAGTTTGAGACCAGCCTGGGCAACATGGCAAAACCCCATCTTTGCAAAAGATACAAAAATTAGCTGGGCGTGGTGGCAGGCTCCTGTAATTCCAGCTACTTGGAGGGCTGAGGCGGGAGGATCACGAGCCCGGGAGCTCAAGGCTGCAGTGAGCTATGTTGGGGCCACTGCATTCCAGCTTGGGTGACAAAGTGAGACCCTGTCTCAAAAAAAAAAAAAAAAAAAAAAATTGACCACCTAATTTCCAGGAAGAATTGGTGCAAAAGCAAGCTCTTAACAACTGTGAAATATCAGATATCAGTGTGTGTGGATCTGTGGCTGCAGGTCTGATTCTCAGCTCAGTTCACACTAAGCATCATCTACGACCTCACTACTCACAGTGTGGTCCACAGACCCACAGCATCAGCATCACCTGGGAGTTTGCTAGAAATGCAGAGTCTCAGGCCCTAACCCAGACCCACTGAGTCAGAATGTGCATTTTCACAAGGCCCCAAAGTGATTCCTATGCACGATTGATGAGCTTAAGAAGTGCTGGTCTATTTAGGGCTTACTTGCTTCTAGGGACCATATAAAATAAGAACTCTCTAAAAATTAAGCCTAAGATTCTGAAATTTAAAAAAAACCACAGTTTTTTTTCTTTTCAAATACCTTTCAGTTTTGCTTTTTTTTTTTTTAGTTCAGTAAATTAATTATGTGTGATTTATCTTTCTACCACAGGATGAGTTAACAGTGAGATGTGTATTTTGGGACTTGGGCAGAAATGGTAAGTTCCAGTCATAACCTTTTCAAACTCTTGAGTGGGTTAATTGGGGAGGGTGTGAAGTCACTGGTGCTGTGGCCTTGCTGATGGGACAGATGTTCTTCCCAATGCCAACAGGTGGCAGAGGAGGCTGGTCAGACAATGGCTGCTCTGTCAAAGACAGGAGATTGAATGAAACCATCTGTACCTGTAGCCATCTAACAAGCTTCGGCGTTCTGCTGGTAATATGCCTGTGCCACGTGGCCTTAAATTCTGAGTCTGAGGGGTAGCTGGGCATCACACTACAATGTCTAATCTGATGGATGGATAACCGTGACAGATCAGCAGATATGATATTGTGGCTGATTTATACACCAATGAGATTGCTCTTTGCTGGGCATGGTGGCTCACGCCTGTAATCCCAGCACTTTGGGAGGCCAAGGTGGGTGGATCACTTGAGGTCAGGAGTTCGAGACCAGCCTGGCCAACATGGCGAAACCCCGTCTCTACTAAAAATACAAAATTAGCTGGGTGTGGTGGTGCGTACCTGTAGTCCCAGCTACTCAGGAGGCTGAGGCAGGATAATCGCTTGATCCTGGGAGGCAGAGGTTGCAGTAAGCCGAAATCACACCATTGTACTCCAGTCTGGGCAACAGAGAGAGACGCCATCTCAAAAAAAAAAAAAAAAAGAGAGAGAGATTCCTCTTCTAATAAGCAAATGCACCTGAAGGAAAATACCTGAACATGAAAGACAAGTATTTTTTCACATTCTCTTTTTACATTTAAGTTTTTCTCTTTTAAATAATTAAGAGAACTAAGGAATTCAGATTAGGATGAGTAATAAAAATTGTTTAGTTTGCAATGCACTTTAAGATTTTTACAAAACACTTTGACATAAATGCTCTTATTTAATCATCCCAACAGTCCTGCAAGATAGGTAGAATGGGGAGTTGCTATTGTCATTTTATTAAAATCAGAATTAAGACTCTCTTGTTAGATAGTTGCCCACAGTCATAGAACTAAGAAATGTAAGAGGCAGGAGCTAAATTGCAGTCTTTAGGCTCCTAGTCCAGTTCCTTTCCATTGCACTATAATGCAGTGATCAAGTATGTGGGCTTTGGAGTGTGCCAGACCTGAATTTGAATCTTGGCTTCTCCACTTTCTATCTGTGTGTCCTTGAGCAAGTTACTTAACCTCTCTGTGTCTGTCTCTGTTTCCTTATCTTTACCTGATAGTAATAATTGTGCCTACCTCATAGGTTTGTTGAATAGACTATGAATGGATCCCTAGAATACTTGATACATCATAAGTCTTGTATTTATTTAAAAATATTTGATTATTAAAAGCAATATTTCATTTTCCAGGACCTATCTAGGACATCTGTGCTGCCTGCTCAAATGATGGCTCTGACGTTCATTACATATATTGGTTGTGGGCTTTCATCAATTTTTCTGTCAGTGACTCTTGTAACCTACATAGCTTTTGAGTGAGTATCCACAACCGGAAATTTGGATTTAGGACTCAGCACTCACCTCCATTGCCAACATTTATTAACTAAGCCCTTTCCTCGGCCTGCCTTACCCTGTACACCCAGCTAGTGGAGCATCCATGTATCAACTTTATGGGACTTGTTGGTTTATATGCTTGTGTCCTCACACTAGTCTGTGGACTCCCTGAAGGCAGGGGTTGTGTCAGAATCATCTTGGTGCCCCAGAATGACACCCAGTACCTGATAGACATAAAGTGTGAAATGAATGAGGGATGCAGGCCCCAAAACCCAGAGACTTACCATCTGAAATAGACCACAGCACCATGTACAGCATAAGAACTATGTTTAATAAATTACATTTCTAAATTATACTGAGCAAACACAAAAGATTAAATACATTAACTGGTGTGGGGATGGAGAGAAATAAGGATGTAAAAGCTTTACTGAAAAAAATAGATATTCAGTGAGTGTAGCTCTGCAGCAAGAATGCCATTCTAAAAAACAGCCTTTCCTTCTTGGCTTACCAGACAGGTCCCTTTGGTTGCTTTTTGGGGGTAATTCCAACAAATTCTAATGGAAAAGAAGGACATGGGCATTTTTATTGCATTAACGAATCGAAACAATATGTAGGTTCTTGGATTTAGATTTTGGACACTGATCAGGAAATGTAAAAATTTATTTTCAGTGCCAAAGTTAGGGTCTAGCTGTGACTACGGATCTTCTAGTGAGCCTTTGGAAATATTATTAGTGAGACTAAATAACCAGAAGGCCAGCCATTACTCAGAATGATTTCATCGGATCTAATTTTGCATGCATAAACATGAACATGTCATCAATTAGCTGGCTTCTCCTATGCTATTACATTTAGCTGTAGTTTAAACTCTTCTTTCCATGATCTCATTTTACCTAATAACATACAATAATATGGGAATCTTGGTTAAATTTTGAAGATCTGAATATAGCAGACTCCATGAGAAGCAGCACCAATGCTTCCGAAAGTAGTCTGGGAGAAATAGGGCGAGTGCTTAGTAGAGTCTACTACAAACTATTTAAAAGTATGCGTCAACAGTCAGCATGTAAAAGGTCCCACAGAAATACAGACACAAATTCTCCTTATGGTTATCACAGATGATTCTGTTTAGATTTTTCCTTTGTTGTTGTTGGTTTTAAGCTCCCCCCCACCCCATATACACATATACTCAAACAGAGGAAATTTATGCATATAGACATTTACCAAAGAATAAAAATAAATTGCTTAAAACTCAAAGAGCCTGACAGATATGCTTACATAAGGGTTGGTGCTAGGTGTGGTAACTCATGCCTGTAATCCCAACACTTTGGGAAGCCAGGGCAGCAGGATTGCTTGAGCCCAGGAGTTTGAGGCCAGCCTAGGCAACATGGCGAAACCGTGTCTCTACAAAAAAAATAAGGGTGTGGTAGAGAGCGCCTGTAGTCCCAGCCACTCAGGAGACTGAGGTGGGAAGATCGCTTGAGCCCAGGAGGCAGAGGTTGCAGTGACCTGAGATCACGCTACTGCACTCCAGCCTGGGTGACAGAGCCAGACCTTATCTTAAACCAAAAAAAAGTTGGAGGGTTGGCAGAGTAGAATGCTCATTCTTGTTCTCATCCTTTCCTTTTAGAAAGATCCGGAGGGATTACCCTTCCAAAATCCTCATCCAGCTGTGTGCTGCTCTGCTTCTGCTGAACCTGGTCTTCCTCCTGGACTCGTGGATTGCTCTGTATAAGATGCAAGGCCTCTGCATCTCAGTGGCTGTATTTCTTCATTATTTTCTCTTGGTCTCATTCACATGGATGGGCCTAGAAGCATTCCATATGTACCTGGCCCTTGTCAAAGTATTTAATACTTACATCCGAAAATACATCCTTAAATTCTGCATTGTCGGTTGGGGTATGTATAAGCTTGCCTGCATGTTGCCTGGACTTTCTCTGCCTTTTCTCTAGTGTTTTGATTTTTGAGCAGGTGGAAACGATGAAGCAGATCACATTCAGCAAGTTTCTAAAACAGCTTTATACTCTTACATGTGCACTGCCCGAAGAGCAACTTTGTCAAGTCTCCTTCTAGGACACCTGTTTATTTCTTTGGATTTGTTATGAATATGGAATTCCTCAAGGTTGAACCATGAATCCTCTTTGTATCTCCAGGAACTAGAATTTGGGGCTGGCACAGAAGGTGCTCAATATATTGAAAACATTAGCTTGGGGTGGTAATATATTGAAAACATTAGCTTGGTGGTAAAGAGCCCAAACTCTCAGTCCCTGAGCTCCCAGCCAGCCTCATTCTACTTTGTACCTCCCAGATATCAGACACGTATGACAGTATGCTAAGAAGGGCAGAGTGAGAGAATGTACATATAAAACCCATTGTAACTTCACTGCCACGTGGGCATGACATTTCAGATTGTGCAGCCTATTGGTGGCAGGTCGCAAGGCCTTAGGCTCCCCAAATATGTTGAAGATTTCTTCATTCAATTTCCCACCCAATGCAGGAGCCTCTTCAACCCTCAACTCCACCTGACTTATCCTTGACTAAAGATAATCTAACTTCTGCTTGAATACTTCTATTACTGGGGAGTTCATGACCTTACAAGGCAGCCAATAACCATTTTATAAAGCTCTACAGTTCTGATTTTCCATTAAGTTCAGTTGGCTCCCTGGTGGCACTTACCAGTGGTTTTGCTCAGGCAGAAAACAGTAAGTTGATACCTCTTCTGCCAGAGAGTCCTTTAGATAATCTACAAGTAATATATAACAGTGTGTATAATCCCCTGTTTTTCACACAAGTGACCCCATGCAAGATAAGCCAGTGAGGTGAGCCAGGCAGTCATCCCAAATGTAGGTGAAGAAACTGGCTCCAAGTGATGATGTGATATCCCCCCAATTCACAAAGCTAGAAAACAGCAAGCCTGGCTCTCCGTCTCCTTATATGCAGCCTTCTGCCATCCCCCCAACCAGACTGCCTCTATTTTCAGGCTAAATATTCCTACACATCAAGATTGAAAGCACACCACCACCCTTGCCACCCTGCCTTCTATCTTATGTCACTATGTCTTTGTGAAGAACAACAGAACAACACCCTTTCCCTGTTTGTCCCAGAAACATAAGTCAACGCTCCAGATACTGGGCACGGATTCTGTCTTCTTTAGAGAAGGCTGAAAGTCAGATTCCTTTCTTAAGTATGAGGCCCCCACCCCCAATGTTTTATTTTTAACAAAGTGTCTCACTTAGAAAATTATCATATGTCAGGGTCACCAGAAGGTACAAGCGCAAAGGCATTAAATGAACTATTAGATTTGATTTTACCAGGCACTGCAACTGGTCTGTGACAAGGAATTGTTTGTTCTTTACCAGAGCCTTGAGATAGGACGTCTGCTGGTCAGTGTGCAGAGTGTGGGGCGGTGGCATGGGGCTGGCGGGTGATGGTGTGCAGTGGTGAATAGGATTCTTTCCCCACCAAAAGCCATTTTAAACTTGGGGGACCCTTCTCATGGTACCTTCTCTGAAGGGAAGTGTCCGTGGGCTCTCAACAGAGCCAGCATAGTAGCAGTCACCACCCCCTGGATCAGCCAGGACAGAACCCTCCATCCTTCACTGGGTCTCAAAGTCTTCAAATTGAGGACTTTTGGTTTCATAATGAAAGATTTGCCAGGAGTTGCTGACTCTTAAATATACATTCCAGACATGTATAAGTTAAAGGCACAACGCTGGGTGCAGTGGCTCATGCCTGTAATCCCAGCACTTTGGGAGGCCGAGGTGGGCGGATCACCTGAGGTCAGGAGTTCGAGACCAGCCTAGCCAACATGGTGAAACCCCGTCTCTACTAAAAATACAAAAATTAGCCAGGTGTGGTGGTGCACACCTGTAATCCCAGCTACTTGGGAGGCTGAGGCACAAGAATCGCTTGAACCCGGGAGGCGGAGGCGGAGGTTGCAGTGAGCCGAGATTGTGCCACTGCACTCTAGCCTGGGTGACAGAGGGGGGCCGGGTGGGGGGTGGGGAGTTAAAGGCAACACTGGCAGCTGTAACAGATTCACCTTGAAATCTCAGTAGAAGATCATTTCTCACTCACCTACAGTCTAGTTAGCAGGGGCAGAGGAGTCCCTGGTCTTGCAGTTATTCAGGGATCCAAGCTATTGAAGACTCTGCCTCAAGGTTGCCCTAAGTTTGCAGGCAAAAAGAAAGTAGAGGATCTCACAGGAGGTTTCTATGGGGCAGGCCTGGAAGTGGAGCAAATCACTTGTGCCCGTATCCCATGGGCCCAAAGTGAGCCATGTGGCCACACACACCCAGCTGCCTGGGAGGCTGGGAGCATCCAGTCATGTGCCAAAGAGGAAAAGAAACCAGCCTGGTGAACAGCTAGCCAGTCTCTGCTACAAGATGTAAATAGGATGTGATCTCTAGTCTTGTCACCCACTTTGGTTATTAGAACTAGGTGTGACCAGCCGGGTGCGGTGGCTCACGCCTGCAATCCCAGCACTTTGGGAGACCGAGGCGGGCAGATCACGAGGTCAGGAGATCGAGACCATCCTGGCTAACATGGTGAAACCCCGTCTCTACGAAAAATACAAAACAAAAATTAGCCAGGCATGGTGGCACGCGCCTGTAATCCCAGCTACTAGGGAGGCTGAGGCAGGAGAATCACTTGAACCCAGGAGGCGGAGGTTGCAGTGAGCCGAGATCGCACCACTGCACTCCAGCCTGGGTGACAGAGCAAGAATCCGTCTCAAAAAAAAAAAAAAAAAAAATTAGGTGTGACCAATGTTTCCCATCTTCCAGGGGTACCAGCTGTGGTTGTGACCATCATCCTGACTATATCCCCAGATAACTATGGGCTTGGATCCTATGGGAAATTCCCCAATGGTTCACCGGATGACTTGTGAGTACAAAGCCCCCTAAGGGAATGCTAAGTGAACTGGAAAACGGAATGCTCCTAGAAAACGGAGGATCTAATCAGCATATTGACTCCTGCTATCATCCTAATAAAACCCAGCAATACTTCACAGCAGCCTTCACAGTCATATGTAATGAGAGAAGCTAGCTGGAAATGCCATGCTACTCTTCAAGTGATGAATTAGGAGCTATTCTGAAAAGAAAAATGAATTAGGAAGAACTATTTTGAAAATATTTTCATTAGCCTCTGATAAAATGACATTCCAGTTATATTAATAAAGACTCATAGAACAGAGTTGCTAGGATTTACAGGGGCAAAATCCTGAATGTTTAAAAAAAGGTCTATTTTTAAAATACTTTAAATCACCAAGTGTCCTCAAATAAACTCTTAGATTATTTTCCCTAGAGCTATAAATGGTTGTAGAGAATAGCAGTTTTATCATTTTTTTTCTCTTGTACTGGTAGAAAATGTTTCAGTAAAATGTTAGAGATTCATTGTATCATTTTGAACTCTAGTTCATTACTATAATATGTTTTCCCCTGTTTCCCCCCCTCCACAAACTCCAGCTGCTGGATCAACAACAATGCAGTATTCTACATTACGGTGGTGGGATATTTCTGTGTGATATTTTTGCTGAACGTCAGCATGTTCATTGTGGTCCTGGTTCAGCTCTGTCGAATTAAAAAGAAGAAGCAACTGGGAGCCCAGCGAAAAACCAGTATTCAAGACCTCAGGAGTATCGCTGGCCTTACATTTTTACTGGGAATAACTTGGGGCTTTGCCTTCTTTGCCTGGGGACCAGTTAACGTGACCTTCATGTATCTGTTTGCCATCTTTAATACCTTACAAGGTAAGCTTTACAGCATCAAATACAAACTGAATGATCCCAGTTGAATATAAAAATGTAGCTACTAAAAGAGTACAGGCATGCCTCAGAGATGTTGGGGGTTTGGTTCTAGACCACTACAATAAAGCAAATATTGCAATAAAGTGAGTCACACAAATTGTTGTTTCCCAGTGCATATAAAAGTTGTGTTTACACTAGACTATAGTCTATTAAGTGTGCAATTGCATGATGTCTAAACAAATGTACATACTTTAACTTAAAAATATTTTATTGCTAAAAACTGCTGATACAGAGACACAAGGTGAGTACATGCTGTTGGAAAAATGGCCTTGAGAGACTTGCTGGACGCAGGGCTGCCACAACCTTCAATTTGTAAAAAAAAAAAAAAAAAAAAAAAAGTACTATCTGTGAAACCCCATGAGGTATGCTTGTATATGCAAAGTAGCTTATTTAGTGGCTTATGATATTTTCATTGAAAAACATATTTATTATTGAGAGGGAGTGCTTTGAGATCCTTGGAGGAAAGGTGCTTACTAAATTCAAGAAATGGTGTTTTTTTCTCCTTATTCATAGTTGTCTCCTTGGAGAGACCATATTGAGGGGAACCTGCCAGGAACACTTTTTGAAAAAGTCAATTATTCTTCCTTCACTTGGTTTCTTTTAAAAAAAAAAACTTTTGTATTCAAGTAGAACATGCAGACTGTAAGCACACATACCATGACTGTGCCTGTGGGAGCTCACCACTCTCCCCTCCTAGGTCAGCGATTTGGAGACAATGAGAAATGGGAAGGCAACAGACAGACCCAAGTGGCAGCAGTCTTACTTGAAGGCTAATCCCAAGAAGTTGCTGCCCTGGGACACTCAGCGGGAAAGAGAGCAGGCTCTGTGTGTCGCCATCTGCTTTAGGTTTCCCATTGGTTAATGAAGCCCATGCATCTTGGAACCCTGATAGTTGTACTCTTTAGAAAGGAAAATGACTAATTCTTTTAGAGCAGTGTTATGAAAGACGTGTCTGCTGTTAATTTTTAATGGAAGTGCTTTGGCATTAAAAGCCCAGCAGGCTATTAGGTTTACATTACAATAACAATAATTCACTGTCCCTTAGTTTCCTTTTATTCTGAATCCTCTTTTGGGGATGCCTTTTAATTGCCTTCTCATTGGCTTTTGTTCATCTTTCCTGTTGCTTTTGCTCCCATATTGTCCTTCTCTAGTTCTATCAGGCAATAGATCATCTTGTTGGTTTTCAGAGAAATCCCAACCTGAGGTTAAATTCAAATGCCGAATTTGGTTGTTGGTTCTTATTTTAATTTGGAGGAAGCCAGCAGAGATGCTTGTTTGGTTATATATGGTTATTAATTTTTACTTATAATATAGCGGTTCCTCAATTGGTATATCCAGGTGTTACACCGCATGGTATTACATACAAAACCAAAAACATGAGCAAATTCTTTTTAAGGGTCTTAAGAAAAGTTTTATTTGCCAACCACGGCAATACTGAAAGTAATAGATACTTTAAAAGAAAAAACATATATATATGCCCACATTACACTAATCATTGACATGAAAGCAAGGTACCCACCCTCACATGTTTAATGTGGAAACTGAATCTGCCTTTTTCTTCATTTCCCCAGATTATCTTCTCATTAGAATATGAATGGATAAAAGGAATGAATGTATTGTTTCATCTATACAAGGAAACTAACCCTAATGCACAGGGCTTTTGGGGTGGTTGAATATATATATATCTTCTGATTTTGGCCTCTCTTATACATGCTGTTTCTCTCCTAATGCAACCAATGGTCGACTTCCAGGGTGACAAATGAATGAAGCTGTGTAATATTCAGACATGGGTCTTGACGGTGGGCACATATACCCTACTAGAAGCAAAACTGTTTTGTTTGTTTGTTTTTTGAGATGGAGTCTCGCTCTGTCACCCAGGCTGGAGTGCAGTGGAGCGATCTCGGCTCACTGCAACCTCCGCCTCCCGGGTTCAAGTGATCCTCCCACTTCACCCTCCTAAAGTGCTGAGATTACAGGCGTGAGCCACCACCACGCCTGGCCCCTGGTATCTTAAAATGAAGGTTTTAAAGTGAATAGATTGGGGGTTTTTAAGTAGAAAGCAGAGAACCCAGAATTCATCCATTCACTCAGCAAATATTTATTGGCAAAAGCCTTGGGGAGTGGCAGCCATGGGGCTGGCTGGGGAGCCCTGGCCTGCCTTGACTGGGCACCTGAGTGGGTGAGAGGTGGAGTCCCAGGGCCCCTTCAGGTCTTCAGCTTGCTCTCCATGCCAGCACCTGGGGCAGGTCAGGAGGAGGCAGGCAGGTAGGTGAGTGCATTGCTGTACTGCCTGGGTTTGAGGGGGAGAGAGAGATCCAAGCAAAGGACATGGCAGTGGGCTGGAGAGGAGGAGAGTGGGAAGGGAAAGATGTGTGGAGGAGATGGCATTTGACAGAGCTTGGAAACGGATTCTAAATAGGGAGGGAGGGAGAGGCAGGAGCCTAAGTCCAAGCTGGGATCCTGGGTGGATGGCTTGTAATTCCAAGATACGGAAGGCCAAGGACAGGATGTGGGAGGAGACAGTGAATTTAATTGTGGAAATGCAAAGTTATGATTCCTTTTATCATATAAATATTCTTAATCTTACAAAGATTTTCTAAAGGCATTCATTCCCCGATGCCTTTTGACAGCAAGCTTTCCTAGGACTCTGAACTTTTTATTCAATTTGCAAAATTTCATGTTGCCCACAGCTGCCAAAATAATTATTAATATCTTTTGTGCAAAGTGAGCTTATGACATTCAGCTATTAGCTTGGAATTCATTGTGGGTTTTTTTTCCCTCCTTAGGATTTTTCATATTCATCTTTTACTGTGTGGCCAAAGAAAATGTCAGGAAGCAATGGAGGCGGTATCTTTGTTGTGGAAAGTTACGGCTGGCTGAAAATTCTGGTAAAGATTTACCTCACTTTTTCTCTTCCTCTTAAATCTCAAGGAAAAGATTGTATAAATTAAGATCCAAAGCAAATCCAATCTAGAAATCAGTGAATTCCAGCAAATCTGGAATTTGCTCAACAGAAAATATTGATCGTGAACATTAGGGAGAAAAAAAAATCTAGTGAATTAAAAAATAATTATTTCTATCTGGGAATTTTTTGAGCAATAAAATTGATGGGCTGGCTGCCTCTTCAATGAAGCAACAGTAAAATTTTTAGAATTGATTTTCTATTGAGATTATGCTTTTCATTTCCCAAAGTAATTTTTAATATTTACCTTGGTAATTTTTAAAATCTCAACTCAATCCTTTCTCCACAGGTCCTGGTTGTCAGTTGCTTTATTTGTTAGTAAGCCAGACTTTGTGTATAAGCTTTAGCATACATTTGGTTGTAACATACATTTGTTTATTTTGAAGTGATTTTCACATATACCCGGTTGGGTAGTAGAGCAAATAGCTCATTTTTTTTTTTTAAGAAAATGAGAAAAATGAAGTACTGTTTGAAAAGCTACATTCCTTTTGCATGAATACCACCTTTGCAGTATCTGGGCGACACGGGAGTCTGTATTCAGAAAATGGCAGTACACATAGTTCAATCATTTTCATGGAGTGAAGAACAATTAGTCATTACAACACAGACTATTTGTGTTCTTGTTAAGACAGTGTGAGGCTCTGAATCACTACCTAATTCTATGGATATTTATAGACATAATCAAATTAGCTTGGCCTTTAGTTCTAGGAGAATATAGGTTACTTTTAACCCCACAGTCATTTGAAGGACAAATGTAAATAATCCAAATGAAAATACATGTTATCACACCAACTGGTGGAAGGTGACTTCTCCATAAGATCCTGAAGTGAGAAATCAGTTGCTTAGGACTTGTTACACTGTGATCTGTCTCTTGCGTTTGAGCTTCAACATACTGCCCTGTTTTTCTGTAATGCTTATTCTGCTGTAGACTGGAGTAAAACTGCTACTAATGGTTTAAAGAAGCAGACTGTAAACCAAGGAGTGTCCAGCTCTTCAAATTCCTTACAGTCAAGCAGTAACTCCACTAACTCCACCACACTGCTAGTGAATAATGATTGCTCAGTACACGCAAGCGGGAATGGTATGTATGTCTCAATATAGTATTTCTCAAGCTAGTGTTTATTTTTTAAAATAGTTTTATCCTTTATTGGCATTTTGGCTAAGCAAAGTGAGTAACTATTAATACATATATGACTAGTGGATCAAAATGTGGTTCCCTTACAGAAGAGAAAGTTTACTAATCCAAATTGATTTATTATAGAGCAAATACTGGAACAACGATTTTTTAAGATTTGGTTTTTCATAGTGGGAATTGATGATGACCTAAAAATTTTAACATTTTAAATCCTCACTTAACTATTGTCCAAAGACTTCAGTATTGTGCTATTTCTGTGAGAGCAGTACCTAAAATAGCTGATAAGACTATAGCAATTTTTATTACATCTATCATAATATACATGTTCAACATTTTTTTTTTTTGAGATGGAGTCTCACTCTTGTTGCCCAGGCTGGAGTGCAATGGTGCAATCTCAGCTCACTGCAACCTCCACCTCCTGGGTTCCAGCAATTCTGCCTCAGCCTCCCGAGTAGCTGGAATTACAGGTGACCTACAGGTGACCGCCACGATGCCCAGCTAATTTTTGTATTTTTAGTAGAGACAGGTTTCACCATGTTGGCCAGGCTAGTCTCGAGCTCCTGACCACAAGTGATTTGCCCACCTCGGCCTCCCAAAGTGCTGGGATTACAGGTGTGAGCCACCGCGCCCAGCCAACACTTTTAAACCTTCCTATTTTTTGCTTTTCATGTTTGTTAATTCTTTCCCACAATGTGGCTGTCTTGTGACAGCACCCAAATCCCCATGAATATGTCAAAATACTGGAAGATGACTTGTGACCAGTATTGGTGACCATATATGTGACCAATATCTGAACAGATTATTGCTGCCATGCCTCCTTTACTCATTAATTCTGACATTTCTAGCTAAAACTTCTGTTACATTTTCTTTCTTTCATAAGACCAGGCTGTTCATTACTCATAAAAGCTTACCTTATCTATTTTTACCTTCTCTTGCTTCTTAATATATCTTTTGCATTCTTATAAAAACATAAGCTCTGCTGGTATAGTTTCTCCTTCCATGGAGAATTTGCCTGTATTCATTGTTTTAGGATGTTAGTTCTTTTCATGACTAACTCAAATAAATTTGTGAGAAGGTTCATACATCTACCAGTTTTCCCGTTTCCTGAAGATGGGCAGTCCTGCTGGTGTGTCTAGACTTTTTTTTTTTTTTTTCTTTTTTTTTATGACAAGGTCTCCTATTGCCCAGGCTGGAGTTCAGTGGTATGATCACGGTTCACTGCAGCCTCGACCTCCCAGGCTCAAGTGATCCTCCCACCTCAGCCACCCGAGTAGCTGGGACTGTAGGAGCATGCCACCATGGCTGGCTAATTTTTTTTTTTTTTTAAGATGCAGTCTTGCTGTGTTGTCCAGGTTGGTCTCAAACTCCTGGGCTCAAGTGATCCTCCCGCCTCAGCCTCCCAAAGTGCTGGGATTACAGGTGTGAGCCACTGTGCCCGGCCTGTCTAGGCTTTTAAAATACCATAGGATGCCTCAAAATCAAGGTTTCTCAACTTCAAGCACAATTGACATTTTGGGGCTGGATAATTCTTTTTTGTGGAATTGCAGGACATTTAGCAGGATCCCTGGACTCTATCAACTAGAGCCAGTAGCACCCTGCCCCCAGTTATGACAACCCAAAATGTCCCCAGACACTGCCAACTGTCCCAGGGGAGCGGGGAGAAGAAGGGAGCAAGATTGCCCCCAGTTGAGAATCACTGCTGTAAAAGATGAGAAATAACTGTTGTATAGCCTTAGCTCTTTACTGTCGATACCAGAAAGCAAGCTCTGGGCTCTACACCAAATAGCTCTATCAGGAATGATTCAATGTAGGTAAACAGAGGCGAGGCAGCGGGGAGCACAGCTGGTTAGTACGTTAGTGTGAGAAAGCAAATTGAAAGGAGAGACATCAAAGGAGCGAGCAGGGTCATCTGGGGCTCTGAATCCATAAACCAGATTTGTCCATATTCTCGAAAGAGCTCAGAGATGAAGCCTCACCTGCCTAGCTCTATCAACATGTTGTCATCCTTTGGGAAATCAGATTTCATGGAAACAGCACATTTTACCACAGTTGTTTAACACAGCTGATTTGACACAGCTACTTTTGATGCTTGACGGTGAGGATGGGGGTACATTTTAAGGCTGCCAAAATGGCTCAGTGTTTAATATCACATAATATGCATGTCAGATAACCATTCCTGACTCCTCAGTCCTTGCCCCAGCATCTGGGATAGATGAGGAATGGAATTGGCAATTTCAAAAAAGAAAGCTAGGGCTGGGCGCAGTGGCTCACACCTGTAATCCCAGCACTTTGGGAGGCTAAGTTAGGAGGATCACCTGAGGTCAGGAGTTCAAGACCAGCCTGGCCAACATGGAAAAACTCCATCTCTAATAAAAAATGTGAAAATCAACCAGACGTGGTGGCACACACCTGTAGTCCCAGCTACTCAGGAAGCTGAGGCAGGAGAATCGCTTGAACCCAGGAGACAGAAGTTGCAGTGAGCCTAGATCTCACCACTGCACTCCAGCATGGGCGACAGAACGAGACTCCGTCTCAACAACAACAAAAAAAGCTAGAAGTTTAATGATTTATTATGCCAGACCAAATTGTTCTTGCACCAAAATGTCCTCAAGCCGAAATGCCTAAATCCAAACAGCTGCCTCAGACAGTCACATGCCCTATTTGATCTGTGTCACAGATGGAGCTACGTTAACCATATTCATCACCTAGTTTGCATGAATATTACACAGTTCAGTTCTGAGCTGCCTTAGAGGGTGGGGTACCAGCAGCCATCTCATTTGGTACCCAGGACCACAAGGATCACAGTTTGGAAGCAACATCACACGTCAACTCCATTACTTCTGAGCTGTGTGACCTTGGGGAGAGCACTTAATTTCTGAAACCTTCGTTTCCTCATCTGCAAAATGGGGATAACAGTAGTACCCACCCTGCAGGGCTCTAAATGAGATAATAAAGTGTCCCAGTACTGTTATGATCATTGTTATCATAATCATGTCATGAACTATCAAATGGGCTTATTATTCAGCTTTGTGTATAGTCTCCCAATGGTCTAATGATCAGAAGGATGGTGCCAAGTAACTAGAGGAGGCCAGCACCTGTGCTCCCCTATAACTCAGGGCCTGCTTGGGGTGGGGAAGGCCCACGTCCAAACCAACAGTTACCCTTGAGTGCCCAGCTGCTCCCTGGCCTGGACTCTGAAGTTGGAATTGGTAGTTTCCTCTTGGGAATTTGTCCTGTCCTGATTTAGTCAGAGGAGCTGGTTTAATCTACAAGAGAGATGATTTCTTCTTGCCATGACTGTTGTAGCTGGTTGCTCTGGTTTCTCTGGTACAAAGTTTCATTTTATAGGAACCTAGGGAACCAAGAACTTCCTAAGGGTACATATGGGGATCTCTGTTAACATTAACCTTTTGGGAGACCAAAGTATTACCTTAGCTTATATTATACATATGCTGCTACTTGAAGTCAAAACATATCCAACCAGAGTTAGGAAGTGGGCCTTTTATTAATATATTACCTTGCTTCAGATTTTGACTGTTTCATTAAAAACCAAACAAAAAAAAAACTGCCATAGAGAACTGGTTTCTGAAGCAATCTCCACTTTGGTATGCTTACTTTGAGTGGCCTTAGGGAAGTAATGAAAAATAAATAAAATATGAACATATATCACAAATGTTTTTAAAAACATATTTTACAAATACATCTTTAAGAATAAAGCAATGTCTAAGTTTGTTTGCTTTTTAATGCTTTCTGTGGATACTTCATGCCACCCGCTTTGTGTTTCCTTATACAGGAAATGCTTCTACAGAGAGGAATGGGGTCTCTTTTAGTGTTCAGAATGGAGATGTGTGCCTTCACGATTTCACTGGAAAACAGCACATGTTTAACGAGAAGGAAGATTCCTGCAATGGGAAAGGCCGTATGGCTCTCAGAAGGACTTCAAAGCGGGGAAGCTTACACTTTATTGAGCAAATGTGATTCCTTTCTTCTAAAATCAAAGCATGATGCTTGACAGTGTGAAATGTCCAATTTTACCTTTTACACAATGTGAGATGTATGAAAATCAACTCATTTTATTCTCGGCAACATCTGGAGAAGCATAAGCTAATTAAGGGCGATGATTATTATTACAAGAAGAAACCAAGACATTACACCATGGTTTTTAGACATTTCTGATTTGGTTTCTTATCTTTCATTTTATAAGAAGGTTGGTTTTAAACAATACACTAAGAATGACTCCTATAAAGAAAACAAAAAAAGGTAGTGAACTTTCAGCTACCTTTTAAAGAGGCTAAGTTATCTTTGATAACATCATATAAAGCAACTGTTGACTTCAGCCTGTTGGTGAGTTTAGTTGTGCATGCCTTTGTTGTATATAAGCTAAATTCTAGTGACCCATGTGTCAAAAATCTTACTTCTACATTTTTTTGTATTTATTTTCTACTGTGTAAATGTATTCCTTTGTAGAATCATGGTTGTTTTGTCTCACGTGATAATTCAGAAAATCCTTGCTCGTTCCGCAAATCCTAAAGCTCCTTTTGGAGATGATATAGGATGTGAAATACAGAAACCTCAGTGAAATCAAGAAATAATGATCCCAGCCAGACTGAGAAAATGTAAGCAGACAGTGCCACAGTTAGCTCATACAGTGCCTTTGAGCAAGTTAGGAAAAGATGCCCCCACTGGGCAGACACAGCCCTATGGGCTCATGGTTTGACAAACAGAGTGGAGAGACCATATTTTAGCCCCACTCACCCTCTTGGGTGCACGACCTGTACAGCCAAACACAGCATCCAATATGAATACCCATCCCCTGACCGCATCCCCAGTAGTCAGATTATAGAATCTGCACCAAGATGTTTAGCTTTATACCTTGGCCACAGAGAGGGATGAACTGTCATCCAGACCATGTGTCAGGAAAATTGTGAACGTAGATGAGGTACATACACTGCCGCTTCTCAAATCCCCAGAGCCTTTAGGAACAGGAGAGTAGACTAGGATTCCTTCTCTTAAAAAGGTACATATATATGGAAAAAAATCATATTGCCGTTCTTTAAAAGGCAACTGCATGGTACATTGTTGATTGTTATGACTGGTACACTCTGGCCCAGCCAGAGCTATAATTGTTTTTTAAATGTGTCTTGAAGAATGCACAGTGACAAGGGGAGTAGCTATTGGGAACAGGGAACTGTCCTACACTGCTATTGTTGCTACATGTATCGAGCCTTGATTGCTCCTAGTTATATACAGGGTCTATCTTGCTTCCTACCTACATCTGCTTGAGCAGTGCCTCAAGTACATCCTTATTAGGAACATTTCAAACCCCTTTTAGTTAAGTCTTTCACTAAGGTTCTCTTGCATATATTTCAAGTGAATGTTGGATCTCAGACTAACCATAGTAATAATACACATTTCTGTGAGTGCTGACTTGTCTTTGCAATATTTCTTTTCTGATTTATTTAATTTTCTTGTATTTATATGTTAAAATCAAAAATGTTAAAATCAATGAAATAAATTTGCAGTTAAGATCTTTAAGTTTGGTAATTTTCACAAAGAAAAAACATCTGCAGTCTCTTTCCCTGGTGGCCTGGCATGGAAGTGGTGTAGGACATGCTGATTAAGACAAACACAATTGGCTGGGCATGGTGGCTCACACCTGTAATCCCAGCACTTTGGGAGGCTGACGCAGGTGGATTGCTTGAGTGCAGGAGTTGGAGACCAGCCCGGGCAGCACAGGGAGACCCCTGTCTCTACAAAAAATTAAAAATTAGTTAGTCATAGTGTTGTGTGCCTGTACTCCTAGCTACTCAGGAGGCTGAGGATGGAGGACTGCTTGAGCCTGGAAGTTTGGGGCTGCAGTGAACCACGATTGTGCCATTGCACTCCAGCTTAGGCGACAGAGCGAGACACCATCTCTTAAGAAGACAAACATAACAGTAACATCTTTTGGAAATCAGCAGGTACCCTGTGACTATGAAATTAGAGCAAGGGTTGTTCTGCCTCATGAGATCAGTTTCTGAGGTCTCCTTTCCCATTACTCTTTCAAGATTATCTCTTCAACACATTGCCTTTGGCCTGTAGGCAATGTACAAGACCCAATTCAGATCTCATCCAAGTATCTGCTTCCTCAGTGTCAAACAGGTAGGACTACTGAAAAGTGAGAACAGGATTTGGGATTTCTGCATTGCTGGTTAGCATGTGGGATCCCCAAATACGGGAAGCTGGCCTCACCCTGGTAAGAGGTCTCTGAGCAATCTCTTCTTCAAGGTCCTCAGCTCCCACAAAGATGCCGAGTACTAAATTCAAAGGAAGATGTGAGATCCTCTAGATTGGGAGAGGGGTGAGACCTCAGAAATCAATCCCCCAAAACAGATTATATAACCAAAATATACATAAAAGGATGCACAATGTCCAGTATCCTTTAGGTCCCACCCCCTTATTTTTCCTACTGTGTCTGTGCTGTGGTCCTTAAGCAGAATTCTCTCATCTATTTTTCTTACTTTAGACAGACGTACGGCAGGACAGAGAGTGTTTCTGAGAAGCATCCTCCTTTGGGTCTAAGATTGATCCCATGTTCTGAGACTCTATTGTAAGGAAACAGAGGTGGTGCCAATATTAGGAGGCAAGGAGTGTCAGGGCAGAGGCCAGTATTTAAAGAAGTATTTCCTCAAAATATTGGAGTAGTTTTTTTTTGTTTTGTTTTGTTTTTCCTCAAAACACACTGCAGTCATTAACCCCACAAAGGAAGTCTGCTGACTTCAGTGAGCAGCATCATGATCGTTCTTACTGAAAATGGTGAAGCAAGCCAGGCAAGCACCTGTAGTCCCAGCTACTTGGGAGGCGGAGGCAGGAGGATCGCTTGAGCCAGGAAATTGGAGTCCATCCTGGGCAACACAGAAAGACCTCCTGTCTTTAAAACAAACAAACAAAAAACGATGAAACAGCTTCACTTGGGATACTGGGTATGTCTAAGGAGGTCAGCTAGGAGTCAGTCGGTTTGTCAAAGGCCATTTAGACAAAGATTAATTTACAGCATAACCAATTCACAGAGTGGACTTGTTTGGTGTCATTTTGTCTCCATAACAGCATTTTAAGGACTAGTTTGTCTTTGTCTCTGCTCCTTGCTGTTCTAGTTGGAGTCCGAAGGAAAGGAAAAAGGAAAGACTGGGTAGACATAAGAACATAATCTTCAATTTGAAGAATTCTTATCAGTGTATACTTTTTTTTTCTTTTTTTTTTTTTTTTTTTGAGACAGAGTCTCGCTCTATCACCCAGGCTGGAGTGCAATGGTGCAATCTTGGCTCACTGCACTCTCCACTTCCTGGGTTCAAGCAATTCTCCTGCCTCAGCCTCTCGAGTAGCTGAGATTACAGGCACCTGCCACCATGCCCAGCTAATTTTTGTATTTTTTGTAGAGATAGGGTTTCACCATATTGGCCAGGCTGGTCTTGAACTCCTGACCTCAAGTGATCCACCAGCCTCAGCCTTCCAAAGTGCTGGGATTACAGGTGTGAGCCACTGCGCCTGGCCAGTATATACTGCTTTCTTTTCATGTTAGTCTCCAGGTACAGCATCAAGAAGTCAGAGCAGGCAAAAATGGAATATATGTTCTTTTAGAATATATTCTTTTAAATATATTTAATAAATATATTCCTCACTGTGAAGAAATCTTATGTTCCCTGGTGTTTCCTCTCTTTATCTCTTAGCCTCAAACGAGCTACAGGAAGCTGGAGCAGAGACAAATTCAACATTCTTTAAAATGTAACGAAAAAATGATTTCCAGTCAACTAAATTATCATAGAAATAACTAAATTTGGTGAATTGGTCATTTTCAGCAAATTCATTCAGAATTGACCTTCTGGGTCAAAGATGGAGTGATTTTCTTTAGAGCCAAAGACCTGAACCCTACAAGAGAAACATTTATTGGTTTCCACCTTGGATGTTAACATGGGGCTCTCTGGAAACTACCTGGGCTGAAGTCTCTGTGGCAGGATGATGGCAGATCCTCTGGCTGGGGTCAGAAAAATCATACATGGTGCTACCCCAGGGTCCAGTTCTGGGTCTTCATTTTTATGGAGATCATGAATCAGCTTCAGAAACAATAACATTCCCTATCATTATACTATATCTGATTCTTGACAAATATTTGAGAAATGACTTGGAGACAAGTTTCTATTGGTGATAACCAGAGAATGGCTTCATGGATATGGGGACCAAGATATGGAGGTTTTGCACCTCAGGGATATGAGGATACTAAAATGTGAGACTGATTTATTATATAGTACAGCTTTCTGGTCCAAAATGAATCACTAAAATTTGCTTTAAAAATTTAAAAGCTAAAACGGAGTAGCCTTCCTTCTTGGTTTTATCCCAGAATTTTGAGCTTATTGAAGAACATAGCTTATATATTGCTATGCAATCGCATAGACCAAAGCCGAAGAATGTAGATTGCCTATACACCAAAAGGGGTGCAAATGTGCACAGCAGAATTAGCGAAGAATGAAGTCAGGAAACTGAAAATGTTTCTATACTAGGTGGAAATGCCAGATAAGGAGCAAAGATCATCAGTTATTTCCCATATGGCTGCAAAATCAACTCCTAAGGAAGGACCCAATGGAAACAAAAGCCACAATGAAAAGAAGCAATGATCCCAGCTTTTAGATGGAGATGAATACATGAAAATTCTAGCAAGAGTACATATTCAGATTCCAAAACATTTAGTGGTGATAACAATGTCTAGTTTTATTCACCCCTAGACCACAGCAAATTCTTCATGGAGGCACATCACATGGATCACTGCATAATTCAAAAGCCAATATTAAGAAAACAAAGTATTATATGAAGTAATATGTGAGCTGATGTGGGGTTTGGTGCTTTAGTTGAGTGACAGAGTAAAGCCATAGATTTATGTTCTGGAATATCTAATATAAACTTGGTTAAGGACCAAACATAAGGGAACGCAGCTAAGCAGGACTGATTTCATTTACTCATGCGAGCAACATTAATTGAGCTCCAACTATATGCTCAACACTGTACCAGGCATAGTAGGAGATACCAAAAGACTGTTTCAATGAATAACGTACATTCCAATTAGGAAAATATGCCTCATCCACACATGAAAACATAAATAACAACAGGAGGCAATACATTGTGGCCAAGTGACAACGAAATTAGCTATGATTTATTAAGTATTTTTCTACTAGCCAGGCTTGTGCTAAATGCTTTATATTCATCCTCTTGATCTTAAGTCATCCTGTGAGGTAGGTGCTATGATTATCTCCATTTTACAGATGAGAACACTTAAGTTCAAACATGTAAAACGGGATGCCAAAGGTCATACGACTTGTAAATGACAGAACTGACATTTGAACTCAAAATGAACTGACTCTAAGTCCTAAGCTCTTACTAAACCAATGGCTACAGAAATTCAGAAAATGGGGAAGGCTAATAGAGGAGCTGAGCTGGCCGTTAAGGGAAAGATAGGCTTCAGTTAGTCAAGGAGGAGGAAGAAGGGCCGAAGGGGTCAAGCATAGAGTAAATGCATGGAGACTGGAAAAGAGCTTGCGGAAATTGATTGCATTAGTCTAGCTGTCCAGTAAATTCCTATGTGGGCCAGATTTTGGTGGACAATGAATACCAGGCCGAAGATTGTGAACTGTAGGTTATCAGCAGCCACGAAACATTATAATGAATGCCAAGTTTCAAGCTGTAGACCCGTGGGAGATGAACTGCGAACCTGCCCGAGGAAGCGGCGCCCAAGTGGCTAGGGGCGGGGTCACAGGCGCCAGAGGTGTCGCTGGGGCACCTCTCCGGGCCTTCCCCCTTTTTCTTCCGGGCTGGGTCCCGCTACTCCAGTTCCGCTAGGCGGCGGAGACGGGGCCAGAGGTGGGACTACAATCTTGGCCCTCAGAGGGGTGCCCAGGCGGCCGCGGTAGGCGGCCCTCTTTCTCCGGCCTCGAGTGGGACTGGCACCCGTCTCGGGGGGCTCCACACTACCACGCAGGAAAGCCAACTCGTCCGCCGCCCGAAGCCGGGTTCCCCTAGACTCCCACGGGCCGCCTCCTTTTTCGTCCCCCCCGAGGCCGCGACTCTGAGGGTTCCGCTCTGCGGCGGAGGTGGGGCCAGGGGCGGGGATGTGGGCGGGGCCGTGAGGTCGTTCCAGGGCGCGGGGCGGGGCCGCCCCCTTACCTGTGCCCCTCAGGGTTCCAAACGTTCCACTCCGCGGCAGGGGCGGGGGCGAGTCCGGAGGGCGGGTCCAAGGCGCCCAGGTGGCCGCGGCAGAAGGGCCTGTTTCTCTGGCCTTGGCTGTGGTTGGCAGCCGGCCGGGGAGAGAAGGGACTCAGGGAGGCAACCTGGTTCCCGCCCGTTGCTGATTTCGCAGCGGCTCTCCCGGGCCGCCCCCTTTTCCTTCCTCCTCAGGCCGCGACTTGGAGGGTTCCGCTCCGCGGCGGGGGCAGAGCCAGGGGCGGGGCTGAGCGCGGCCTGGGCGATCTCCCCGGCGGCTGGGGTGGGCTGGCGTCTTCTTCGCGCCCGGGGGACCTCCTCGCGACCGCCGGGACGTAAAAGGGGCTTGGCAGGGGCGTCCTCGCCCCACTCCCGGAACCTGGTTTCCCGCTGCTCCCGCGAGCGTCGGGAGCCCAGCAGGCCTGGCCGAGGCGGGACCTTCGTCGCTCCAGCCCCCGTCCCCGCCCCCGCGCCTCCCCGCCGCGCGGAGCTCTGGTTGGCTTGCTTTCCAACCGGACTTTGGGGCTAGCGTTTAGAAAAGTCTCGACCTCCTCCGGCCCGGTCCCATCCCAAGAACCGACTAAGGCTGTGAGTGTCCGGGAACCAGACCCGCTTGGAGGCCACAGCCCCGACGTCCCGCGCCCACGCGGCAGATCGGGCGCTGCGGCCTGGGAGCCTCGGGGAGATGCGGAGCAGGAGCAATTCCGGGGTCCGCTTGGACGGGTACGCGCGGCTGGTGCAGCAAACCATCCTGTGTTACCAGGTAAGGAGGGACCGCCCCCAGGGAACGCGTGGAACTACCCTCTCATGTAACTCATTCTCCTTCCCAGGTCTGGCCCTCTTGTGACCTGAGACCTTGCAATTAAGAGTTTGCTATTTGAATCTAGTCCTTGCTAGCCAGTGATTACCACCCCATTGCCACCCCGTGCTCCTTAAGATTCAGGGGACCTAA
The DNA here is from genome assembly GCF_000001405.40 of Homo sapiens. Taxonomy (NCBI): domain Eukaryota; kingdom Metazoa; phylum Chordata; class Mammalia; order Primates; family Hominidae; genus Homo; species Homo sapiens. The sequence continues at coordinate 18,983,665 of NC_000023.11, read as the reverse complement.
CTGTTGCTACGGCTACTTTTCACAGAATTCTTTGGCCATTGTTCAGGATGAGAATGAGCCGCCTCCGTGCCCGGGTCCAAACTGCCTCTTTTTGCATTGACTCTGCTTTTTTTGGACGAGAAGAGGTGTGGGGGGTTTGGACAGACTACACTGAATGAGAACAGTAGACAGGAGTGAAGAAGCTCCTGAAGTTTACGCAGGACTCTGCAGTGTGGGGCGACAGCTACCGTCCCTCCCATGAGCTGTCTTGGTAGAGACCCACCTGGGAAGCCCTTAGGGGCTACTTTGGTTGCTATTTTACAGATAAGAAAATTGTGAGGCTAGAAAGGTCACTGCATGTAGCAGGTCAGACCCAAAGGCTCCCAAGCTCACAGGGTCCTATGACACTGCCCATGTGGTCCGAGGTATGAATTTGCCTGCTATGCTTTGTATTCCTGGGCTAAAATTATGTGTGGGTCCATCAGTGTAAGACCACTGAACTATTTTTATTCCTAGTGAAGACAGCAGCTATGTTTCTTGCCCTCAATCAACAGCAACTATTTATAGGGCCTTCAAAGTCAACGAAGGAAGTGGCATTCAGGGGTTAGAGGCCTGACCTGCAAGTTGGGAGCCATGGTCATTTCCAAGGCACTGACCATTTTCCCTTCTTAACTAATTTCTTAGCCTTGTTTCCTCACTTAGGAAATATTTGTGGTGTATCTGTTATATGCAAAGCACTCTACAAAGTGCTGGGGTTACAAGAATAAATGATCGTAGTGCAGTAACATTTATGCATAAGGTATAGGTCCAAAGTCCCTTAATCTGTTTTCTTTGTTGTTGTTTGTTTGTTTTTGAGACAGGGTCTCACTCTGTCTCCTAGGCTGGAGTGCAGTGGCGCGATCTCGGCTCACTGAAACCTCTGCCTCTCGGGTTCAAGCGATTATCCTGCCTCAGCCTCCCGAGTAGCTGGGACTACAGGCGTGCGCCACCACACCCAGCTAATTTTTGCATTTTTAGTAGTGACGGGGTTTCACTGCGTTGGCCAGGCTGGTCTCGACCTCCTGACTTCAAGTCATCCTCTCACCACGGCCTCCCAAAAGTGCTGGGATTACAGGCATGAGCCACTGCACCTGGCCTCAGAGTCCATTATCTGAAACCCTTTGGACCAGTTGTGGTTTGCCCATCAGAAATGTTTGGCTTTTAGAAAGGTAATATGCGTACAACGTACTATATATACCATAATAACTGCAGCCAGATCTGGGCAGCACCCCTTCATCAAACAGGTTATTACTTCCACATCAGAATATGAATATTCACATAATTTCAGTAAAGGCTGAAAAGAGTTTCATATTAGTTCGGCTCATCTTTTGCCACCAAAAGAGCTTGCTGCAAACTTACGAAAACACTTTAAATTTTCAGAGCTTACTGGCTTTTGAGATTGCACATGAAGGATGATGGTCTTTATTTTGAGAGCTTTGAGGAAGGACCCCTCGCCCAGTTTGTGGGAGCAGTAGAGGAGTCCTGGAAGAGATGATGTTCAAGTTGAGAGCAGAAGAAGTAGGCAGGCAAATCAAGGTTATTTTTCCCCTTCTTCCTTGGAATATATTCTAATTACATCTATAAAGTGTTTTAAAATCCAAGTTGAAAAACCTTTCCCTTCATGACTGTGATGGAGAGGGCTTTAAGGAGAGCTGATGAAGCTTGGTTCTTTTGTCAGACCTGGGTTTGAATCCCCTGCTCTGCCTTGAATGACATGTGTGACCTTTCTTGATCCCTTCTGAGTCCATGCCCTCATCTGTAAAGTGAGGATAATAACACTTGCTTCCACTGAGTGTTTCTAAGGAAAAAATTAGTGCCTACTATCTTGTCTGGCACCTACTGGGCAACAGTAAATAATGGGTGCTCTTGGTGGTGTTATGATTTTGATAGAGGCCACACGTTTGTGCCCAGGCCTCGTGGTCCTTGCAGGAGTACTCTGGCTCATGGTGCGCCCTTTCCTGAAGGTCCTGCTACAGCTCCGCATTCCTTGAGCATAAATATGTCTCCCCATTGATGCCAAGAGATCCTAAGTACAGATACCTCATCAGTTTCCTTCCTTTGCATCAAGCAGTGGCCAAAGGCATGAAAGGTACCCTTAAGTCTTTGTTGGTAGAAGACTTCCAGCAGGACCTGAGTCATCCTAATAACCCAGCTATCCAGGCTTGCCTTCCCTCAGAAGCAAAAGAATTGTCTTCTCATTAAAGCAAATCTGTGAGATTGGACTTTCCTCCCCAACATTTTAATGATTAAAAAAAAGTTGTGTGAGCCTTTAGTTGTATTTATTTTGGGGGTAGTTGGTGAGTAGCCCTCATGTTTGCCCTCTTTTTCCCTTCCTGTGTCATCAAGCTCTTCTGGCTAACCAGGATACTCCCAGCACAGTTCTGCCGGGAAATGCCATGCGCCCACAAGTGCAGGATTGCACCCATTCACCCCCACAACTAGTGTTCACAGTTGTAGAGCCCTAACCCATTCAAGGCCTCATCACCTTCTCTGAGTAATCTTAGGCAGGTCCCCTAACTACTCTAGAAAAACGAATGAGCACTTTTATGTTATGTATATTTTACCACAATTAAAAAAAAAAGAATGAGCTGCACGAACGGTTTCTAAAGTGTATGTTGTATCTCCCCACCTGCTGTAGCTTTGTGCAGATGTTTAGGAGGCATTTTTTTTAGTGTCAGCTGGTAACAAGTTCTAAACTCTGTTTCTGATTTGCTTTTTAAATTGAGATCAATTTACATTGGTTTCATTTGTTAGAAATCATTTTGTGTTAAATATGCCAAGCTAATCACCATTTGAAGGGGCGGCCTGCCCCTCCACACCTGTGGGTATTTCTCGTCGAGTGGGACGAGAGACTGAGAAAAAGAAATAAGACTCAAAGACAAAGTATAGAGAAAGAACAGTGGGCCCAGGAGACCGGCGCTCAGCATACAGAGGACCTGCACCGGCACCGGTCTCTGAGTTCCCTCAGTATTTATTGATTACTATTTTCACTATCTCAGCAAGGGGAATGCGGCAGGAGAACAGGGTGATAGTGGGGAAAAGGTCAGCAAGAAAACATGTGAGCAAAGAAATCTGTGTCACAAATAAGTTCAAGGGAAGGTACTATGCTTGAATGTGCACGTAGGCTAGATTTATGCTTTTCTCCACCCAAACATCTCAGTGGAGTAAAGAGTAACAGAGCAGCATTGCTGCCAGCATATCTCGCCTCCTGCCACAGGGTGGTTTTTCTCCTATCTCAGAATAGAACAAATGTACAATCGGGTTTTATACAGAGACATTCAGTTCCCAGGGGCAGGCAGGAGACAGAGGCCTTCCTCTTTTACTAATCTTCCTCAGCACAGACCCTTCACGGGTGTTGGGCTGGAGGACTGTCAGGTCTTTCCCGTCCCATGAGGCCATATCTCAGGCTATCTCAGTGGGGAGAAACCTTGGACAATACCCGGCTTTCCTGGGCAGAGGTCCCTGCGGCTTTCCGCAGTGCATTGTGCCCCTGGTTTATCGAGAATGGAGAATGGCGATGACTTTTACCAAGCATACTGCCTGTAAACATTTTGTTAACAAGGCACATCCTGCATAGCCCTAGATCCCTTAAACCTTGATTGCATACAACACATGTTTTTGTGAGCTCAAGGTTGGGGCTAAAGTTACATCTCAAGGCAAAACAGTTGTTCAGGGTACAGATCAAAATGGAGTTTCTTATGTCTTCCTTTTCTACATAGACACAGGTAACAGTCTGATCTCTCTTTCTTTTCCCTACAATCATTCTTCTGTTAGAGGTAATAGTTGGTTCACATAATTTCAGTAAGGGCTGAAATTATTAAATTAATTAAATTATTTAATATTAATTATTAATTATTAAATTAAATTATTAGTTAAGCTAACATCTTAATTCCTTTTCCTGTATCTGTGAAAGAGAAGAACTTTTCCCATTAGTCATTTGCCAAATATACTTGCTGCTAAATATTATTTGAATCTTTAATGCAAAGAATGAAAGAGCTATGGTTACAAAAAGGTCCTTTTGCAGGTTTGATTTTGTAAATATATATACTCTAGGAAGTATCTTTAAACATTTGTTGCCTTTAAAAGAAATTCTTAGATTGTTTTGGCTCAGGTAAGAAATATGAACTTTGTACATTTTTTTCACTAACAGCTGTTTGAAGGCTCCTTAATAAAAGTATTAAGTATGAAATGGTGATGAGAATATGGATCAGAAGGAAAAACAATGGTCAAGGCAGTGTTCACTGTAACGACAGATTATTTGGTATAATAAAGCAAATAACTAAGAGACTGGGACAGTAAATACTGTTATTTAATGGCCACGGAATTTAAAATGAGAAGAATGGAATAAATAAAACATGGAGTATGGAACAAATAGTAACAATAATAAAGAGGAATTTGGGAGAGAGTTAAAAAAGATATAATTAAGTATTAGAAAATAATAATATGGCAGAAGAATAGGAAGAGACTGGAGTGAAAGTGTTTTTTTGTTTTGTTTGTTTGTTTGTTTGTTTTTTGAGACAGTCTTGCTCTGTTGCCCAGGTTGGAGTGCGGTGGCATGATCTCACCTCACTGCAGCCTCCACCTCCTGGGTTCCAGTGATTCTCCTGCCTCAACCTCTGGAGTAGCTGGGATTACAGGTGTGTGCCACCATACCTGGCTAATTTTTGTATTTTAAGTAGAGGTGGGGTTTCACCATGCCAGGCTGGTCTTGAACTCCTGACCTCAAGTGATCCACCTGCCTCAGCCTCCCAAAGTGCTGGGATTACAGGTGTGAGCTACTGCTCCCGGCCAGGAGTGAAAGCATTCTGAGGGCCTTATCCCATTAAGAAGGAGGATGAAGGTATTATCCTAGCTTTTAAGATAAGAGTTTGTGTTTAAGCATTACCATTAATATATGTGGCATATATAACTTTATTTTTATTTTAATTTTTTTTTGAGACAGAGTCTCGCTCTGTCACCCAGGCTGGAGTGCAGTGGTGCGATCTCGGCTCACTACAACCTCTGCCTCTCAGGTTCAAGCGATTCTCCTGCCTCAGCCTCCCGAGTAGCTGGGACTACAGGCATGTGCCACCACGCCCGGCTAATTTTTTGTATTTTTAGTAGATACGGGGTTTCACCATGTTAGCCAGGATGGTCTCCATCTCCTGACCTCATGATCCGCCCTACTCAGCCTCTCAAAGTGCTGGGATTATAGGCGTGAGCCACCGCGCCAGGCCTCTGGAATATATAACTTTAAAAACGATTGCAGAATAAAGAAAATCTGATCATCTGAGTGAAGGGAGGAAAAGGCTGCTGGGGAGGGTAGGAAATAAAGAAAAAAGTGTGGTAAATATAAAGTACAAAATAAGATGCAAATAAATCCAACTATACAGTATTAGTAATCACAAGAGTCTTCCTCATTAGTATAGTGGTGAGTATCTCCACCTGTCACAACGAGTATAAATGTTGAAATCCACCAGATAATAGAAATTATTATTATTATTATTATTTTGAGACAGAGTCTTGCTCTGTCACCCAGGGTGGAGTGCAGTGGCATGATCTTGGCTCACTGCAACCTCCGCCTCCCGAGTTCAAGCAATTCTCCTGCCTCAGCCTCCCGAGTACCTGGGATTACAGTCACCATCATGCCCAGCTAATTTTTGTATTTTTAGTAGAGACGGGTTTCGCCATGTTGGCCAGGCTGGTCTCAAACTCCTTACCTCAGGTGATCTGCCCGCCTCGGCCTCCCAAAGTGTTGGGATTACAGGCGTGAGCCACTGCACCTGGCCCAGGTAATAGAAATTATTTTTTTAAAACTTTTTAAAAGGTGTGTGTCATTTGTAAGAGACAAAACCTAAAACATAGGATACTGAGAGGTTGAAAGTAATATAGTGGGACAAGATATACTGGACAAAACTAACCAAAAATACGTTGATGTATGAATATCAGACCGAGTAGACTTTGAAAATTTTTTTTTTGACTTTGAAATTTTTTAAAAATTATATTAGGGATACAGAATGGTATTGCTAGATGACAGAGGGCTAATTCACTAAGAAAAATATAGCAATTTTAAATCTGCAGAATACTAACAACATAGCTTCAAAGTATGTAAAGCAAAATTTGACCTAACTATAGGAGAAGTTGACAAATCCATAATCTTAGTGAGAGTTTTTAAACCCCCTCTCTCAGATACTGTTAGATCAAGCAGAGAAATAATTAGGCCATAGAAAATTGGAGCACCGTAAGAAACAAATTCGATTAAGTACACTTACATAGAATTCCGCACTGAACCAATAGGAAATACTTACTTGTTTCAGCTTCACAAGATATTTTTTCAAAAAGTGATGACAGATTAGAATATAAGGGAAATGTCAAAAAATACTGAAAGATCAACTTTATGCATGCCACATTTTTTTTTGGCCAAAATGCAAGAAAATTAGAAAGCAATAACAAACAATTGCTGATGCCTGTCATATATGTTTGGAAACTTAGCAAGCCTGCTTCTGAATATGTCATGGATCAAAAAAGAAATTATAAGGAAAGTTATGAAAGAGTTAGAACTGAATGACAGCAAAAGCATTCCAAATAAAAATGTATGGGATTACAGCTAAAGTGGGGTTTGAAGTGAAATTTATATCCTTACATGTATATATTGGAAAAGAAGAAAGATTTAAAAATTAATAAACTCACAGTTGTGAAAAGGACAACAGAGTGTATTCAAGAAAATAGAAGAAAGGAAATAAGGGTACAAGCAGCAATTAATGTACTATAAAACAGACAGCAAAGATGGACAAAGTGAAAAACTGATTTTTTGAAAAGACTAGTAAATAGGCAGACTTCTGGCAGGGTTGGTGAGAGGGATCAGGAGAGGGAGGAGGGACAAATGAATAATACAGGAGTCCCCCTTATTCACAGGGGATACATTCCAGACCCTGTGGGTGCCTGAAACCACAGATAGTAGCAACCATATATAAACTGTGTTTTTTCCCTGTACATAGATACCTATGAGAAAGTTTATAAGTAAGAGATTAAGAACAATAATAATAAAATTGAACAATTAAAACAATATACTGTAATAAAAATTATGTGAATGTGGCCTCTCTCTCTCTCTCAAAATATTTTATTGTATGTAGTATTTTCAGACCACAGTTGACCACCAGTAACTAAATGACAGAAAGCAAAAACGGATAAGGAAGGACTACTATATTAAGAGTGGGCTGTTTTCCAGATAAAGGTTACCAGTGTTAAGAAAAAATTAAATCCTGATTAGACCTGTAACCTTTAAAGAAATGGAATGAGTCCAAAAAGTCCTAGTCCAAGATGCTTTTACAGAGAAGGACCAAGGAACATTTAGAGATTGATTTCTTTATGTATCTTGGAAGTTAAAGAATTTGGGCCAGGTGCAGTGGCTCACGCCTGTAATCCCAGCACTTTGGGAGGCCAAGGCAGGTGGATCACCTCAGGTCAGGAGTTTGAGACCAGCCTGGCCAACATAGTGAAACCCCGTCTCTACTAAAAATTCAAAAATTGACCGGGTGTGGTGGCAGGCACCTGTAATCCTAGCTACTCGGGAGGCTGAGGCATGAGAATCACTTGAACCTGGGAGGCAGAGGTTGCAGTGAGCCGAGATCGTGCCACCACACTCCAGTCTGAGCGACAGAGTGAGACTTTGTCTCAAAAAAAAAAAAAAAAAAAAAAAAAGAATTTGACTTTTATTCTGAGTGAGAAGGGAAGCCCTGAGAGGGTTTTGAGCAGGGGAATGATATGATATCATTCAAATCATGTTTGAAAAGAGTCACTCCATTGGCTGCATGGAATATTGACTGTAGGGGACCAAGGAGCAAAGCAGAATGAATGACCAGTTAGGAAGCTTCTGCAGTTGGAGCATGATGACTCAGACAACGGTTGTTCAAGTGGAGACAGTGTGGAATGGTGAGATTTGGAGTAAATTTCGAAGGTAGAGACAACAGGATTTACTGGTGGAGTGAATATTGGGTGTGTGAAAAAAGAAAAGTCAAGAATGACTTCAAGATTTTAGGCTTAAACAACTGTTAGGATGGAATTACCATTTACTGCAATGGAGAAAATTGTGGGGAAGCAAGTTTAGGGTGGAAGATAGAGTTTTGTTAAGTTCAAGGTGTCTGTTAGGTATCTGTATTAGTCCGTTTTCATGCTGCTGATAAAGACATGCCAGAGACTGGGCAGTTTACAAAAGAGAGAGGTTTAATTGGACTTACAGTTCCACGTGGCTGGGGAAGCCTCACAGTCATGACGGAAGACAAGGAGGAGCAAGTCACATCTTATGTGGATGGCAGCGGGCAAAGAGAGCAGTGCTTGTGCAGGAAAACTCCCCTTTTTATACCATCAGATCCCGTGAGACTTACTCGCTATCACGAGAACAGCATGGGAAAGACCTGCCCCCATGATTCAATTACCTCCCACCAGGTCCCTCCTACAACATGTGGGAATTGTGGGAGTACAATTCAAGATGAGATATGGGTGGGGACACAGAGCCAAATCATATCAGTATCCAAGTAGAAATGATAAGTAGGCAGTTGAATATGTGAGTCTAGAAGTTAGGGGAGAGGTCTGGGCTAGAGACAGAAATGTGGGAGTCATTGGTGTATGTGTGGAAGTTAAAAGGCCCTGAGACGAGACGAGACGAGATCACAGGAACAAGTACAGACAGAAGAGAGATGAGGTTCAAAGAGGAGACCCCCAAAAGTGGAGAGATCCAGATTATGAGGGGGAGGTACTGCCAAGGGGGATGAGAAGAAGCCATCAGGGAAGTAGCAGGAAAAGCAGCCAAGGGTCAGTGTCCCCTCAAAGTCCTGTGTTGAAGCCCTAATCTCAATGTGATGGCATTAGGCGGTGGGGCCTTCGGGAGATGATTAGGTCATAAGGGTTAGGGTCCTGATGAATGGGATTAATGCCCTTCTAAGAAGAAACACAAGAGAGATGGTTCTCACCACCACCACCATGTGAGCTCACAGCAAGAAGGTGGCCATCTGCAAGCCAAGAGGAGGGCCCTCACTGGAACTTGACCCTGCTGGCACTCTGATCTCGGATTTCCTAGCCTCCAGAATTGCAAGAAATATATTTCTGTTGTTTAGGCCCCCCGATCTATGGTATTTTGTTAAAACAACCCAAACTGACTAAGATGGAAGTCGGAAAGTGATTCAAGGAGGAGGAAGTAATCAGATGAGTAAAAGGCTAATAATGAGACAAGGTCAAGTAGCATCAGGACTAAGAGTTGACCATTAGATTTGGGGATGTGGAAGTTATTGGTGACCATGTCCGACAGTTTATGTGGAGTATAAGACACAAAAATTGGGCAAGTCGAATTCAAGAGAGAAGGGAAGGACAGAAACTGAAGATTCTGAGTTTAAATTGTTCTTCTGAAGAGTTCTGCTGTAAATAAGAGCAGTGGTTGGGTGGAGATATGGGGTTGGGAGGGTTTTTTTAAATATGAGAAATTATGTTTCTGGTGGAAATGATCTAGTAGACAGGGAAAAACTGATAATGCAAGGAGCAAAGTCTTGGCGTGCATGAGAGCAGATAGATTGTAGCATATATATTGCAGGTGACCTTAGAGAGGAGCACATCCATCAAAACGAGGGAAGCAGGGCACACCAGCACCATGTTCCCTTTTGATTGCTTCTGCCTTCTCAGCGAAATATGAAGCACGGTCACTAGCTGAGAGTGAGGATGGGGAGGAGTTATTGGAGGTTTGAGAGAGAAGGTACGAAACAGTCCTTTAGGAGAAAAAGGGAATGAATGGACAAGGGATTTCTAGATAATCGTTGGACAGCATTAAGGGTCATTAATTTAAGGGAGTTCAGTCAGTGTGGCTGTGTGTTTTTCTCTAGCCACGTTTAGCTGCATGGGTGCACCCTCAGAGTTGGCAGAGGCAGATTTAGCCAGAGCTGGCATTTTGCCCAGTGAGTACAATGCCTCCATTGTTGTAGACAGAGGGGCAAGGGATTAACAGATAATCCCTATCTTAAACTGTTTCAGATAAAAGATAAAGAGAGACAGCTCTCAACTCCTTTCAGATGGCCAATACCCCATGATAGTCAAACAAGGCATGTTAAAACATAAAACTTACAGAGGAAAGTCACTTATGAATATTGATATTAAATACATGAAGTGAAATATTCAGAAAATGAATCAAGCAATGTATATAAAAAACATCATGATCAGGTGTGGTTTATCCCCCAAATACAAGGAAATTTACTATAAAATCTATTAATCTATTTTTACCACATTAATAAAGAAGAAAAACAGTGTGATCATCTCAATAGATATAGAAAAGCATTTGATAAAATCCAGTATCCATTAATGATTTTAAAAGCACCTCTTAAGGCCAGGCGCGGTGGCTCACACCTGTAATCCCAGCACTTTGGGAGGCCGAGGCGGATGGATCACCTGAGGTCAGGAGTTTGAGACCAGCCTGGCCAACATGGTGAAACCCCGTCTCTACTAAAAATACAAAAATTAGGATGTGATGTGGTGGTGGGCGCCTGTAATCCCAGCTACTCGGGAGGCTGAGGCAGGAGAATTGCTTGAACCTGGGAGGTGGAGGTTGCAGTGAGCCAAGATCATGCTACTGCACTCCAGCCTGGGCGACAGAATGAGACTCCGTCTCAGAAAAAGCACCTCTTAGACAATGAGGCATACAATGGAATTTTATTATCTTGATAAAGGGTAATGTGAAAATAAATCTACAAACCTCGTAAGTAATGTATTGGGGAAAGATTTAAAGTCAAGAACTTGAAGGATCCCCACTATCACCCCCTCTATTCAGCATTGTAATTGTGCCCCCATGTAACAGATATGAAAAGGAAATAAGAGTCATGGAGATTATTATTTGCAGGAAAAAAGTGCTACAGAAAACCCAAAGTGACTGGAACTAGAGTTTTCCATTTTTCAAGCAAGCTTCCCATATATAAGATCTATATGCAGTAATCAAGGTATCCCTTTATGGCAGCCACAAACAATTCGTAAATGTTATCATTTCTTAGAAAAGCATTCACAGTAGCAACAAAAACTGTTGAATATAATGCAAGGGCTAGACATGCCTGGAGAAAGTTATAAAGCTCTATTGAGGGACATAAAAGAAGACAAATATGAGGAGAGACACAGCATGTTCTTGAATGGGAAGATTCAGTGTTGTAAAGATATATTCTCCCCAAATTAATGTATAAATTCGGTAGACTGCCAATCCAAACCCAAAGAGACTTTTTCAGGGAAATTGATCCTAAAATTCACATGCTGTAGTAAGGGGCCAAGAATAGCCAAGACACATTTTAAATAGAAGAGGGGAAGGAATGCCTTACCAGATTTCAAAACATAAATCTAAGGTCATTAAAATTGTGTGATATTGGCACAACAGCAGACAAATTGACCAGTGGAAAAGAGGAAAGACCTCAAGAACAGAAAGGATAGATTATTCAATAAAAAATGTTAGGGCAATTGGCTGTCCATATGGATAAAAAGAAATTCTGACTTTCTCTTAGACCGTGCACAAGAATAAATTCCAGAGGGAATAAAGACCTAAATGTGAAAAGCAAAGCTATAAAACTTAAAATAGAACACTTTTATGATCTTGAGACAGGAAATGATTTCTTAAACTAATCATAAAAATCATAAATCATAAAATAAATTGATAAATTCAACTATATGCAAAAGCAAAACCTCTTATGACAAGAAGTTTATCTAAACAAGGCTAAAAGATGAGCTACAGAATGGGAAAGATTTTTGAATCACGTCTTGGAAGCAGATCCTCTGCCCTAGTCAAGCTCTCAGATGACTGCAGCCCTGGCCAACATCTTGACTGAAACTTTATGAGAGGCTTTGAGCTAGACCCACCCAGTTAAAGCTGCTTCTGAATTGCTGACCCACAGAAACTGTGAGAGATAATAGACGTTTATTGGTTTTAAGTTACCAAGTTCTGGAATTATTTGTTATTTAGCAATCTATAATACAAAAGCTTAATCCTAAGAGAGTCCTTAGAGAGTCAGCCATTTATATAATTGATTGGATTCAGGTTTCCATCTTAGTTGAGAGCTTGTTTTAATTTGATGAAATAGCAGGTACCATCATTGTTTAGCTTCTGGGTTTGTAAATATTGTCTTTTCATTACAAAGAGAAGAGATATGCAACATAGTACCAGAATAACCAAAAAAATATTTTAAATCCAGGTGACTTACTTCACTGTATCTCTTCAAGGTGATTCCCTTCATCATTTATAGTAATTTTATATATTTCTATAATAGTATCATATTCTACAATGTAAACAAGCAATGTGCAGAGGAGAAAGCAAACGGGCTAAAAGATGGCTCAACTTCACTAGCAATCTGAGAAAGTAAAGCAAATCTAAACAACAAATTCAGACTGACAGATGGCAACAGTTTTAAAGCATAATTCTAAGTGTTGGCAAGGTTATGAAGAAGAGGTAAGTGTCATGTGTCACTCATGAGAAGATGTATTAGTTAAGGTAGGCTAACTGCTATGACAAACAAAACCCAAATTTCTTTGGCTAAACACAGAAGTTTATTTTGTACACATATAACAGTCCATTGTGGGTCCAGGTCATTGGGCGGTTCACCCAGATACCTGGGCTACCAGTGGCCTTACCATCTTCAGTGTGCAGCTTCCAAGGTCACCCTGGATGTAGACATCCCGCTGGTGTACCAGGAAAGTACTAAACATTATTCATGGGAAGGCTTTATGGGCAAGGCATGGAAATTGTGTACTTTACTTTCATTCACATTCCTTTAGCTAAAACTCAAGCACAGGGCCATGTGGAACTGCAAGGGATGATGGGAAACATAGTATAACTAAGTGCCTAGGAAGAAGAGGAAATTGGATTGGTGATTAGGTAGTGGTCTATGCTGCAAGATGTAAACTACAGACTGTTAATTGGTACAATCACCTTGGAAAGCAATTTGAGATGGTGAAACTGAAGCAATGCATGCTCTATGACCCAGGAGGCCCATATCTAAATATAGACACTAATGATGTGCTCTTACTCACTGCCCAAGGAAACATGTACAAGGACATTTGTTGAAGCATTGTTTATAAAAGAGGAAAATTAGAAACAATCTGACTGTTCTTCAATTTGGAAATGGACAAATAAGAGATCTAGCTACACTGGAATACTATATAGCCATTAAAATGAATAACCCAGATTTACATGTATCGAACTGGATAACCCTCAAACATTTAAAGTTGAATGGTGACTATAGTTGACTGTAGTTAATAACAATATATTGCATTCTTGAAAATTGCTAAGAGAGTAGATTTTAAGTGTTCTCACCACAAAAATAAGTATGTAGGGCAATACATATGTTAATTAGTTCAATTTAGCCATGCCACAATGCACACATTTCAAAACATGTTGTATATGATAAATATATACTTTTTTTATGAGACAGGGTATCACTGTCACCTAGGCTGTAGTGCAGTGGCACCATCAAGGCTCTTTGTAGCCTCAACCTCCCAGGCTCAAGTGATCCTCCCACCTCAGCCTCCCCAGTAGCTGGGACTACAGGCACATGCCTCCACACCTGGCTAATTTTTTATTTTTTGTGGAAACGAGGTCGCACTGTATTGCCCAGTCTGGTCTCGAACTCCTGGACTTAAGCGATCCTCCCACCTCAGCCTCCCAAAGTGCTGGGGTTAGAGGCATGAGCCATCACATCCAGCCTAATTTTTGTCTATTAAAAAATTTAAAGACGAGTAAAAAAAGCAAGTTATAGAACAATAAGTATAGAATATTACTAGGTATGTAGAACTTTTAAAACACCTGAAATATGGTTATATCTTGCTTATGGACACATACTTTTCTTGTAAAAATTTTAAAAACATGGACAAGAAAAATACACTCCGGCTTTGGAGTAGTGTGACAGTTCACAGAGGGTGATCCCCAGATCCCCGAAGGTCCCTGACACCCTTTCAGGATCTCTGTGAGGTCAAAACTATTTTCATCCCATTCGTAAGATGTGATTTGCCTTTTTTCACTGTGTTGACATTTGCAGTGATAATAGAAAGCTGGTGCTTTAGTACAAATCAAGGCAGGGACTCCAAACTAGACTAGGAGTCACATACTATAAAAAACAAAAAAAAGAAGAAAAGGAAAAAAAAAACAATTGCATTTAAGAATGTCCTTTTTGGAGCATTAAAAATTTTTTTTCAAGTTTAAACTTTATCTGATCTTTAAAATATTCTGTGTGTTGACGTGAAAAGTACATATAAAGCACTTCCGCTGCACACCGAAGTACGATGGCTGCTTCTAGGAAAATCATTTACACAGTTGTCTGAGCTGTGAGCTGAACTAGCAGTTTGGTTTTTTTCTTGGACACCATTTTTGCTTGAAAGGTTGTCAAATTATGGTCATTCAGACTTGGGCATTTGGCAGACATTTTCTCAAAAATGAGCAAAGTGAGCCTATTGCTGCAAGGAAAACAACTGACAATATTTGTTGCCAGTGATAAAATTTAAACTTTGAATTGAAATGAGATTTTGGGGAAACTTTTTTTTTTTTTTTTAAATATACAGAGTTTCTCTCTTGTTGCCCAGGCTGGAGTGCAATGGCACAATCTCGGCTCACTGCAACCTCTGCCCCCGGGTTCAAGCAATTCTGCCTCAGCCTCCCAAGTAGCTGGAATTACAGGCGTGCACCACCACGCCCCGCTAATTTTTTGTATTTTTAGTAGAGACAGGGTTTTACCATGTTGGTCAGACTGGTCTCGAACTCCTGACCTCAGGTGATCCACCCACCTTGGCCTCCCAAAGTGCTGGGATTACAGGCGTGAGCCATTGCCCGGCATTTTGGGGAAACATGTATGAGCTTGTGAGTCACTGTGAGCTTGACTTAAAGCTCCTAATACTTGACTTAAAGCTTCCTGATACTTAAAAAACTTTTCTGATGAGATTGGTGGTGATATTAACAAATGTGGATAATGAAATATGTCAACATTTGGGCTAACTGCATAACTCACTAAACTGATGTATTCCAAATGACCAATGCTTGATGTTATAAAATCACACATGGGCAAATGATTCATTCAAAGCTCAAGATAGACCAATGGATTTTAAAACGTCAGAGTACATAAAGCTCATTGTTATGATTTCAGATTCCACATTTCAACTGGCGTTTAAGAAACCGTCCACTTGTTGAGTTTTGATTGTATCAAATAATATTCTTAATTATCCAAAAAGACTTAAAATAGTTCTCCCTGCATATCTGTGTGAAGCTGGATTTTCTTCATATACTTCAACTGAAATAACGTTGCCACAAAGTGAATACAGAAGCATATATGAGAATATAGCTATCTTCTATTAAGCCGGACATTAAAGAGATTTTTTAAAATGTTAATCACTGCCATTCTTCTTGTTACTTTTTTGTTTTGAAAAAAAATTTTTTTAATTTTTTGTAGAGACAAGGTCTCGCTATTTTGCCAAGGCTGGTCTCAAACTCCTGGCCTCAAGTGAGCCTCCTGCCTCAGCCTTCCAAAGTGCTGGGATTACAGGTGTGAGCCACTGCACCCGGCCTGAAAATTTTTTTTTAATGTTTTGTTTTGAAATTATACAAAAATTTTACTTATGTTGACATGCGGTAGGTTTTTGTTAACGAATTAGTAAATATTTAAAAATTTTTCAGTTTTAATTTCCAATATGGTAAATATGAGTAGCTAGAATGCATATAAACAAAAGCTCTTAGGGGGTCTCCAGTAATTTTTAAGTGTAAAGGGGTCATGAGACCAAAAAGTTTGAGAACTGCTGGGAAGTTTGTGAACCATTAGAGAAGACCACAAGGAAGGCTTCAACTTGATCTTTAACTTTTTCTTTCTTCTTTTAATAAAGGAAAGACTGGCACAGTTACAGCAGAATGCTTTCATTTGTTGGATCTGGGTGATGGTTATATGGATATGGGCTATATTGCTTTCTCTTTGCTTCCCTATATGTTTGAGGCTTTTTTTTTTTTTAAATAAGGCTATATTAAACATAGTGTAGGAGTCAGCTTTGATTCCTCCTAGAATGGAAGGAAATTCCCCACCTTGAATGGGGAGAATTTTCTAATGGATAGAGACCACCGAAACACATCTCAGCTCCACCCACTTCTGTCTGTATTCATTGTCACCACCCTCATCGAAGCCACCGTCATCTCTTGACTGGACCACCCCTCTTGTCTCCTAATTCATTCCCTGCTTCCACTTTCAGACTCTCCTCTCCAAAGTAGTACATGATCTTCCATCAGGCACCAGACTACACTACTTTCCTCTTGCAGCCTTCCCATAGTGTTCGTAACTCCTAGAACAAAATGCAGAGTCCCTCCTGTGACTGGCCAGCCTCTGTGAGTCGGCTGCAGCCAAGCCAGCAGCTGCCAGTCTCCCCTCACTCGCCACCAGTGGGGTCCTGCTCAGTGCTTAGTAACAGGCTCCACTGACTTGAAAACTTTGCCTCTCTGTCAAGAGTGACCCCAGGAGAAAATGAGAGAAAGCCACCCCCAGTTTCTCATTCCTTCCAGCAAACCCAAGATCTTTGCCAACAAGTCTGGCACCACCACCCAGTCGGCAGCCTAGGAGTCTTTTTGGCCCCTTTTTTCCCCTCTCCCACCTATATCCAATCCATCACCAAGCCCTGTTGATTTTACACCCTAAACATTCCTCAAGCCCACCTGCTGCCTCTGTTCCTCTGTCACCACCACCATTCTTGTCTGAGCCACCAGCCTCGCCGTCCCTCCTCCTGCAGTAGCTTCCCCTCCCGTCTTTTTCCTGCATCCAGTCAGTCCCTTCCCTGTACTTCTCCCCGCTGAAGCCAAAGTGCCCTTCTCCAGGGACCAGCTCCAGCATTTCGGGCAGCACTGGGTCCAATTGGGGCAGAGGTGACATTCTTAGTGCCTAGTTAGACAGGGACTGGCTGACAGGTGGTTGTCTGGTCTTTGTGTTAAAGGGATCACTCCATAGATAACATTTTCCCCCTCCTGGGATAACCCAGGGCCCTGCCTTCTGCACCTCCTACTTCAGCTCTTTTTGGGGACAGCCAGGAGGAAGGCTTTTGCTCTTTTCTGGACAGCGTTTAAATAATTTAGTGTCAGATGAAAACATTTGAGTAATTCATAGAAAAAAAGTGCTCAAATCCTCCATTTACAAATCAAGGACTGCAATAACTCACACAAGGGAGAGATTTGGAATTGTTTCAAGCTTTGCAGGGATCAAAAAGATCTAGTCAGATCACTTAGTTGCCTTTTACAGTTAAAGAACCCCAACGGGCCAGACATGGTGGCTCACGCCTGTAATCTCAGCACTTTGGGAGGCCAAGGCGGGGGGATCACTTGAGGTCAGGAGCTCAAGACCAGCCTGGCCAACATGGTGAAACCCTGTCTCTACTAAAAATACAAAAAAAAATTAGCCGAGTGTGGTGTCGCACACCTGTAATCCCAGCTACTCTGGAGGCTGAGGCAGGAGCATTGCTTGAATCCGGGAGGTGGAGGTTGTAGTGAGCCGAGATCGCGCCAATGCACTTCAGCCTCGGTGACAGAGCAAGACTCCATCTCAAAAAAAAAAAAACAAAAAAAAAACAAAAGAGCCACCACCAAGAGAGTTGAGGGGACCTTTTTCAAGGTCAATTCTTCTCGTGAGCTGACAGCCCTGTGTAAGCACTGTCTTGGGCCAGGCCAGATAAGTGGAGATACACCAGATTGCTGTGAATATGAAACAAAGTTGCATTCTCCTTACTTTATGTGTTAAAATAGTGAAACTTTAAAAGGCTATTTATTTAAATATTCCACTAAACTTAGTTCTGCCATATTGTTCCTTGTCGCTTATATTTGAATATCACTGTTAACTAGTGAAATAAATACCACACCTGTCTCACAATGGGTAGGGAGAACATAATTAATGTTCATAAAATACATCTAGAGAAGTGGTTCTTGATCAAATGGGTTACAGATCCATTTGAGAATTTGATAGAGGCTGAATATCCAATGCTCTCCTTAGAAAAAACGCTCGCACAAAAATTTCAGGAGTCTCGTAGCCTTCCGTGTCCCTGTCCACAATGTGCACCCCCCACACACACCCCAGAAAGGCGATTCATGGACTCGTAGCGGATCCTCTGGAGGCCCCAGGTTAAGAGCCCTATTGTAGAGTGACATGTGGTGTCTTCATGCTCCAAACCCAAACCCCGACCTGAAACATTTGGAATAAAAGTCACGCTTATAATTGAAAATATCAAATAATGACATCTGTAATACCCCTGTTCAGCTGAAAGTTGACTAGCGCAGCACCCAGTAATCCACCAGTACTTAATATTTCAGGTATCGGCAAGAGGGAACTGACAGCCCCCCTGAGCTGAATGTGTTCTGTATGTTTCCACAACACCAGGCTCAGGACTTACATCTCAGTAATCCTCCCTCCTTACTACACGAATTAGTGAGAGAGGCAAAGAATTAAAGTCTCCTAGGAGAGTGGTAAAGTCGTTTACACGTTTGATTGTAGCTAAAGAGCCCAGAGCGGTTTGTGTGAGTTTCGAAAGTTTTAAGATGAGCGTGGGGATCTGGAACGAAGCTGCACCAAGTGGATGCCTGCAATGCTTGGCTTCTAACCCAGTTTATTTCCCTATAGGCCATCATTCATCATGTCAGATGGTGCAAATACCTCGGACCAGGACAGCTTGCAGCTTGTGCATTGTTTGTAAACCCAGAGGGGAGAATCGAATAAGCAGCAATTTAGACAAAAATACATTATTTGAAAGTGAGAATTGCACACCTGTGATCCCTTTAAGTAAAGCATGAGGCATATTAGAGCTTATGGTTTAAAGATTATTCTCCAAGCCACCTGAGGTTTACCTACCAAATTGTACAAAATCTATCTTTTAAACTAACTTAAAAAGAAACTGTTACTTATACAATCAGTAGTCTCAATTGTAGATGCAATCATTTTAAAATAAATGCTATTATAATTCCTCCTTTAGAACACATCTCAGGTGTAAAGCATTGCTCTTCCCCACTCCTCTTTAATATTTCAAAAGGCAGTAGCTGGAACAGAATTCTGGTACAAGTGAATTTAACCAGTTGTTGGCGTTATTGTAACAGGATTTTTCACTTTCTATTTTTTGCTTTACCAATGGAGAGTGGTGGTAAGAAATCATGTCTTTTCAACATTTATCCTGGTCTCTTGTGCGTATTTTATTTGAATAATTGAACTATACTTTCTTCCCTCGAAACTGAGCAAGGTGGGGATATGCACTTAGCGATTCTTAATCCAAAGGAAAAAAGACCAAGGGTAGGGTTCGTCTGAGGCCTCTGACCTCTGTCCCATGGAGTGAAGGAAAGGGAACCAAAGGCCTGGGAGATCAGGGAAGGCTTTGCAGAGGAGGGAGCTCCCACAGGAGAACAGTTTGCCAGGAGAGCTTTACAGGCAGAGGGAGGAGCAAGCGTGTGCACAGGCCCGGAAGTGCCAGAGCAGTGTGTGTGCAGGAAACACTAATTCAGGTTTTCTTGGGGGCTGAGGAGGGAGTGTCAGGTGATCAGGTGATCAGGCTGGATGTGAGGGGAAGAGCCAACACATGAGCCTTGGATGGCAATCAAAGGGATTTAGATTTTATCTTGTAGGCACTGGAGAATTCTGAGGAGTGCAGAAATCTTCGAATTCTAGGTCTGTGACCTAGAGACACAGAAAGGGTGGTCTTTCTGTGACCACCCTTTCAGGAGGATGGATTGGAAGGAACCAATACCAGAAGCAAGGAGATCAGTGAGGAGCTATTTCAATTTTCCTGTGGGACACAGGTAGGGGAAAAAGGGAATTGGTACTTTGTGTTATTTCTGGTGGGTAGATGACAACATTCATCTCTGTGCCGTCCAGCTAGAAATTGAATTGCAAACTGTTAGATATAAGTAGTTTGCTGCTACCATCAGGCATATGTCTTTTGCCTGGTATTGCCTCACTCTTCCATGTCTTTAATAGCACCAAACACATGTTTTATGGTGTCTAGTTCATCATGGCCATATAAGCATTCATGGTTGTATTTGTCAGGATTCTTTCAGTTGTAAATGACAGAAACTCACCTCAAACAGCCTTAAGCACAAGAGAGAATTTATTGCTCAAATAACTGAAAAGTCCAGGGGATTGGCCTAGATTCAGGCATGTCTGGATCCAGGAGCTCAAGTCATCAAATATGGTATGTCTCTTTACAGTGCCCTGTTTGACTCTGAGTGGGCTTTATTCTCTGGTAGGGTTGTCCCAGGTAGTGACAGAGGTATCCCTGGGAGCTGCAGGTGATAGTCTTCTAGAGTGGCAGCCTCCACAGAAAGCAAGCTTTTCCTGTAGTGGCTCCAGCGAAAGTCCTGACTGACTTAGCGTGGCTCTCAGGTGGTCCAACTTGGGTTGTCTGCCCATCTCTCAACCGTGCCCAGATTGGCCAGGCCTGGACCACATATCCTTCCCTGCAGCTGGGCCAGGACCAAAGTAAGCCCCACCAGAGCCACACTGGGCAGAGCAGGGGAAATTATAGGCCACTACTAGAAAGGGAGGAGACAGGGGCTGGACAGGCAGAAGCAACAACATTTCCATCAGGACAGGGACGAAACGAAGGGCCCAAGGGGACACCCTGAGTTGAAATCGGAAGAGTTCAGTAAAGGGAAAAATTGAATCCCTCTTGGAGAGGACAACCTTTCAGCTCTTTGAAGCCTCCCCTTAACACCTATGTTCTTCCTCCTTCCCATGATATGTGGCTTTTAGCTTTTTCATTGCCCTAATCACCCTCCTCTGGCTATGCTCTAGGTAGTGAATGTCTCTTTTAAAACATGGTGTTTGGTGGTAACAGAGTACACCAGATGTACTCTGCCAGGCTGGCGTTTGGTGAGGCTCTTATTTCCCTTGTTCCGAAAACAATACTTCTGTTAACACAGCATTGGCTTTCTGGTACGTGGTACTCACACTGTTGGTAGGGTGCTGTTAAAATTTGCAGTCAGTATCATCCAGTTGAATTTTGTTTGTTTGTTTGTTTGTTTGACTGTGGTATAAGATGGGTTTAGTAGACTGGCTTCATGAATTTTCTTGTACCTAAGTGTTGGGCAAGCTGTGGCTGGGTCACAGAGTGGCTGCTGGTGTGAAAGGTGATTTGGCAGAGAGAAGAAGCTCTGTTTAAAGATTTATTGGGATCCCAGGGGTGGGGGTGTATGTGTAAAGGGAGCTGAGTCAATTCAAATGTGGGAGTGATGGCTAATAAAATTAGTTCAGCAAAAATTTATGAAACATGTGAGCCCAATGTACAAATCCTTGTTGAATGCTGTTTAGTTTGTTTCAATCTATTGTCCAAGTCCTTGGCATTCTGCTGTTCCAGTATTGGCTCAGCATCCATTTTGCAGTCCTTACCTGCCCCTCCATGCCCATGCACGCACCCACAAAGGAGCAGTGTATGTTACTATTTCAACATCTCTGCCTTCTTCTGTTGTTAAAATCTAACCCATCCCCTGCTTGCTTGGAGAATCATCATCTTTGTATTGCCACCAGTCAAGAAGATTGTTTAAGTGTTGTTTCTCAAGCTGATGTGATGAAGACTTTAGTTTTTTGTTTTTCATTTTACAATACAAAATTATAATGTTGAATCTGTGTTTTTAAATTACACACACACCACCCTAGGGAGTCATGTATCCTGTATTCTCTGGTCAGCTTCCACCACTGCACCCTGACTCCCACTGAAATTCACTACCCTAACTTCTGCCTCCTTAAACTTCACCTCCGTCCTGTGACATTACTGTTCTCTATTTGACCCATCTCAGCTCTGAGTTGAGCAATGAGCCATTTCCTGTACTTGAAGCAGCTCCCCGGTTTTGTCCACTTTTCTACTTTTAAAGCAAAAATGAGGCTTTAGCTTCTGCTTGAGTCATTCTCAAGGTTCATGTTGTGTATATCTGATTTATTTCTTTTGAGTTTCCTAAAGAAAGGCTGAACAGAAGGACATGCATAATAATAAAATGAGCTTTTTTTTTTTTTTTTTTTTTGAGATGGAGTCTTGCGCTGTTACCCGGGCTGGAGTGCAGTGTGGCACCGTCTCAGCTCACTGCAACCTCCGCCTCCCGGGTTCAAGTGATTATCCTGCCTCAGCCTCCTGAGTAGCTGGGATTACAGGCACGCACCACCATGCCTGGCTAATTTTTGCATTTTTAGTAGAGACAGGGTTTCACCATGTTGGTCAGGCTGTTCGCAAACTCCTGACCTCATGATCCACCCGCCTCGGCCTCCCAAAGTGCTGGGATTATAGGCGTGAGCCACTGCACCCAGCCAAAATGAGCATTCTTAAGTGGTAAATTTACTTGTATTAGCTATGTATAATACAAATATATATAGACAGAGAATGTCTATACTTTTAAATACCTTTGAAAAGATATTTCAGACTGTAAATCAGTAAAAATATAGTGATTTATTATATATTCATTTATTTATTTATTAGGTACCTAACTAGGCCAGGACCTTGCGCTAGAGTGGTAAACAAAAAAGATAGGCTTTGCCTTTAGGAATCTTGTAGTATGAAAACCATGTTTCAGATTGTGCCAGAAAGACATCCCATGTCCATGGATCAGAAGACTCAATATGGTTGAGATGGTAGTATTCTTCAAACTGGTCTACAGCTGTGGAATTGAGATTGAGGTTCTTTTTCTTGCATGTGTATGTCCACTTGTCCCAACACTGTTAAAAAGACTGTCCTTTCTTGGATTGTCTTTAGATCTTTGTCAAAAATCAGTTTGCCCTATTCATGTGGATCTATTTCTAGACTCTGTTCTGTTCTGTCCATCTATGTGTTTATTCCTTTACCTCTTGTTAGGTTCATACACGTCTAAGATTGTTTTATCTTCATGATGAACTGACCCTCATGGTTCGCTGTGTCTTTCTTCTCCTGTGCACAGAATGGGCAGTGATATAGTTTGGATGTTTGTCCCTGACAAAATCTCATGTTGAAATGTAATCCCCAGTTTTGGAGGTGGAGCCTGGTGGGAGGTGATTGGATCATGCAGATGGATTTCTTATGAATGGTTTAGTATTTGTGAGAAATGGTTTAGCACCCCTTGGTGCCATCCTTGCAATAGTGAGTTCTCCCGAGATTTGGTAGTTTAAAAGTATGTGGCACCTCCCCCATCTCCCTCTTGCTTCTGCTCTCACCATGTGAAGTGCCTGCTTCCGTTTTGCCTTCCACCATGAATAAAAGCTCCCTGAGACCTCCCCAGAAGCAGATGCCCCATGCTTCCTGTACAGCCCACAGAACCATGAGCCAACTAAACCTCTTTTCTTATAAATTACCCAGTCTCAGATATTTCCTTATAGCAAATATGAGAATGGCATCATAACAGTCAGTGCTTTAGATACAAGTTGCTTGAGTAGCCTGGTTTCTAGAGGGAAGATAACACAGAGCAGAACCACAGCCGGCCAGGGGTGGACACAAGGCATGGACAAGAAGCAAACGTTTGTTGTAATAAGCCACTGAGATGTTAATGTTGTTTGTTACCAGACCATAGGGGCCAAGCTCTGGGCCCAATCCATTCTAGGTCGTAGGGGCCTGCCCTTTATTTTTCATCAACAGGAGCCAACAAGGGCACTTTTCCTACATTAGAAACCCAGAAGAGGTGGAGAAGGTAAGAGAGGTGAACAAGTGGCTGGAGATAAAGGACAAGCTGTTCAGCTCTTGGCCCCTTGCTTTTGATGAAACTCAGTTTCTATTAGGCTCCTCTGTCTCTGTGGCCCCTTCTCATAGAGTTTAAGGATATCATTGGCAGGTTCTTCTGAGGCAGGGATGCTAACTGTCAGTGCAGGTTCAGGCTATCTCCACTAAGACCGGCTTGTAATACCTACTGCTTATGATTCTTAGCTATCCTCTGAGTTGCCATATCTAGAGATCTGCCCCATTTCCTGTCCTTCATGACTCTACATCAGGTCACCTGATATAGGTGGGAGAGTGGGAGAGTGGATATTATTACAGAATTTGCCCCTGATATTAATTTAGTCATGATTTTTTTCAGGCAAAGTATACAGAGAGTTTAGCAAAGTAAACAGAGAAAATTTATATGAATGAGCAAAATTCAAGGCTAAACTTGAAGGGGAAAGGCAAGACCTGGGTGTGGAGAGGACAGAGTGGCCAGGTTTTTTGTTTCAAAAATGTCAATGTGATAAAATATCTTCACCAGTAATGTTTATAGTAATGATAAAAGAGGGCACCCCAAACTTTGGTGTTTTTTTCTAGTAAAAATGATGGTTACATCGAACTCACTTGCAGATTCCTCCCCTAGCTACATCATCTGACTTCCTGAAATTATTGTAATTATATGAAGAAGAAATAATGCTAATGAAAGCCGTTCAAACAGGTGAATAATATTAAACATCGCAATTATTGAGCAGTTATGTGTGCCAGACAGAGTCCAAAAAGCTTGATACGAATTAATTCATTTAATCTTCACAAATAACCCTATGAGGTGTACACATTGTTATAATCCCCATCTGACAGGTGGACACCGAAGTCATTTGCTCAAGGTCACAGCTGGATGATAGGAGAGCTTTGAACACGGCAGTTTGATTCTAGCCTGCTCTTAAACACAATACATGGAAGGTTGTCTTTCTTTGTAGGTAGAAATGGTGAAATAGTACCTGGTTAAAAAGAAACTAGGCCAGGTGTGGTGGCTCATGCCTATAATCCCAGCACTTTGGGAGGCCAAGTCGGGTGGATCACTTGAGGTCAGGAGTTCAAGACCAGCCTGACCAACATGGGAAAACCCTGTCTCTACTAAAAGTACAAAAATTAGCTGGGTGTGGTGGCATGTGCCTGTAATCCCAGCTACTCGAGTGACTGAGGCAGGAGAATCGCTTGAATCCCCGAGACAGAGGTTTCAGTGAGCCGAGATTGCACCACTGCACTCCAGCCTGGGTGACAGAGTGAGACTCCATCACACACACGCACACACACACACACAAAAGAAACTGAAACTTAATCAGCTCACAGAAGAGCAAATCCAGTGGCCCGCCCTCCCTCCCAGACAAGAATGACTGGATGGTTAAATTCACTGGTAGTCAGGGAAATAAAAATTTTAAAAATAAAAATGGTGATGAGATATCACTTTACATCCATCAGACTGACAAAAAATTAAAACTATTGATAACTTATGGCAGAGATAGCGAATAGTTATGAAAATTTAAAGTGTATACACATATAATATGCCAACCCAGCAGTCCCATTTTTGGGATTCTATTCCATGGAAATAAAAGCACTGTTGAATATATAAGGATATTTATTATAGTCCTTGTATTGCCAAATTTAAAAAAAAATCCCAGAAAACAAATGAATACCCATTATTACAGGTATCTTCTATGGAATATGATGCAGCCTCTAAAACTCATGAATTTGAATTATGCCAGATGACATGGAGGGACCTCATAGGTCCTGTTGAAAGAGAAATGCAGGGTGCAGCAGTGTGTATCATATGATCCCACCATCCCGCTCGTTAAAAACAGTGACCCTGGCCGGGCACGGTGGCTCACGCCTGTAATCCTAGCAGTTTGGGAGGCCGAGGTGGGCAGATCACCTGAGGTCAGGAGTTCGAGACCAGCCTGACCAACATGATGAAACCCTGTCTCTACTAAAAATGCAAAAATTAGCCATGCATGGTGTCATGCACCTGTAATCCGAGCTACTCTGGAGGCTGAGGCAGGAGAATTGCTTGAACCCGGGAGGCAGAGGTTGCAGTGAGTCGAGATCACACCATTGCACTCCAACCTGGGTGACAAGAGCGAAACTCCATCTCAAAAGAAAACAAAACAACAGTGACCCCCACCTTCAAAAAGAAAACCTGTGCATGAACAGGAATTTATATATAATTATATATATGTATATATACTTCACCTGTTTAAGGGGTACAATTATATATATATATATATATATAATCTGGTTTTAGTAACACATAGGAAAAAATGTATATATGAGGCTGTTATATGGAGTGTGTGGAATTGCTGACATGAGGGGAGGAGGGAACCAAGCAAAAAAGAGAAGGAAGAAAGACAACTGAAAAAGATACATCTATCTGCTTATGGTTACGTATTTCTACAATGCTCTGTGTGGGTGCAGATATAGCTAAATAGTGTTTTTCAAAGATTGGAAAGCAACATATGGTTAAAATGATCACATCTGAAACCATAGGCTTGGCTTGGACCAATCTCCCCACCATCCTCCTGTGGTCTGCATTTGCCTGTGTTTATGTTTAGCTTGCAGAATGGCATCAGACAGGGCAGCCTTTTTCTCCCTCCTCCATTGCCATACTTAAAGTAAAGACTCCAGAGCTCCAAAGAGATGGACCTGTTCAGGTGGTTCATAAGCATCAGTAAGTGAGAGTACAGATATGGCAGCATAGTCCATCTCCAGGCAAGGGAATGACTCAAAGACAAAACCACTGGGTCATCCCTATTAGAAGGGAAAGCAGTGGCTGGGTGCGGTGGCTCTTGCCTGTAATCCCAGCACTTTGGGAGGCCAAGGCCGGAAAATCACCTGAGGTCAGGAGCACAAGACCAGCCTGACTAACATGGTGAAACTCCGTCTCTACTAAAAATACAGAAAATTAGCTGGGTGTGGTGGCAGGCATCTGTAATCCCAGCTACTTGGGAGGCTGTGGCAGGAGAATTGCTTGAACCCAGGAGGCAGAGGTTGCAGTGAGCTGAGATCACGCCATTGCACTCCAGCCTGGGTGAGAAGAGTGAGACTCCGTCTCAAAAAAAAGAAAGAAAAAAAGGACAGCAGAGCAGAAGTGGCAGAGTATCTGCCAATCTGTGGTCATTTCAGTTTTTATGAATCACATCAAAATGGAACCACCCCCATCTTCTTCCAACACAATGCACTGGTTTTTATAGACTTAACAAGAGAAGCAAGTCAAAAAGTAAATATTCCTATTGCTGAGTGCAGTAACACCCTAATTTTACACGGCATGTATGTGTATGGTTCTGAATATGAGAATCCCCTGAAACATTCAGACTGCTTCTCTGTAGTTGAATGAGGGGGACAGACAGTATAGCTTTGGGTGAGGATGAACTAATCTACTCCAACAGTTAAGCGTGTCTAAAGAGTAAGATAGATGACTTTCAGTTAACAGGACAGGGATATTTCATAATCCAAACCACACTTGTCACTATGTGTAAGCGATCACTGCTGTGTCACCAGAAGGTTGTTTGTTTTAGTAGACTCATGGTTGGTGGGCACACAAGGAATGGGTTGAGTTCTTACTCTGGGTCTCCTGATGTTTCCCTGTCCCCGGCTTACCCAACAGACCTCAGAACAGATAAAGATGCTTATGTCGTTGTTGTTGTTTTTGAGACAAACTCTCACTCTGTCACCCAGGCTGGAGTGCAGTGGCACAATCTTGGCTCACTGCAATCTCTGCCTCCTGGGTTCAAGTGATTCTCCTGTCTCAGCCTCCCAAGTAGCTGGGACTATAGGCGCGCACCACCACACCCAGCTAATTTTTGTATTTTTAGTAGAGATGGGGTTTCACCATGTTGGCCAGGCTAGTCTCGAACTCCTGTCCTCAAGTGATCCACACGCCTCAGCCTCCCAAAGTGCTTAGATTACAGGCGTGAGCCACCGTACCCAGCCAAAATGCTTATGTTATACGTTATTTAAAAAGAATACCAGTAGTCCACTATTGGAATAAGATTTGTACTTTCAGTCATTCCTAGGTTTCAATTCTGGTTGACTTTAACATCAGTGATTCATAGTTGTTGGCCGTAGAACCATGTCAATATATAGAATGCCATTGCCCCTGTGGGTAATATCAGTTGAGTTTTAAATGTTTTGATAGAGGGCATAGATTTGTTAGAGGAGAAAGTCAAATATTTAATTCCTTAGGTGGGAACATGTGAAACCATGCCAGTGTTTTTTACTTAATATTGGCAGTATCACTATGAAAGTACCCAGTGCAGTTTTTTCATGAGCTCTCTTGTAAATAATATGGTGCCCTTTACAGTAATGTAATTTTTTTAAGCTTACAAGGTTCTGATTGTTATGATACATTTTATTAGATATGTACAAATTTTCAGGAAATGTCAACAGAGGCTTTATCATTATGTGACTCTTTAATCTGATTTCTAGGCAGAGTTTATTAGGACTGGCTTTTAAAAAATTAATAGCTTTATTTACTTACCATACAATTCACCTATTTAAGCTGTACAACTGGATGGTTTTTAGTATATTCACAGATTTGTGCATTCATCACCACAATCAATTTTCGAGCATTTTCATCACCAAAAAAAAAAAAAAAAAACTACTAGCAGCCACTGACTTCCAGATTCTACCTCTACTCCCAGCCCAGTCAACCACTAATCTACTTTATGTCTCTATAGCGTTGCTTTTTCTAGACTTTTCATACAAATGGAATCACACACTATGTAGCCTTTGGCATCTGGCTTCTTTCACTTAGGGTGATGTCTTCAAGGTCCATCCCTGTTGTAGCATGCATCCATACTTCCTTTTTCTGCCAAATAATGTTTCATTGTTTGTATAGACCGCATTTCGTTTATCCATTTATCAGTTGATGAGTATTTGGCTTATTTCCACTTTTTGGCTTTTGTGAATAATGCTGCTATGAACATTTGTGTATAATTTTTTGTGGCAAGGTCTGGCTTTTTAGTGACTCAGTTGCCCTTTTAAATACCCGTGATATCATAGCTAAATAGGACTCCCAGATGTCCTCTTGCTTGGCACCTTCTGTTTAGGCACATGAAGTATCTGGATTGCCCAGAGAGGGAAAGTGGCTTCCCTGGGCACACACAGCTAGAGAGCGGAGTGGGGCCCTGCCTCCAGGTTTCTTGCTCACAGGTTCAATGCTTTACCTATTAGTGCGGACACATGAAGACTGAAGAAGACCTAAGGTCTGCAATATGCAGCTTTGTGAAAGCCTTGCAGTCTTTTCCTGTTTGCTGTTTCTTCTGTTTTACCACTTACAACAGTGTGGTCTCGTCTGAAAGCAAAAGAACATAAGAGCTGGAATGTTTCTGAGAGATTTTCTAGTCACATATCCTCATTATACAAGTGAGGAAACTAAGGTGCTGAGAAGGCATGTGATGTCTCACCCAAGATCACACTGTTAGGGGCAGAGCAAGGACTGGAACTTTGGTCTCCCTGCTCCAGGTCCCGGTCCTCATCTACCCTGTTAGGACAAGCATCTGTTACCCAGGGACTGCATGAAGGATGGCACTGAGCCATTTTGTGTCTCTTCTCTAATAGAATCCCGTCACGGGGCTGCTGTCAGCCAGCCATGAGCAGAAGGATGCCTGGGTGCGGGATAACATCTACAGTATCCTGGCCGTGTGGGGCCTGGGCATGGCCTACCGTAAGAATGCAGACCGCGATGAGGACAAGGCCAAGGCCTACGAGCTGGAGCAGGTAATAGTGACTGACAGCTGTATCTCGGCTGCTCAGCCACCTTCTCCTTGAACTGAAAAACCCACAGAGAAGTAGCTGTGTGTGCAGAACTGTTTGGGTGTAGGCCTCTCCTCTATTTCTGCTATAGAATATTTTGGGGAGGTACTTAGATTATCTCAACCTCACATTGGTCTTTCTGTTTGAGTTTGGAGATTCCCACATAAAACAATGACAACATCCAAAATCACACCAAATAGAAAATGAAAGCAACCACATTTCTTTTTTTTTTGAGATGGAGTCTCACTCTGTCACCCAGGCTGGGGTGCAGTGGCGCGATCTCAGCTCACTGCAACCTCCGCCTCCCGGTTTCAAGTGATTGTCCTGCCTCAGCCTCCCGAGTAGCTGGGATTACAGGCGACTGCCACCACGCGCAGCTAATTTTGTATTTTTAGTAGAGACAGGGTTTTACCGTGTTGGCCAGGCTGGTTTCGAACTCCTGGCCTCAAGTGATCCGCCCACCTCAGCCTCCCAAAGTGCTGGAATTGCAGGCCTGAGCCACCGCACCTGGCTGCATCCACATTTCTAACCCCAAAGTGTCAATTTGTATAATTAGTTACATTTCTTTCACACGTACTTTATCCATTTTGTACATATTTATACACAAGACATCATCATAAACTGATATGTTTTTTAAAAGTCACCTCACCACAGCTTCACATTCCAAAGCATGTACTCTTCAGAGTAGTCACACTGGAAGGATATTTATCCAAACATTATTGCCACTGCTTAAAATATTTTTGAAACTTCCCTTAAAAATACGTTTCTAATTTGAACCATTCCAGGAAAGCAATCTTATTAATTTATGGTCACCCTTTAATTTTGAACCAAATTGGTGTTATCCAATTTGGGGGCCTATATTATTCACCATACAGGACAATGAAGTCCTTTTATTGTTTTCCAAAATCCAGAACCAAGATACCTACCAAAGATTTGCCATCACTGAGTTTGTAACAAAATAATCTGTCCCTGAACACAGGAGGTATTTTCCAAGTGTTTTGAGTGGTAGCATTGAAGTAGAGAGCACTGAAATATAAAAATCATTCTCTTGGCATGAGAGCCCTTGGGATTTATCTTTGATTCAGACATTCTTCGATGGCCTCACGGTCAGTGGATCGTCTGTGACATGGTGTCTCATGTATTAACGTAGCATTATTGTTGTTATTTATAATGAGGATAATAAGACTAGTAATTGGTTACAATAAATCCTATTATTCAGAAACCTTGGCTGTCACTTGCATTTTGTTAGAGCTTTACTCGGTAATTCAGTGATGGTTTCACAAATGGCCATGTTGGCAAACATTACTTTTGGGCAGGCGTGGTGGACTTAGTGTAAGAAAAATAAATTACCAAGAAATGTGACATAAAGCTCCAGAGTACTACACTTACAGAAATTGTGTTGCTAAGATGTCAACGAGGAGTCACTGAATTTCAGAGGTGGCAGATATCATCTGATCCAACCCCTTTATTTGAGATAAGTCACTTTGTCGAGATTTTTCTTTCTTTATGATGGAGTGGAGAGGACATGAACCATCAGAACACTCACGTAGGCTCGGGACTGGCCTTTCCAGGGCAGTTGCTGGGCAGCACTGGCTTGCCAGCCACAGTGATCAGGAGGTGATTTTCCTGCAGCAAGGACCCTGGGCCGTGTTGCTGATTCTGCTTTATCTCCACAGAACGTGGTGAAGCTGATGCGAGGTCTTCTCCAGTGCATGATGAGACAGGTAGGCAGAACCCACACACGTGTTTGCCAAGTGGGCATTCCATGTCATTGTAATTGTGACAGTTAACATGCTTAAGACGTTTTGTACTTTTCTTCTCAAGAGGAAGAGAAATTGAAAATATTTTGCTTACTTTCTCTCTCTCTTTTTTTTTTTTTTTTTTTTTTGAGACAGGGTCTCACACTGTCACTCAGGCTGAGTGCAGTGGTGCGATCATGGCTCACTGCAACCTCAAACTCCTGGGCTCAAGTGGTTCTCCCACCTGAGGTGTGTACCATTCACCTGGCCTTTTTTTTTTTTTTTTTTTTTTTGTAGATACAATATCTCACTATGTTGCCCAGGCTGGTCTTGAACACCTGGGCGCAAGTGATCCTCCCACCTTGGCCTCCCAAAGTGCTCGGATTACAGGTGTGAGGAGTTACCATGCCCAGCTACCTTCTCTTTTTAAAATTATTTTCAGTAACTTTACTATTGTATCACAGTCTCAAAGGACAGTTTCTGAGAATCTCTTTTGAAGAGGTACATGGATAAAAGGAGAAACATGCTTTTTTTTTAATGGAGAAGAAAACATTTTTTTTTAAAAGCCACGTCTAGAAAGCCATATATTATTGTTTATTCCATCATGTTTGTAAAAGG
The DNA here is from genome assembly GCF_000001405.40 of Homo sapiens. Classification (NCBI taxonomy): domain Eukaryota; kingdom Metazoa; phylum Chordata; class Mammalia; order Primates; family Hominidae; genus Homo; species Homo sapiens. The sequence continues at coordinate 18,951,860 of NC_000023.11, read as the reverse complement.
GTATATTTTCATTGAGATGAAATGCTTGAGTTTTAAAAACTTGATATTATTGTTTAGTGGTATTTTCAGTGAGGGGTAAATAAAACAATTCATTGAGCATGTACTGCACACAGAACATTATACTAGGATCTGCACAAATTCAAAGACGAAGACAAAACAGTCCTCACTCTCAGTCAGCGCAAGAAAAGACATAGTTGCTCTTTTCCTTTCAACATTAAGAAACAAGAAATTGAAATTTAAACAGGTTCCTTTCCTCCCCTCCTTTTCTCCCTTCTTCCCTCCCTCCATCTCTCCTTGAGTATCTACCGTGTGTCACAGCTGGGGATATGTAGACAAGGACACCCTTTGTCATGACCCGTCACTCCTGCAGATGAGACTCCCCCCAGGCTGGGACATTTTAGGCAAGTGGGCGAAAAGAATCCCCAGCACAGTCCCTCTGTGCGGTGCTGCCTAGCAGCTGCCTTCCATCCCTCTGGCTCCCAGAAGTAGCAGATAAGAGCTCTAGATCCAGGTGGCTGGCCATGGCCGTGATCTCTGCCAGCCATGAACCCCCATAACTATGCAGAGCGGGCTTGCCTTCTCCCTCAGGTGGCCAAAGTGGAGAAGTTCAAACACACTCAGAGCACCAAGGACAGCCTGCACGCCAAGTACAACACCGCCACCTGTGGCACGGTGGTGGGCGACGACCAGTGGGGCCACCTCCAGGTGGATGCCACCTCTCTCTTCCTCCTGTTCCTGGCCCAGATGACCGCCTCAGGTGAGCTGGGGTTGCTGGAGCCCATTGTATAAGGAGTGACAATCCGGAAAAGGGGTGGGAGGAGGACAGGTAGCGGCCAGTGTGTCAGGCCATGTGCTGCTTCACTGCTTTAATAAAATACCTCAGACAAGGCCATTTATACAGAACCGAAATGCTTTTTCTCGCAGTTCTGGAGGCTGGGAAGTCCATGACCAAGGCACTACCAGGCTCAGTTGTCCAGTAAGGGCTCCATCCTCCAAAGAGGAGGACTGCTGTGCCCTCCCATGGGGGAGACCAGAAGGGCAAGAGAGCCAGAGGCTCCACGAAGTGTGTTTTGTAAGAGCCTTCATCCCATGTAGGATATGTAGGATGGGAGGAGTCCTCAGGGCCTAATCGCCTCTTATGGCCCCACCTCTTAATACCATCACATTGGCCACACCTCAATTTTGGAGGGGACACATTCAAACCGTAGCAATCAGTATTATAAATCAGCAGTTTACACAAAAGAAAAGCATGCTTCTCCATATTCTGTGCATTTGTTTCTGCAATAGGGCAGGGAGTGCAGGGACCCTGCCTGTAACCTGCAGAGAGGACAGTCACCCTCCACCTGGGCACCAGCAGGGTAAAGGCCGTTGAGCTGGCTCTCTTAGCTTCCCTCTGTTGAACACAGAACCCCTTTACTGTCACTCTCTCCTAGTTCCTGGAGCCACCTAGGTCTGGTCTAACTTTGACACTTAGCTGTCTGCAGACCATCTCACCCCTGCTCTTAGACTTTTCTCCTCCAGGATCAGCAGCCCTGTCCTTTCAGCTCTCCCACTCACTACCCTGGTCACCCTCTTCTAGACACACCCTCACTTTTCCAAATTATATTTGAGCACCACCATTTCTGCCACTCAGCAGTGTGCCCAGAGCGGGCTGAGCAGCCCGCTACTCAGCGGGCTGAGTAGGCTCACAGTTTGTCGGCGGTGTGCCTTGTTCCCATTGAAGCCAGAGCCGCTGGCCTCTGTGGCAGCCTGGACGCCAGGCCTCTCTCTTTCCCACTAGGGTCTCACACCAGGTGGTCTCTCTCTCACAATGGCATGTGCCACAGATGCTCCCCCAGGTTAGGGCACTTAACGGCTATGTCTGGGAGTTCTTATCACCTACCAGTCCAGTCAACTGATGTGTCTGAGGCCTCCCATTCATTGCAGACTGCAAGTGTGAAACTCTCAAAATCCCAGAAATCAGTAAGCAGTATTGTTATGGCTGTGTGAATAAATCACACATTTATGAAGTTACGTTTTGGCTATGAAAGTTAATATGAGCTCACTGTAGATATTTTGGAAAATATAACAGAATACAAAGAAAAAAATTCCACTGCCAACTTTCATTTGGCTGCATCTTCTCCAAGTCTTTTTTCCTGTGCATTTTTTACATGTTTAAGGTCACATTGTACACATAAACATAGTCTTTTTATTACGTAGCGTTATAACAAGCACTTCTCCCGTGATATAACAAGCTCTTCATAAACATTATTTTAGTGAGTTTATCAGTGGGTATACCATAATTAATTTAACTATTCCTTCCTTCTTTTATTTTGCTACTATAACTAATGTTGCAATACCAACTTTGACCCCATCTTCATTTACTTCCTTCTGAGAGTTAGATATCACTCAAAGGCAACTCATATATATTGCCAAATTGTTTTCAGTTTCTAGTTAAACTTAGTTCTGATTGAAATTCTAATCTGGCTTACTAGTTAAGCTGCCCTCATTGATGTAAGAGTCCATTTCCTATCATATCCATAGCAGCTTCCAGAATTCATACTTTAAAAATACCTGTATTTGTTATAACTGACTATATTTTTCTGCAGGGTGGAAGGCCAGCTCCTGGAGCTGGGGACTCCCTGTCTCCCACTGGGAAAAGTATTCACCCTTCTCTTTGGCTCTCTCAAAGATAGAGACAGTGTCTCTGGTTCTTCTGGACTAAAATCCTTGCTCTGTTGGAACCTTCCCCGCATCAATCCAACCTGTACCAGAGGTCCCAAATCTCTCTCATCCCTTTCTACTCATAGGCACACACAGGAAAGTGGAGCCCTTCCTTTCCTTCTCCTTATTTTCCTTCCTTCCCTCCTTCCTTCCCTCTTTTCGGAGATTAGACACTCACTGTTATGCCTTACTTAAGACTTCATTTTTGATGCCTTTGGAAGAAAAATGAAAATGAGGGTAAAAGGGTTTATTTCCTAGTGTGATATTTGTAATTTGTGACTGGCAGCTCTCTGCAACATGGCTTCATAACCTCATTGTTTTTCTTTGCTAGGCTTACGTATCATTTTCACTCTCGATGAGGTGGCCTTCATACAGAATCTTGTCTTTTACATAGAAGCTGCATATAAAGTCGCTGTAAGTATCAACCCTGGTAGTCTTTTCAGATGTTCCAGTCAACAAAAAGAATAAAAATCATACAGTGTTTTGAGGGCCAGGCTGTTTGGGGCTCACCAAAAGGTTAGCGAGACTAGCGCTATGAGATTGTGTCACCTCCACACACAAACTGCATATTTTTGTCCTGGAATAGAGTTGGGGGTTTCAGGTTTTTGGAATGTACTCTGTGCTCTGTCTGAATCCATTATGCTTGTTATATTTTTTTATTTATTTTGTTTATTTATTTATTTTTAAACAGAGTCTCGCTCTGTCACCCTGGCTGGTGTACAGTGGCATGATCTCAGCTCACTGCAGCCTCTGCCTCCCAGGTTCCAGTGATTCTCCTGTCTCAGCCTCCTGATTAGCTGGGATTACAGGTGCCTGCCACCACTCCCCGCTAATGTTTGTATTTTTAATAGAAACGGGGTTTCACCATGTTGGCCAGGCTGGTCTCAAACTCCTGACCTCAGGTGATCCTCCTGCCTCGGCCTCCCAAAGTGCTGGGATTATAGGCGTGAGCCACCACTCCTGGCCCATTATGCTTGTTTTATTTTATTTTATTTTTAATTTTTTTATTTCCATAGGTTATTGGGGAACAGGTGCTGTTTGGTTACATTAAAGTCCTTTAGTGGTGATTTGTGAGATTTTGGTGCACCCATCACCCGGGCAGTATACGCTGCACCCTATTTGTAGTCTTTTATTCCTCTCCCGCTTCCCACACTTTCCCCCTGAGTCCCCACAGTCCGCTGTGTCATTCTTATCCCTTTGCATCCTCATAGCTTAGCTCCCACTTAGGAGTGAGAACATATGATCTTTGGTTTTCCATTCCTGAGTTACTTCACTTAGAATAACAGTCTCCAGTCTCATCCAGGTCGCTGCAAATGCCATTAATCCATTCCTTTTTATGGCTGAGTAGTATTCCATCATATATATACCACAGCTTCTTTATCTACTCGTTGACTGATGGGCCTTTGGTTGGTCCCATGTTTTTACAGTTGTGAATTGTGCTGCTATAAACATGCATGTGCAAGTGTCTTTTTTGTCTAATGACTTCTTTTCCTCTGGGTAGTTACCCAGGAGTGGGATTGCTGGATTAAATGGTAGTTCCCATTATGCTTGTTTGAAATAAGATCCTAACATGTCCTACGGGATGCATATGTGCTGGCTTGAGTTGGGGCTAAAGAGGTAGCAGCATTAGCACCTTGGTGGGAGCTGGGATGCCATGAGCGTCGCCCCAACCAGGCCACAGGTAGAGGGGCTTGAGCCAGGCAGAGCCCCAGCCTGGGCCAGATTTGCTGAGTATAAATGTGTATAAACCCCCTTTCCTCCGAGCTTCTGTCTGGTTTGGAAGGCAAAGCCTGAGGCACCTTTACACAACAACCCCAGTGTGTAAAGCTCTCAGGGAAGGAGGGAAAAGGTAAAGGCTGGTTTTAAAAAAGCCACTATGGTCTAAAGGAAGGTCAGCAAAGGTTTTCTGTAAAGGGCCAGAGAGTAAATATGGTCGGCTTTACAGGCCCTAGGGTCTCTGTCGCAGCTACTTGGCTCTGCCTTTGTAGCATGAAAGCAGCCATAGACAACACGTAAATAAATGAGCATGGCTCTGTCCCAGATAGACTTTGCAAAAATAGGTGGGAAACTAGATTTGTTCCAAAGACTGGGTGGAGTTCCCTGACCCCAGGTCTAAAGCAGTGATTCCCAACGAGAGGCAATCTTGCCCTCCCAGGAGACATTTGGCGATGTCTGGAGACATTTTTGGTTGTCGCACCTGGTCAGTAGGTGTTCGTGGCATCTAGTGAGCCAAGACTAGGACTGCTGCTAGACATCCTACAATGCACAGGCCCCCCTCCCCCCACCCCAATGACTCAGATTACCTGGCTCGAAATGGAATAGTGCTGAAGTTGACAAACCCTGGTCTGAAGAAACTTGAGAAGTCTTTGTGGAAAGGGTGGGCATTGAGTTGGACCTTGGAAGCTGAGCAGAGTCTAGATCAGCAGAAGGGAGGAGATAGGGAGTTTGGGTGCAGGAATAGCTTGTGCAGTCCCAGAGGCAGGAACAGGCTCTGAGTGTGGCTGGGTGGGCTAGGGGGTGCTTGAGGAAAAGGGTACAGAGGAAAGGAGTAGATTTAGGAGGAAAGCTGACATTGGAAAAGAGTAGAACATAAGTGGATCTTATGTTCCACTCTCAGCTTGTGGGTGTGTCTAAGGAGGCCAAATCATGGGGCATATGGCCATTCAGAGAGAGAGATGTGAATGTGATCCACTAGGAAATACACCACTTGTCATTTTAGACCCTGAAACAAGGGGAAGCAGCAATCAAAGCAGTTTTTGAGGATGAATCACCCAGTGCCGGGGTTGGAGGAAAGGTGGGTTGGGCTGCAGGAAGGCGCAGATGAGAAGAGTGCTCAAGGGAAGAAGCCCAGGCTCAGTCACCAGGCACGCTCAGCAGGGAAGTTGCTCTAGGATGCCCGAGTCTCAATCTCTATATTTTGAAAATGTTCTGGCCAGGCGCGGTGGCTCATACCTGTAATCCCAGCACTTTGGGAGGCTGGGACAGGTGGATCACCTGAGGTCAGGAGTTTGAGACCAGCCTGACCAATATGGTGAAACTCTGTCTTTACTAAAAATACAAAAATTACCTGGGTGTGGTGGTGTGCGCCTGTAATCCCAGCTACTCGGGAGGCTGAGGCAGGAGAATTGCTTGAACCTGGGAGGTGGAGGTTGCAGTGAGCTGAGATCGCGCCACTGCACTCCTGAGCAACTAAGCCAGACTCCATCTCAAAAAATAAAAATAAAAAAAAAGAAAAAAAGAAAATATTCTTTTTTGGAGATAAAAAATAAAGATTGAAATGTTGGCATCAGTCTTGTGTGTGTTGGGTGGTCAGCTTTCAGTAGTACACATAGAATTGTTTAAAACAGCATCCCATATGTGGATTTTTTAATGAAAATATGAATTATACATTAGGTACACATGTATCAAGTCCTCTGGGTGCCAGCATTGTGAGCCAATCCCTAGTAATCGGTTTGTAAATACCACGTAGGTTCAGTGTTCTGTGTCTCAGTTGTGACTTTGGCTCCAGTTACTTGCTGAGCATTTTTTCCCCAAGAGGTAATGCTAAAAATAAGTACTAAATTATTTTAAATGCTTTTGCTGGCTTTGACTAGTTATGACCCATGTGCTAAAGTTTCTGTCTTCCATTTTACAACATAATATAAGTTCAAAGGCATTGACTAGAGAGGCAGCATTTTATTCAATCTTAAGAAGATAAAATATTTTGTTCTCCATACATCCAGAGTTTCTTACAAATGAATACCTTCTAGAAATAAGAAATAAGAAATTTGAGAGTGTTGTGGCATGCACTTTTGTCCCACTTGAATATTTTCTTCTAAAATTCTGCACAGAGGTCGCATGAACTGAAATTGAGGAAGAGCACAGTATGAGTCTACAAAGCCTCCGAGAAGATCCACTTATGTTTCAGTGTGGCTGCAGGAACATAAAGGAAGCATTTTTCCCATAGCACTTCTTATATACCTCTTTCTCCCCTCTGATTCCCACCTTTTTCTCCCCCAGGATTATGGAATGTGGGAGCGTGGAGATAAGACTAATCAGGGCATCCCGGAATTGAATGCAAGCTCCGTAGGAATGGCCAAGGTGACAGTTGTCCTGTTTGTTCTTCCTTCTGCATGTTTTTACTGCTTTGATTTGGTTCCCTTCATCAGGAGTTTGTATTTAATCTGATTAGCATATTTGTCAAAAGTCAGCATCAAGGATGTGAAATTCAAGTGGCACAGTTACCCCAGCCACCTGAAATTCTAGGTAAAGAAGGTAGGTTTCCAATGCTGAAATCTGCCCATGGCAGAAAGTAAGAGTGCTCCGTCCTGGTTAGCTGCTGCCATCACCCATGGGTCTAAGCTCTTGCTGTTGTTTAAGAAGCTGCACGTGTGATGTCCAGTCTTCTTTTCTGGGTCACAGAGAGGACTGGAGAATATCACCACTTTGTAGGTTGGACTCACAAGTTCAAAAGTCTACAAGGTCAGTCAAATAACAGTACGAAGTGAAACTAGCCAGACAGCAAGGTGGGGGTCAGGGGAGGAATTGGGGACACTGGGAAACTTTCCCTGAAGGTACTCTGATTCAAACTCATTTAAAATACTCTTCAAGCCAAACAAAACACACCTATGGGGCAGATTCGATCTGTGGGTCACCAGTTTGCTTCTCTTGCCATAGACATATGGTGTGCCTCCTTCCCTCCCTCCTCCAGAATGTAATGTATTTTTTGGACAGAGTAGAGCCTCCAGGGCTATAATTTTTAAAGCAACAAAAAATATGCTCTATTGAAGTAAACAGACAGAAAGTGTACTTATTACTAAAAGAATTAACTTTCTGAAGTGCCAGATGTTTGAAGTTAACTGTTAAAACATGTGAGAGAAAAGACGACCATGAATTTAGTGCACACACACCCACACACACACACACAACGTTATGAACTTGTTAATTCATTTTTAGGTAGAACACTAACTTCACTTGGGAAAATGTTTTTCTGTTTTCTCTTTCTTGTTTCCATAATGAGCAGCAATGTACAGGAGAGCTCTGATCCACTGAAAATAAGAATAGGGTCGGGCACAGTGGTTCACGCCTGTGATCCCAGCACTTTGGGAGGCCGAGATGGGAGGATCACCTGAGCCCGGGAGTTCAAGACCAGCCCTGGCAAAATGGCGAGACCCTGTCTCTACAAAAAAAAAGAAAAGAAAAGAATAAAAAAGACTAGAACATGACTACAGGAGTCTAGCTGGATTTTTAAAATGTGTTTCATTACCTTTGGGAAAACATGTATACTAGATTGCTTAATGAAAAAGGAACACCAGATATTGGAGTGTATGTTTATTAGAAAGAAAAAGTAACTCATACCTGTGTTTGTAGGCAGCTCTTGAGGCAATTGATGAACTGGACCTTTTTGGAGCCCATGGAGGACGCAAGTCAGTGATTCATGTTCTGCCAGATGAGGTCGAGCACTGCCAGGTAATAGCCTCTTGCATTTCAGAGAGCAGGGAAGGAGAGTCCTGGCATGGAAGGCCTGGGATCCAGTGCAGATTCCCCACCTTGCTGGCTTGGTGATACTTTGCTTCTTTGAGCTTCAGTTTTCTCACCCATAAAATGGGCATCCTGGACCCTCTGGCCTCACAAGCTAGTTGTAAGAATCAGTCAACTTAGTCTGTCTAAGCACTTTGTAAGCCAGAAAAGTATAAGACACCATGATGCTGTATAGATGGAATCAGCAATCCAAGCAGCCTTGTTTTGCAAGAGGCAAAGTCTGTTTTATGTCTTTTGAGCACATAGATGGTTTTCTTTCAGGTTTAGTTCACAGTGCCCCCAAATTGAATGATGAGCAAGCACTAGTTCACTTGGGGGTGAGGGGTTGGGGATGGGTGAAATAGGTAGTGGAGAAGAAATGAGATGGGAAAGATGGGAAATTAGTACAACCTCTGTGAAATACAGGTCAGAGAAAGGAGTGATCTAATACAGATTGGAGGATTCTATTGAGCAGAGTGCACGTCATCAATTGCTAGGCCCTCAGCAAACTCTTATTTAGCGAGGGCCCGCTGTGTGCCAAGTACGTTGCTGGGGCTAAAGAAGGTCAGATACATAAAGACTTGTGAATGGAGAGCTTTGGTAGAAGTTTGTGTTTCCAGGCAGAGAAACCCTAGGGAAGAGTGAGTTACAGAACAGGGCCCTGGGCTCAGTTGGCTATAGAAAATAAAGCTTTATTCTGAAGCTGAAGGGTTCCACCCATCTTGACCCTATCTTCCAGCTCACTCAATTTTTCCCCTTTAGGTAGTCCCGGTATTTCTTGGGGTATAGTCTATTTTTTTTTTTTTTTTTTAAGAGGAGGTCTTACTCTATCGCCTAGGCTGGAGTGCAGTGGTGCAATCATAGCTCCCTGTAACCTCAAACTACTGGGCTCAAGCAGTCCTCCCGCCTCAGCTTCCCAAGTAGCTAGGACTACAGGCACGTGTCACCCACACCCAGCTAATTTTTTTTTAATTTTTTTGTAAAGTCAGGGTCTCACTCTGTTGCCCAGGCTGTTCTCCAATTCCTGGCCTCAAGTGATCTTCCCACCTCAGCCTCCCAAAGCTCTGGGGTTGCAGGCATGAGCCACTGTGCCTGGACGTGGTGTGCATCTTAATAGATGTGTAATCCAGTGGAAATGCGTGAGCTTTGCAGCCAGCTGGGCCTGAGTTAGAATCCTAGTTCTGTCACTTACTAGCTGCTCGAAGTCTCAGGGTCCTCAGGTGTGAATTGGACATGGTACCCTAAGTCCTTCTTCATATGAAAGATTCAATGAGCTTATGTTTGCAGGGGTCTAGCCCCATGTCTGTACGTGTTAGATCTCAGTGTTAATTCCTTCCTTTCCCAAACTTTTCCTGATAATTTCAACTCCTTTACAAGTTTCCAGCGCCTAATCCAGCCACTTATTTATAATTGAGGCCATATTATAGTGCCTCTAAGTAACCCTAGAAAGATTCTAGGACTAAACTAATTCTGTGGTTTACCATTTTGTCTGAGTGTTCATGAGATCTTCTGGATTTGACTCCTCCTTTAAGTGGTTTCTGGATCACCCAGTCCAACTGGTCACATTCCACAGAAGCCAGACATTTCTCCAAGCTGGCCCCATGTATGTGTTCTTTTCTGGTCTCTGTCTTCATAGCCAAGACAGCTTAGCCTACTGACACAGGTGGCCCTATAGTTCCTCCCCTACATGTCCTAAAGGTCTGGCAAAGTCAATAGGGCATGGAAGGAAGGGAGACAAGCAGTTCTTAGCGTGGGCTTCAGACAGTACCATGCTCTCCCCAAGCCCTGACTTCTCGCCTGAGGAATAGGAATCATTGGCTGGATATACAGTGTTGGCCAGCAGGGGCCATGTTGGTAGGACAAAGCTCTACTCAAAATTGGCAACCGTATTCGAATGTTCCCTTGGGGCCGAGCTCATGGTCCCTAGATACTGCGCCTATTAGCGCATCTCCAGGTTAAACCACCTCTTTGTTTTTCATTCAGTCTATTCTGTTCTCCATGCTGCCAAGAGCGTCGACATCTAAAGAAATTGATGCTGGACTTCTTTCCATTATTTCCTTCCCGGCCTTTGCAGTGGAAGATGTAAACCTTGTAAATGTGACCAAAAATGAAATTATTTCTAAGCTCCAGGTAAGCATTAGTCATGCTGGTGCCCTTCTGTCCTGTGTGATGTGCATGGAGCAGCTCACCCATGCCTCAGTTCCCCATGAGGTTAATTGCTTGATTTATCTAAGCAGATGCATACAGCGTTCAAAGCTGAGTCTACAGGCAAGAAAACAAAGTCTCCGAGTGATTTAGTGGCTTGGTTCTCTCCTTGAGAAGCAGAACTGGCACTCAGGCAGGCACCTTTGAACCCCAGTTTGTACCAGTACCATACTTCTAAGGCAGAGCTACTTAACCCTTTAGAGGTCACAGACAGTGTATAGAGTCACTGCCAGAAAAAAAAATGCATATGTCCCAATATCCTCAAACTTTACACACAATTTCAATGGACTTGCCAATCCCAAAGTTACCTTCAGGTTAAAATAATCCCTGTTTTGAGGTGAAATGCAGTAACCGTGATACACTAAACTGAGAATATTAAATACTCCAGCCAGTTGAAACTATCGGTAAAATTATCAAAGAATGTAAGTTTCCCTAAGCTGAAATCTGCAGATTGATTGTCCTACTTAGGTTCCATGAAAAATGCTTTTGTCCCTTGGAGTCCCTATGTCTCCAATCATATTCCCAAAAGAAAGCAGCTGTCTCAGTCAGGGTTCAGTGGGAAAAAGGGAACCCCTTTAGGTAGTTGAAGTAGGAAGGGAATGAATACAGAGAATGAAGTGTTTACAAGAAGAGCGGGTTCTAGGCTCAGCCTCCTGGGATGACTCCCAGGACAGTGCGGTGCTGGTCGCTAGGGCTAGGGACGTGGTTGCCTCCATGACCCTCGCGAGAGCCACATCTGCTGTAGCAGCCTCCACATACTTACGGAACTGGAGAATGGACACCCAAAGCTGTGATCTATGGATTAAGGGCGTCAGATTAAGAGAGTGCTGCCCCTGCCCTCCTTTCGTAGCATCCAGGAAGCTGGGGCAGAACCCTGGAGCCTGCAGCCCAAAACCAGCAGCGACAGTCCTAAGCACAGGAAGCTGCCCCCTCCCTTTCTGCTAATCTTTGTGGAGGTGCATCTGACCTTAGAGCCTCCTCTGCAGCCAAAGCCTAACTTCCAGGAGCCTGGGGAATGTCCTTGCAGCTTTCCAATCTTGCAAGTAGGAGCAAACCAATCCAAGTATCTGCCTTGGTGGCTTTTCTAAATAGTGAGGGTCCTTTTAGGTCTCTGTGTAATACAGTAAATCAGAATGAAGGCATGGTCGTTCACTGAACTCTTGGTAATAACTCTTGCAGCCCTGATACTCTGATGGAATGTTTTGGCGTTCCCTTCCAAGTACCGATCAAACCTGAATTGATTTTGCTTATTACTTAAATATATTAATAACTATACTGACAGCAAAGAACACTTGGTATAAAATTCATTACTAAAAGATTCATGGGAAAGAGGGTGCAGGGCTGACTTGAATTAAAAAGGCAAAAAAATTTCTCTGAGCTCATCGAATGTACTTTCTCTTATTAGGGGCGTTATGGATGCTGTCGCTTCCTTCGAGATGGTTATAAAACTCCAAGAGAGGTTGTATTTAAATATTGTTTCTTATCTTTCCTCAACTGTTTCATCTCTAAGTTGCCAATGTGTTGTTCTCCCTCTGCTGATTATAATTTTATGTTGGAATATTGGAAAGGGAAGTATTAATTTTGGAGTCAGCAAGCCTGGAGCCAGGCAATAGCATAGTATCTTTAGTAGGGACGGTGAGCTGGTCATTTAAAACCAGCTTGGCCAGGCGCGGTGGCTCACGCCTGTAATCCCAGCACTTTGGGAGGCCAAGGTGGGCGGATCACGAGGTCAGGAGATCGAGACCATCCCGGCTAACACAGTGAAACCCCATCTCTACTAAAAATACAAAAAATTAGCCGGGTGTGGTGGCGGGCACCTGTAGTCCCAGCTACTCAGAAGGCTGAGGCAGGAGAAAGGCGTGAACCCGGGAGGCGGAGCTTGCACTGAGCCGAAATCGCGCCACTGCACTCCAGCCTGGGTGACAGAATGAGACTCCGTCTCAAAAACAAAAACAAAAACAAAAAACCAACTTGTAGGCCAGGTGCAGTGGCCTGTAATCCCAACACTTGGGGAGGCTGAGGAGGGAGGATTGCTTGAGCCCAGGAGTTCGAGACCAGTCTGGGCAACATAGTGAGACCTTGTCTCTACAAAAAAAATAAAATAAAATTAGTGAGGCAGGTGTGATGGCATGTACCTGTGGTCCTAGCAACTCAGGAGGCTGAGGTGGTAGGATCACTTGAGCCCAGGAGGTCAAGGCTGCAATGAGCAGAGATCACACCATTGTACTACAGCCTGGGTGACAGAGTGAGACCCTGTCTCAAAAAAATAAAAATTTCTTTAAAATTTTAAAAATAAATAAAACCAGCTTGTAGACAAGGAGAACTGGTTCTGTGGCTCACACATTTTTCTTAAAGACCGACTGTGGCCTCCTCCTCGGGTTTCTTTGCCACACTGACTAATATAATGATATAAATCAGATCCTCTGCCAAACTTGGTGGTAGACATATTGCTATTTCTTTGTTAGAGTTATAGGAAGCTTTAGTATAATAAACTACCAAGGAGTCTTGTGTATGTTTCTGACTTACTTTCTGAAATATTACCATGGCAAACTGCCAAAAACAGCATCTCATTATAGTAAAATCCTACTCATGCCAACTTCAAAGCTGTAAAAATCAGTCAAGCATGGGAAACCCCATGAGGCACAATGGTATTATGTATGTATTCTGACATCACCTTTTAAAAGTTTGACTTATTTGATTCTAGGACCCTAATCGACTGCATTATGACCCTGCTGAACTCAAGCTCTTCGAAAACATTGAATGTGAGTGGCCTGTGTTTTGGACATATTTTATAATAGATGGAGTCTTCAGTGGTGATGCTGTTCAGGTGAGAAAATGCTGGGTGTTACGTTGATAATTATTTTCATTCCACTGGTATACTGATTATTATTAGAACATAGGGTTATGCAAGAATTTAGGTCACTGTTTCGGTTATCTGTTCCCACTTAGCAAACTTTCCCAAAACTGAGTGAATTAAAGCAACACCTATTTTATTTATTTGCTCATGATTCTGCAATTTGGGCAGAGCCCAGCAGGGACAGGTTGTCTCTGCTTTACCTGCTGTCAGCTGGGATGGTTCCATGGAAGTGGAGAATCTATTTCCAAGATGGCCTCACTCACATGGCCAATTGATGCTGGCTAGCAGCTGATGCTGGGAACTCAGCTGTGCTATTGGTGGGGGCCTTGGTTCTCCTCCACATGGCTAGCTTGGGCTTCTCACAATATTGTAGTCTCTGGGCCATTAATTTTACATGTTGGTTGTTTTCCCCTCAGAACACAAAAGCAGAAGCTGCCAAGCTTCCATAAGTGTTAGGCCCGGAACTGACAAAATGTCACTTTCATCACATTCTGTTGGCTAAAGGACCATCCCATATTCAAGCGGGAGGGGACTAGACAAGGGCATGAGTACTAGGAGGCGTGGTTCACTGGGGTCTAGCAAGAACATTCCATCACAGACAGGTTTTGTTGTTGCTGTTGTTCTTTCCAGATCAGCCAGTGGTTTGCTGTCTTTAGCCCTAGTTTGGGGTGCTCTTGGATAACATCTTACTTCATGTAACAGCCTCCTCACTCGAATCTCAGCCTCCGGCCTGGTTCCCTGCTGTTTCCATTCTTCTCACCCATGCCAGAGTGATCTTATTAAAAGGCAAATTAGGTTATGCTACTGCCTTGCTTGAAAGCTTGCTTGAAAACCACTTCATGCGTTTTGTGGGGTTCCATATGATCTGATCCCTGCTTTCACCCCTGTAGCCTCATTTCTTAGTGCTTCTTTCTTGAGTTCTGTGATCCAAGCACAATGAAATCCTTTCAGTCCTTTAAACAGGCCATGTGCCCTCCTCTCTTCTCAAAGGCCGAGGACATTCTTTTCTTCCCCAATTGCCCCTCCCCCTTCCCTTGGTTCAATGTAAGTGTGTCTTCTTTCAGAAAGCTTTCTCTGACCCTAAAAGCTGGGGCAGGTGCTCCTACGACCCACAACTATAACAGCATGGGTCACACTATGTTGTATCTCCCCCTTACCTGTCAAAGGACGCTGGTAGAGGCCATCTCTCTCCAGTTCACGGGTATAGTCCCTGTGCCTAGTGCATAGTATGTGCTCAGTAAACATTTACTGATGCAACTCTCATTTGTTCATGACCTATCTCTTTAGCTTCTACTTGGTACCATGCTCTGTGCTGAGCCCTGAGCATACTTTGTTGAACAGAACCGACCTGTCTTTGTGCAGGTTACATGAATGACTGACATCGCAGATGCTTTGCCATTTTTTCAACTGGTTCTGATCACATGTTTGGTGGGGGTGGGGATGAGCAATCAGAGATTCACTTTAGCTCTTGACAGCTCTCCTGCTCAGGAATGCTGGGGGGCTTCAGAACCAGCAGTCAGCTGGAAATGTTAATATTTCCCCACTGTTGATGCTTTCTCTTAGGCTTCAGTGATTATCTTAGGTTTTCTGTCATTTTATCCCAGAATTGAAAGATCTCAAAAGAATTGACTTAGAATTTCAGTTGTGAATAGGCTTAACAATGATGGGGGGAAGAAAACTCAGGAGAGGAAAATGACTGTGTTTAGCGTCTTGTTGATTAAGCTTCATGGAATCTACTACCCTTCTACACCTTTGCTGTCGCTCACACTTGTTGCCCAATGACATTTTTAATATGGGGTCAACTTTTTTAGCGCCCACACATGAGTGAGAACATGTGGCATCTTTCTGTGCCTGGCTTATTTCACTTAACACACTGACCTCCAATTCCATCCATGTTACTACAAATGACAGAATGTTATTCTTTTTTTATGGCTGAATAGTAATGAATGCCTCTTAAGTGGAAAACTTACCAAGAGGTGGAAATGGGTACACTGCTTAAGATATAGCTTCCCCCACAAGAAGTTTATAATCCGGTTACTGAGACAAAATTTAAATATATGAGGGGTTAAGAATGAAATAATTACATGACGAGTTAAAGACAGAACAGGAAAGACATCTGATACACAGTGTAGATATGACTACTAGAGGAATTTTGAGGAAGAAACAGCTACTGTATGATGGGTGCTCTGTCTCTCTTTCTGGAAGCAAGACAGGCAGGGCTGAGCTTAGATACACTCCTGAGAGGAATAGCCGATCGTGTTTAGCTCCTCCTAACACTGTAAGTGTGCCTCCTGCACTCCTGGAGCTGAGGGTATTTGTGCATTTCTTTGCCCTGTGTCTGAACTCTAATCTGTTGCCATGAGAGCTTTTTTTCTATGTTGCACCGCTGTTACAGCAATCATGACCAGACCTCCTTCCTGCCATGGATGATGGGGCTGTTTTCCAGGTCCAAGAATACCGAGAGGCCCTGGAGGGAATACTCATCAGAGGCAAGAATGGGATCCGCCTGGTGCCTGAACTCTACGCTGTCCCGCCTAACAAGGTAACCCAGTGGCAGAGGGCCCTTTGCACCGCTTATCTAGAAATAAGTGACTCATTGCTTGGCCTGTTGGTATTCTTTATCCCCTTTTTCGAACTAATGAACACTTTTTCTCCAAACATGGTTTCAAAAGCCTTAGGTAGGCTGGGCGCGGTGGCTCACGCCTGTAATCCCAGCACTTTGGGAGGCTGAGGCGGGTGGATTACTTGTGGTCAGGAGTTTGAGACCAGCCTGGCTGACATGGCAAAACCCCATCTCTACTAAAAAAAAAAAAAAAAAATACAAAAATTAGCCAGGCATGGTGGCACATGCCTGCAGTCCCAGCTACTTGGGAGGCTGAGGCAGGAGAATTGCTTGAACCTGGGAGGTGGAGGTTGCAATGAGCCGAGATCACACCACTGCACTTTAGCCTGGGCTACAGAACGAGACTCCATCTCAAAAAAAAAAAAGCCTTAGGTAGTGTTCCTGTCTATCCCAAGGAATCATGACTTTGGAAAAATATGTGGAACACGCTTGACCATGGGTATCCTGGGGAGGCAGCAGTTGAAGACCTTCAAATGATACCTGTCCCTCCCCGAACCCTGACACAGGCTCTCTAAAGAGCGTAAACCCATTGTGCACCGTGTTCTTACACACTTCCACAGACGAAGGCCAATGTACAGGGGTATTGAGAATCTCTTCCTTTGATTCAAGCAGTTTGCAAGCTAGAGTTTGAGTAATCACTTAGAAGCCATTCTACATCAGGGAGAGAAAAACAGTCCAGTTCCAAGAAAATGCCCAAACATAGTTTTATTCTATCAAGTTTCCTAAATTGGGTCATGATGGACCTATTATCTTGGCAGGAAGATTTGTCTGTCAATATCTCATGGTTAGAAGAAGAATTCTTGGTTCCTGGCTGTCCCTTGGATGCTTTTGGTGCCTCAGGGCTTGATTATTGTGTTTGTGGGATGAAAAGGCCTTCAGAGGACCGTGTCTTCCCCAAAATCGCCAGGGCCTGGAGGAGGTTGTAAGCCAGCAGAGGCCTGGCATATGGCAACTTGGGTTTAGGTGTTCTGTGGTTCAATCAGGCCCACACACACATGGCCACAGGACTGGCAGGGCCTTTTAAAGTGTCTGCCTCAGCTCAGAGAGGCTGTGGAACCTGTCAGAGCTCACACAGCACTGGGCTCCGCCCTGGGGCCAGACCCCAGGTTCAGGGCCTTGCTGCCACCCCACACTGCCTCCTAATGGGTGGTACATTTCTGTGTGATGGAAGTATCTACACAGTGGATGCTCTCACTAGGCTTCTGAAAGCAATAGTATAGTGGACTTCTTTACTTTTCCATAGAATATAAATTTTAAAGCAATCTGATACTTGATCCTTATGGCAAAAAAGGTACCACCGTGTATCACTTTGAGCCTTATTTTCATCTAAAAGGAACTATTACGTGTTAGATCACTGAACCAGTTAAACCAAGTAGAAAATCAAAGGAAGGAGTTTCCGTGAGAAGTAGAATGTGCCATTGCCGGAAGCATTCAGTTTTTTGCATTTATATCAGCCCATCTTGTTCACTGGGCCCCTTGAGGTGGCTGCTTGCTCCAGGTGGGCTCACCAAGCCCCACCAGCCTGGACCCTTAGCCCTGAGCTCCGGAATGTTGATGGCCCCTCATCCCAACATGAACCGACAGCCCACATCATCCAAGCTCTCTCAGGACTGATTTTGTTCCAGGGTTAAGGGCCAGACTTTGGAGAGGAACTAGTCTTCCCTCACTCTGCAGATCAGTCTACGGAGCCTGCTAGGGCTGTGTTCCTTCTAAGTGTCCTCAGCCTAGATCCCCTGCAAATAAATGTATTCCTTTTAGTACGCGTGCTGCGGTATGTGGGTTGGGGCAGGGCTGGCAGTGGGGGCTGGGTTACCTTCCAGCAGCTACATGTTCATATCCCGCTTCAGGTCGCTCCTTTCCCAGTACTGAGGCATTCGGGAAAACCGAATTGGTAATGAGAGGTAATTTGGAACCTGGAAGCAGAGCAAGGGAAAATAAGTGCCTTCAGGGGTATTTTACTTATTCTATGGTAGAGAAGAGCCGTCCAGTTCTACTAGAGGGCACGTTTTACTGACTATAGTAAATGCCAGGTGTTAAGAGCTACGCTTTTCTTTCTTTCTGATGAACAGTGCTGACTACACATTGTAAAAAATTACTCTGTGACTTTCTGTCTTCTAAACTCCACACTGACCTTTGGGTTTCTGCTTGTCATTACAATGTCCTCAGCATGTTTACACTGGTGTGCTAGGCACTGATTTTGCACACTCTTTGACACTGATTGCATTTTGTGTTGGCTCCTTCCAGATGACAGCTGGGAAGGTTTATCAGTCACATCAATAACATGTAGAGACCACCAGGAAGGATTTCTGCACACAGGGCCACCACAGGCCCATGTGGCACCTGTGTGCAAATTAGATAAAAGGCCTCATCAGGGTAGCCGCAGCCCTGGGCCAGGGTGGCATGCAGCTTGGATGTGAGCCCCACTCATTTCCTCAGCCAGATGTGCTTGTGCAGGGCACCATAAGGCCCTCTGTGGACAGCTGGAGACCAATGAAAGTGTCCCCGCAAACATGGATTGAGCAGCCACTCCGTGCCAGGCACCAGGCTAGCTACTGGGGCACAAGGGTGGCTACAGCGCCAGCTCTGTCCCTGTGAGCTTGCAGGTTAGCAGGGGCCAGACGAGCTGGTCCATGAGATGGAGGGCAGTGGCAGCAGCAAAAGCATAGCACCTTTGAGGACCTGTGGGCAGTTCAGAAGGACCGGTGTGCAGAGAGGCAGAGGGGGATGCCTCCATGCGGGGCAGGAGGTGGCTCATGGGTGGGAGGAGTGCAAAGCCAGGCTGTCTTGTAAACTGGACACCTTGTCTGCTCTCTATTGAATATTTCTCATTCTACATCTCTGCAGTCTTTTTTTTTTTTTTGAGACAGAGTCTCACTCTGTCACCCAGGCTGGAGTGCATTGGCACAATCTTGTCTCACTGCAACCTCTGCCTCTCAGGTTCACGTGATTCTCCTGCCTCAGCCTCCTGAGTAGCTGGGATTACAGGCATTTGCCACCATGCCTGACTAATTTTTGTATTTTTAGTAGAGACAGGGTTTCGCTGTGTTGGCCAGACTGGTCTCGAACTCCTGGCCTCAGGTGATCTGCCCACCTCAGCCTCCCAAAGTGCTGGGATTACAGGTGTGAGCCACCATGCCTGACCTTTCAGTCTTTCTTAACACGACTTACATTTCAAATAGTTTTAACATACTACCTGATTATCATACAAGTAATTCTGTGCACGACAAAACATCTAGGATTCTGTAGAAAGAAGAAAACGTTATCTCTAATTCTACCACCCAAAGATTATGACATTTTGGAGAATCTCCTTCCACACTATTGTCCTATTGGATTATTTGATTACTAATGACATTTAATTCTGTTCAGTTCATGCACTAAAGTTTTTCTTATTGAAAAAATTTTAAATTTTACTAAATATGTTAATAACATCATTGATTAATCTGCAAGCAGAAGATGAGTCTCCTCATGGTGTGATGTTCCCCTTGGGAGAAGGATGTTTCCTATTTCCTTTGGTTGACTTACGTTTTCTGGAAGACAAAAGCGGTCACTGACATTACCCCCAACCAATGATGTGATGACTGAAATGTCAAAGTCCAGCATGGAGTTTAAAAGAGAGAAAGTTGCAGACTAGCTTACAATGCGCAGCCAGCCCTGTCCTCCAGAAAGAACACCAAAGTTTATTTTGCTGAGACAGAAGCCCCCCAGTGGGTTCAGCTTTTTGAGGCCCTGAAGGAGGGGTTACAGGCTAGTAGTCCAAGTGTTTTTCCTCGGTAAATAGTGCCACCTTCTGGCAATTCTCTTGCATTAGGCGCACAGTTTATAAACCCCTAGGGATGGCTCCAGCGATGCACCGCCACAGCTGGAGGCTGATGTTTTCCATCATTTCACCCATCATGCAGCCAATTGTAAGCATGAGCCATGAGAGTTCTCATGGCCAGAGCTGTGCGCAAAGCAGGCAGGCCAGGCATCCGGTGCTCGTGGCCTTGCGTGTGCCTGTAGGAAGAGTGCTTGTCCAGAACCAGGCCGCGATTTGACTTCCACCTCCGCTGCTTTGTAGCCTTGCAGCCCCGAGGAAGGGGCTTGCTCCCCAGCCTCCTGGCACCTGCACAGAATTGGCCTGGAGGATGAGTACCATTTCATAAATCCTCAGTGCATTCCCCATGGTCAGGTATCATGGCCATTTTATCCTCTGACTTTCTGACTTTGGATTTGTCTCTCTTTCCAGGTAGATGAAGAGTACAAGAATCCTCACACAGTAGACCGAGTTCCTATGGGGAAGGTGCCTCATCTGTGGGGCCAATCCTTGTACATCCTCAGCTCGCTGTTGGCAGAGGTAGGGGCTTAGTGGCCTCACAGACTGGAAACCATGTGATTGGAGGTTCAGGGAACCCCAGAAGGGCATAGGGACTCTCTGCCAGGCGTGCGTGTGGATGTCTTTTGCATCTTCATTCGTTTAAGGTCAACTGGACCGTGTTGGCTCCGGGGCTTGACTCTCAGCCTTGTGTGTCCATATTTCCATTAAACCAGCTCAGGTCCATGAGGGCCCAGCACTCCCCATCACCCCCTGCCAGCATTCTTCCTCTGTGGCTAGAATCTGTTCCAGTTGATGGTCAGAGGAGCTGGAAGTTTCTGGGCCAGGATTGTTAGCACATCTGATCCTAGAAGATACAAGATTTGGGAAATGACTAGATTGGCCCCTAGGTGCCCCTGCCCCAGTCTTAGGAGCAGGAAGCACAAGGGCCACAGATCTCTACAGAAAGAGGTGGCGGGCCGGATTTTCTCTGGTGAATTTTGTGTCAGGTGTTGCCCCGGACAACCTGCAGCACCCTTCCTTCTGCAGACAACTGCCTCTTGACACCTTTCTTTTTGTTCACCATTGACTTGTCCCCAGGCTTTTGTTTTAATATGCAAATACTTTGGAGCCGCCTCAAATGAATCCCCCACTCCTCAGTATGAGTGACCTTATCAGATGGGCTGTCGTTCCTGAGAGGGTCCTGCCCAGCTGAGTGCTTCGGCTGGACCCCGGGGAGGCAGGGAGGGGAAGGAGCCCAGGGAAGGGCTGAGGGGCTGCCAGGCTCTAGAAAAGGCAGAAGGGGTGGTGGGTCAGCATGCCACCGGGTTCCTAGAGTGTTGAAGCCCAGGATGAAAGATACCACCGTGGAAGCAGCCCTCAGGAACACTACCTGCCGAGCTGAAACAGTTGTTTTACAGGTACCTCAAGACTCCCCAGTGTCATGGTCATGTCCTTGGAGTAGGGGCTGTGTCTTCCACTCCTGTCTTTATTAGTAGGGAAAACGCATATATCTCCTTTGAAAGCCAGCCCTGTCTCTCACTAGTTCTCTGATCCCGGGCAGGTCTCTAATCTCTGGGCTTCGGTTTCCTCATCTGTAAAATGAAAAGGATGGACTTGATCATCTCTGACCTTCCAGCTCTGATTTCTGTATCAGTGAGATGGGAAACGAGTAACTCCCCTCCCCTGCTTTCTCCTCTCTGATGTAAAGGCTTTCTCTGGGCCCAGCGCTAGGTCCAGTTGCTCCTCAGAACTCCCAGAAC
Organism: Homo sapiens; assembly: GCF_000001405.40. Classification (NCBI taxonomy): domain Eukaryota; kingdom Metazoa; phylum Chordata; class Mammalia; order Primates; family Hominidae; genus Homo; species Homo sapiens. Next base: position 18,930,420 of record NC_000023.11, on the reverse strand, counting down.
ACCTTGATCCTCTCTCTCGGGGTTCGTGTCATTTGTAGAAAGTGCAAGGAGGTGCATATTCAAAGAGAATACTTTGCAAGGGAGTGGGGTTGTGGGGGCCAAGTCCCCACTCAGCCACTTCCCTTGGGTCATTATCTTGGTTTCCCCACCTGTACAGTGGTGATGGTGGTAGCGTGGGGGCCAAGGTGTTCTCCTAAAGGTCTGATGAAAAATCACTGACATGAGGCAGATTGATTAATAAGAAAAAAGGGCATGCAGATATACTTAACATGTATACAGGGGAGCCTTCAGAATGAATACCCCAAGATCTAGGGGAAATTTTCTGTTTTTATGCATAGTTTCAACAAAATATGGACAGCTGTGTAGAAATGTGATTAGACAAAAGGGGCCTGATGAATGCTAATGGACCAAGTGGGGAAACCCAGCGAGGCCTTTCTGTGCAGCGCTCTTTCCTTCTGAGTGTGGGGCAGGTCCCTCCCTAGAGTGGGGCCCTTATGACCTACAGCCAAACAAGGTAGGTGAGGGAATTTTTTATGGCCAGTTTTTACAGAGAATATTTGTAGGTTTTGTGGCTGGCTTTGGGGAAAAGGGATTCTGGTTTCTATGCCCACCTTGGGGAAGAAGAATTCTAGTTTCTGTGGCGCCTCCAGAAGAATGGACTGAGAGAGAGAGGCAGGAGAAGGTCAGAGGAAAACTTATGCTTCTGAGGCTGCTGCTGAGGTCTTTGTTTTGGGGGTGTTGTTTTCTGAGCCCCAAAAGTAGTGCCTACCTGTCAGGAGGCATAAATATGACAGTGCGCATACAGTGGCTCAACACAATGCCTGGCATGTTACTGTGAGCTCAGAAAGTATTGGTTATCATTCTTTTTGCTCATACAAGATGGTGGCATATTCGACGAGCCCTAGAGAGCTAGGTGCAAAAATGTAATACGTTTATCAGTGGCAGTTTGAATGATGTTACTCTGTTTCACAGAAAATAAGCAATTGACTCGAAAAATATAAAGAAAAAAGTCTTGAATATGTTGAGCCCCAAAATATTTCATTTTCACACTTCAGTTTAAGATGAAATTTTAGTTAATCAATATTTCATAGTGTTAATGCTCCTCTTTTCATAGGGATTCCTTGCCGCTGGTGAAATCGATCCCTTAAATAGAAGATTTTCCACTTCAGTCAAACCTGATGTTGTAGTACAAGGTTTGTGAGCGTGTTTACTGTTCATATTTAACTTTGTAAAACCAATGTTATTTTAATTCAAATTGTTGCCTAGTTTCTTATTTAATTTTTTTAAAGTGTGTATGTGCCTATGCTTTAGCATGTAGCAGTTGTGTGAGATGCCTTATATAACTCAGTGGCTTCCAAAGGCAACAGAATTCTTCCCAACCACAAAATGACTTTCTACAAAGCAATTGTTGTCTTGAATATAAACCTTGATTGCAACTGGGGCACAAGTGATTCGTTGCGCGTCATTTATCATCATTGTTATTCTTTGAAAAATAGAGCCTAAGCCTGGTGAAAACTCAGAACCCAACTGAGGGTCATTCATTCCTCCCTTGGAGTCCTGACATCTTTCCGCCTTTCACCTGTGTCCACCTTTCCTCTCCCTCCTCTCCAGCCAGCCCTTCTTCTGGAGAGGGGCGAGACCAGCCCAGGCTGCTGCTGCCCTCCGCCTAGCCAAGTGATTTCACCCTTCTGTGCCTCAGGGTCATCAGGACTTGAGCTCCCTGACTGGGGCTTCCTAAGATGTACTGAGGCTGCAGTGGGAAAGCGCTTGGTGTAGTGCCTGGCCTGTGGTGTGCACCCGGGTGGAGCAGTTCTCTTCCTACCTTCCTTCTTAGGGAGGACCTCCTGGCAGTCCAGTAACATTCTCTGTGCCCCATAGAGCACACCAGCTAGTGTCATAGCATGTTGTGTGTACACCATATTGCCCCTGAGACTGTACACTTCTTAATGACAAGGCCTATATCATTCTTGCAGTTTCTATGTTGATTGGCACATACGCACCCATACGTTGAAAACAGTGATTGAACAAATGACAAGCATTTCTCTGTAGCCACTGGCTCATTTTGCTTCGGGGGCTCATGCTGTGGTGAGATGAGCTGATATCACCCAGTCAATAGAGCCATGAGATACACCTGTCACAGCATTCTGATTAGGTAAAGTTTGAGATGATGATCATCATCTCCACCTTACACACGAGGCTTAGAAGTTAACCCACTCCCTCAAGGACCCACAGCTGGCAGCTGTAGGTGTGAATCCATTCCTGACTTCCAGGTGGACTGATCCAGCTGGACTCATTGTGCCTGCGCTAAGCCAGAGCATGTCCTGCTAATTAGTCCCTTGAATCTATTAAGACCGTTTTTCCACCTGCAGGCTGGGACACTTTGATGGGTGTTGACCAGCATTTGTTTAATAGAACAGTGTAGAAATTCCCAGAAGGTCAGGCACAGAGTAGGGGAAGTGCAGTTTCAGAAACTTAGCCACATCCAGCTGCACAGATCATGAGGCTCCCAGGTCTCCCCCAAAACCACTGCACTAAAGGAGTTACTCCTACAGAGAGTGGCTGCTGGGGTTTTGATAAATGTGGAGTCATGCCTGTCATTGGAAGCTTTAGAAGAGACAGGTGTTAAGGAAAGCCACCTAGCCAGCCCTGCATGGCTGATGTTCCCATTTGCTGAGGGCCTGGGAGATTAGGTTTCAGTCCACGTGCAGCTGTAACTGGCCAGTTGAGCATGCAAGGCTTCCCTGGGGGCTTGTTGTGAAGGTCAGATGAGATAATGGATATTAAAATACTTGAAAAGGCATCAAGTGCTGTGTAAATATAAAGAGGTGACACTCAACTCTCAACTGCATGTATATGTATTGTACATTCCGGCCCCACTAGCCTGTGAGTACAATGATTGTACTTAACAGTAGCCAATCCTGCGCTGCCCTGAGCCTCTGCAGCTTCCAGGGGGCTCGGCCGCAGCTGGACATGGCACCAACCTCTCTCCCTGTGGCCGTGCTCCCCTTTTCCAGTCCCATCCCTGTACTCCTTCCCTTTGCCAAAGCACTGTCCCTTCTCAGAAAGGCCAGCGGTACTAGTACAGCAGGTGCAGCCTAGCCGATCCCGGGTTGTCCCCGGTGATGGCCTCCCTCCTCCATGGGCCCCCAGGTCCCAGGCACAATCAGCTCCCCGCCTGCTGGAGAGCCAGGTGCCCAGCCTCTCCCACCAGAGATGGGGCCCAGGCCAGCCCTGGGGTGCTTTTTCCCCACCGGTGGGGCCCTGTGCGGGGGTTCTGAATGGGCCAGGCTGCTCCACTACCGCCAGCATCCCCACTCACAGACCTACTTTGCTTTCTCTAGAGGGAAGGATGTCCCCTCAGAACATCCCCTGCCAGCAGGCGCCCCCATCTTACTCTTCTTTCCCCCGTCCTTTGGGAGCAGGGGCACAGGCTTCTGGCATCCCCCAAGTGGAGCTGTTTCCACTCCTGACCCTGCATAAAAAGGGACACCAGGCAGGTTTAGAATAGATGCAGACCCAGAGGGAGGCAAGACATTACTTGAGACGGGGCAGTTTGGCTTGGGACTTATTGAGGACAATTTCTAGAAGTCTCCTATCAGACTATCTTGCACAATGAAGGCACTTGATAAATAGGCGTTGAGGTTGTTGAGGGGTGGCAAGGACAGAATGGGGAGGAGCAGCAGGACGAACACTGTCATTTCCAAAGCCAGTCATTGCATGGAAGAGCATGCTGATGTGTATGTCACCAGGCAGAAGAGGGCAGTAAGGAACACGTGTCCATGTGAAGAGACAAGAGTCATGAGCTAACGCTCATTCTGTGTTCTTGTTCACAGTTACTGTTTTGGCAGAAAACAATCACATTAAGGACTTATTGAGGAAACACGGGGTGAACGTCCAGAGTATCGCGGACATTCATCCAATTCAAGTCCAGCCGGGCCGGATTCTTAGTCACATATATGCCAAGCTTGGTAGGTTTGGGGAAATTACCTGGGCCTTTTTGGCATGGGGGCATCTCGGTTCTAGATTTGGGGTCTGAGGGAGACTGTGATATACGTAAGTTCTAAAGACTTGGACAAAAACTAAAGCAGGCGGTTCCACCGCTTCGATGTGAAGAGGAACGGGCAAACCAGCACGTTCTCACACCCGTTCAGTGGGCACCGTCACAGGTGGCCAAGCATTCGCCGGATCTGTTGTAAAATAAGGAGCCACCTTGAAAAATTTACAATTGGAAAAGTCATTTGTGTCTTGATAATGCTTCTCATGTTTACCTTTAGTATCAGAAAATGCTCATTTACACATTAAAATGGGAGGAGGTTCTCTATGCTTTTTCTACAATCTGACTTTGTTTACTATTATGGTTCAATACTAAGTAAATCGAAAGTAAATGTTCTATAGTCCTTTTAGTAGTTTTATTCCATGCAGTTCCAACTGGGTACTGTTCATATACATTCATGAAAAGAAGGGGGCGGGATTTGTTTTAATATTCAGCTTCGTGCCATTTTAAAGGATGATGGCAGTAGAAGAACCAAGCCCCAAAATGGGTTGTCTAATCTAGAAATAAGCTCAGTCTTAGCCTGAGTTGCCTGGATTACTTGTTAACCGTATTTCCTCTAACTCCAATTTATCTTTTACTTCTCAAACAGGACGGAATAAGAATATGAATTTGAGTGGGCGACCGTATCGACATATTGGTGTCCTTGGAACCTCTAAACTATATGTGATTAGGAACCAAATCTTTACTTTTACACCCCAGGTGAGGAGAGCAGGCCAACGAGCATCTTTTTTTTAAGTTCTCTTTGCTGTCTGGTAAGCTTTTCTCCTGTGAATATGACAGAATTCTGCATGCATAGGTTCAAATAGAGACATATGAAATGATACCAAGAGCCTAGTACAAGTCTGCCCGTAGTAGGTGCTCGGTAAATGCTTTTTGAGACAGGCGTGCCATCACTTCCAGTCATGAATATTAGTGAAATTCAGACTGCTTTAGAAGTTTGCTGTTGACATGTCACTTGACTCACAGCCCTTGTGCCCCTAATCACAATCATCTCTGACCCTTGTGCAAGCTGTCATCAGACCCTCTGTGTAACACACAGCCAGGCTGATTTTCTGGCCACACCCTCGCTTACTGGGATACTGAATGTACTCATGGAACTTACTGGAGAGCTTTGGTTTCCAAAGAAAACTAGTCCTGTGGAAGTACATAGAAAATATTTTTCACCCATTTGGGCAGCTAGAAAGACCAACAGTGGGATCGCTTTGGCAGTGCAGGGCACAATCCCTGCTTACCTGGGCACAGGGTTGGTCATGGGGTCTTGGGTCAAGCTGCTGTTTCATCCTAGCCCCTGCTGCTCACAGAAAGCTTGTGAGCTATTTCCCTTAGTAGCAAATTTCAGTCCAGAGCTGAGCATGCACTAGTCCAGAGGCCAAGAGAACAGTTTGATTTGTTCTCAACATCAGGCAGCAGTGTCTTTAGTTGACATTAACCAAAGCCATCAATCAGGTAAACAGAGTGTCCACCTCCCACCTGCTCACAGTGCCCCCACTTGGAAAGCATCTTCGAACCCATAGCCCTGGAAGGATCAGGAATTAAGGAGTTATTGATTTGCTTTCAGAGACAGCAGTGTTGGGCAAGATGCTTAAATCCCCATCTGAGGAGCTGGAAATAAATCTAGCAGTGCACCTTTCCCTTCCACCCTACAGCGACAGCTCCCGGGCAGGCAGCAGACTGATTTGTCTGATCTTGAGCAGGGCAGCCCCATGACTGGGTGGATTGAAACGAGTACTGAGCCTCTTGCCTGGCAATAAAACCCCAGGATTAGTGCTGACCTGAGTTGTCAGCTGGTGTTTCCAGGTAAAGAAAGGGTGGCCGTTTACCCAGCCTCCTCTGACTTTCAGTTCACCGACCAGCATCACTTCTACCTGGCCCTCGACAATGAGATGATCGTGGAGATGCTAAGGATCGAGCTGGCCTACCTGTGCACCTGCTGGAGGATGACGGGCAGACCCACACTCACCTTCCCCATCAGTCGCACCATGCTCAGTAACTCCAGGGATTTCAGCAGGCTCCCTCCTGCCCCAGGGGTGGTTTGGGCTCTTACAAATGTTTAAAATGGCTCCCATGGCCAGAACTAAGCACTGAAGGGGCTTCTTAGCAGTTTGGTTTCTTATCTCGGGAATCTTCTATGCCAGAAATATTTTAATTAGATGGTGTTGATGAAAATGTTTCAGTGCATAACGGAAAAAAAGTCTGCCCAGACTAAACTAATTCATCACTTTTTTTCCTTAGCAAATGATGGCTCAGACATTCATTCTGCTGTGCTCTCCACAATTAGAAAACTAGAGGATGGATATTTTGGAGGAGCCAGGTAATTTGTGATTTTTTTAAAAAATATAAGAGTAGCACTGACCTTTCTTAAAGTCCTTTGCTGCCCTTGTCCCATTTTTCATATTAATTGTTGAACCTAAAAGCATGCAGTTTTAGAGTAAGCAGGAAGGTAACACTTCTCTAATCCAGTCGCCCGTGTGAAACTTGGCTCATCTCTGAAACAGCACTCGGCTGATATCTTTTAAGCTTTACAGGCACCAGGAGGCCTCGGACATAGGGAGGTGAACCATCAAGTCCCTCTGAAACATCTGTTCTTCTTGGAACGCATGTATGGAATTCTGTGTATATTTCTGTTAAAAGGTGTGGAAGAAAATACTCTGCCTGGGATCCTGCAGGTGCCCAATAAATGCTCCTTGCACCAACTTGAATATGCTATCACCTTAAGATTCATTTGCAGGACTTGGCAAATTCCTTAGAGCCCTCACAGCAGAGCACCTGAATGAGTCTGTGTAGGTCACTGGCCCCTCACCTTCTGTGGAATGAGCCCCCTTCTGGTTTACAGGCCCCAAGTAGGGAAGACGTACCCAGGTATTATGCTTAAGCACCTTGAGTGATAGAGGGCTTGCCCTCCAGGAATACCCCTTCCATTTTTGTGCCCTCTACTGTCACAAGGCAGAGGTCTTCTCTGTAGTGTCTATTCTCTCATCTTCTTCCATCCCCTAGGATATACCAGAAGGGCCCCAAGAGAATGCTGTGGACCAGGCACGGTGGCTCACACTATAATCCCAGCACTTTGGGAGGCTGAGGCAGGCAGATCACCTGAGGTCAGAAGTTTGAGACCAGCCTGGCAAAACCCTGTCTCTATTGAAAATACAAAAATTAGCCAGGCATGGTGGTGCACGCCTGTAGTCCCAGCCATTTGGGAGGCTGAGGCAGGAGAATCGCTTGAACTTAGGAGGTAGAGGCTGCAGTGAGCCAAGATCATACCACTGCACTCCAGCCTGGGTAACAGAATGAGACTCCGTCTCAAAAAAAAAAAAAAAAAAAAGGAGAATCTCACTGTGTAGCTCAGCCCTGGTGTAGCCTTTCCAGGGCTCAGGGAGGCTTCTGTTTGGTCCCTGATGGAATTCCAGTTGCTAAAACTTTTGGAGTTGAAGCCCACCCTTTCTTCTCACATCCTCTCACCCCAGGGACACTCCTACCACAGCAAAGTCACTGTCGTTTTTTTAAAATTATGGTAATTTACCTATAACATTACCTTAACCATTTGTAAGTGTATAGTTCAGTAGTGTTAAGTACATTCACATTGTTGTGCAACCAATCTCCAGAACTCTTTTCATTTTGCAACAAGTAAAACTGTACACCCATTAATAGCAACTCTACTTCCCCCTCCTCCCGCCCCTAGCAACCACCAGCCTTTCTGCCTCCATGAGTTTGACTGCTCCAGATAGCTCATATAAGTGGCATCATACAACATTTATCATTTTGTGACTGGCTCATTTCACATGATGTCCCCAAAGTTAAGTCCCTGTTATTTCTAACCCTGGCCTTGAGCGATTTGAAGAGCCCGCTGAGGTTGGTCCCTCTGCCCACAGAGCTTCTTGCAGGTTTTGCTGTAGACTTGAAGTGGCCCTTGATCCAAGCTTCTCCTGGCCTTTCTCGCGAGACTGTCCCCAGTGTTTTGCTGTATACACTTTCAGGACTAGTGCCATACCAGCAATCTGCATCCACTTTTGCACATTTTACCTCCAATTTGCTTCAGTTACCACCTGGTGCATGGCATCATAACTGAGAGAGAATACCAAAGGCCTATAATTAACCATTTTGCAAAATAATTTTTTTTTTTTTTGAAACGGAGTTTCACTCTTGTTGCCCAGGCTGGAGTGCAGTGGCACAATCTCGGCTCACTGCAACCTCCACCCCCCAGGTTCAAGCAATTCTCCTGCCTCGGCCTCCCAGGTAGCTGGGATCACAGGCATGTGCCACCACACCTGGCTAATTTTGTATTTTTAGTAGAGACGGGGTTTCACCATGTTGGCCAGGCTGGTCTCAAACTCCTGACCTCAGGTGATCCACCTGCCTCAGCCTCCCAAAGTGCTGGGATTACAGGTGTGAGCTACTGTGCCCAGCCGCAAAATAAATCCTTTTATTGAGATCTAATCATTGTAAAAAGGAAATTGTCTGCAGTTCACTGAGCACTGGCCGTGTATTCAATGTGTTGTCTCATTGAGGCTTCACTTTCTGACTTGGGGTGAATTCCCATTTCATAGACAAGGAGCTGTAGACTCAGAGAGCCATTGGCAGAAGAGGAATAGGTGCAGCAGCTCTGTGTGAACCCAGAACCCGGCCTCTAAGCCCTGGTGCTGAGCTGGATGAGGGCTTATTGGTGTCAGGAGGGCCCCTTGGTTATAGACCATGGCAGATGATTCAGAGAGCCTTAGAAGAGACTGGAATGCCTAGGCTACTTCTGCTCAGTTCATGATCATTAAGAGCTTTATAAATAAAATTAATATAGTTATAATTTAGTATATGATTTATAGATTACATATAGGAGTTATAACTATGTAACACAGTGTTATAAAAATTATATTGCAAAGATAATTAAGTTCTTGATAAGTTGAGTCACAGTTTTGGCTTTTCCTCTATTTCTGAGGGTTGTTGTTGTTTTTCTTTTGAGACGGAGTCTCTGTCGCCCAGGCTGGAGTACAGTGGCGCGATCTCGGCTCACTGCAACCTCCACCTCCCAGGTTCAAGCAGTTCTGTCTCAGCCTCTCAAGTACCTGGGATTACAGATGCCTGCCACCACACCCTGCTAATTTTTGTATTTTTAGTAGAGAGGGGTTTCACCATGTTGGCCAGGGTGGTCTCAAACTCCTGAGCTCAGGTGATCCACCTGCCTTGGCCTCCCAAAGTGCTGGGATTGCAAGCATAAACCATGGTGCCCAGCCTATTTCTGAGGGTTTTTTAAAAGCTGAACTCACCCTACATACCCACTGGATCCACTTGGGGGGGGTGCTCAATTAAAGAAAGGCTTTTCTTTCCCTCGGGCTGTCATTCTGGTTATAGCCCTTTTGAGGCTGAAGCTCTGGCACCTCTGATACTATTGCATTACATATGCCTCAATTGACTCTTTAAACGTTTCTCAGCCTTTTCAACTAAATCCCAATCTGGTGCTGATAACTCTGAGGGAGGGATCCATTGCTTTCTGCTCCCCCGGTGTAACCTTTTAAGAATGTTTTCTTCTGTATGTGCAAATCGCTCCCAGCGTGTGGGGTTGGACCTGCAGAACCTCAGGCCCCAGGCTGCCAAACCCAGCGTCCAGGTTTCAGTGGAACTGTGCCCAGCCTAAGGTGATAGGGCCACTCAGGGCTTCTGCTCCAGTCTGGGGATGGCTTCCCCATTGAATTCCTTCTAGAGGGAACCTGACCTCTTCCATCATAGCACCCCTGTCCCTGTGTGACAGTGTTTCGTGGTAGGGACTCATAAATAATGGAACGAGTGTGCCCAGAGAATCACTGCTTCTGGGCCAGTCGTTTTGGGGGAAAAAACAAAACAAAAACATGGGTTGGTTCTGTTTAAAAGTAGTTTGCGCAATATATTTTGTCAAACTGTTGGTTGGTTCAGTAAAATAGAGTCGTATTTGTGTTGGGTTGGGAGTAAGAAGTCAGTGTGATTCATTTGGCTTTTAATATGCTGTGCGCGTTCACTTCATACTTGCTATTGAATTTTTGTTTGAATGTCTTGGCTGACCGCTTATATGGGGCAATCTGCAGAGTGATATATGTATTGATTCTGGCAGAAGCACCACATGGTTGTGCAAAAGTCTCTCAGTGATTCATAGTGGAAGGTTATCCACACACTACCTGTGTCCCTAACACGGTGTCTTCTTGGCAGAGTAAAATTAGGGAACCTTTCGGAATTTCTCACCACATCGTTCTACACATATCTGACTTTTCTGGATCCAGACTGTGATGAGAAGTTGTTTGACAATGCCAGCGAAGGGACTTTCAGTCCTGATAGTGATTCAGATTTGGTAGGATATCTGGAAGACACCTGTAATCAAGGTACAGCTTGGAATGCTTTTGTGGGTAGTTCGCTGAATTTATTTAAACTTTAGCATTGTGATAAAATTGCCCTAAGACTCAAATATAGACAATGATTGATAATTAAAAACAAGGAAAAACAAAAAAGAGGCTTCTGAAACTTGCATATATTAAAATGAATAAAATGCCCGTTTAAAAACCGAAACTGCAAATGATGTCCTTGAAAGTGGGGCATTTTTAAACCTAGAAGGACAAAGAGTTTCAGGAATGGGGACTTTTTTTCTTTTTTTTCTTCTCTCTCTCTCTTTTTTTTTTTTTTTTTTTGTTGTTGTTTGTTTTTGAGACAGGGTCTTGCTCTGTTGCCCAGGCTGGAGTGCAGTGGCATGATCATGGCTCACTGCAGCCTCGACCTCCTGGGCTCAAGCAATCCTCCCACCTCAGCCTCCCAAGTGGCTAAGACTATAGGCCTACAGGGAAGCACCACCATACCCAGCTAATTCTTTTATATTTTATAGAGATGGGGTCTCCTTATGTTGCCCTGGCTGGTCTTAAACTCCTGGGCTCAACTGATCAGCCTGCCTCGTCCTCCCAAAGTGCTGGGATTACAGGCATGAGCCACCGTGGCTGGCCAGGAATGGGGACTTTGCACAGAATACATACATTCTGAAGACAGAAACATACTGCTTGAATTTTCAAAGGAGTGGTAGAATGATCTAGGTTTGGTTGGATATGAGTGATGAAACCCTACGTATATAACATTTGTCAGTCTGAATAAGGTTTTGAGGTGATCTGTTTTTCACTTTTAGATAGTAGTTGGAATTAGGGCTGGGAGTTCCATAAGGCTTAGCTCACTCATGACAAATTAAAACAAAAAGCCCAGACTTCGGCTGCTATCCTTCAGGCTGTCTTACATATTATTCAGTTCATCTTGGGAGGACGAGATGTAAACACTATCTTGACTGGTAGTTTTTTTTTCCTGGGATAAAGTTTTTCCAAACAGCAAATTTCTACACACATACATTATCTCTGTAAATCTCTTCTTACTCTTCAGGGGTGAGTGGGAGTGCAAATATCGATATCTCAGTGTTGTCATCTGCTAAGCCTACTCAGTGCTGCTTGCTACCCATGGTCACTATTGTGTAGTCATATTTCTACAGCTTGGTTTCATTGGCTCTTTTTCTTGCTTGTCCAATTACAGAAAGCCAAGACGAACTTGACCATTATATCAACCACCTTCTGCAAAGCACATCGTTGAGGTCCTATCTGCCTCCTCTTTGTAAGAACACAGAAGACCGCCATGTCTTCAGTGCTATCCACTCCACGCGGGACATACTTTCTGTGATGGCAAAAGCAAAGGGTTTGGAAGTTCCATGTATGTTATTAACTCTTTTCTGCCTGTTAAAATACCTTCTTTTATCAAAGTAATGCAGGGACATAATTTAAAAGCCAAAGAATCCTAGAAGACAACAAAATGCCCCCCACGTGCTTCTACTTAGAGGTAACCACTTTCAACTCTTTTAGCTCTTTCTTCTGGTATGTACATATCTCCATATTTCTCAAATAATGTGTACATACTGCTGTCTTCACATGCATTGACTTGATTCGGTACTTGTTGACTTTCGATTAAGTGGGTAAGGATCTGGCTGTCTTAAATCACCACTCCTCTGCTTCACTCCCCCTAACCCACCAAGGGGTTAAAGTTTAGTTAAATCAGTATTCACTCTTTATATCATTGTATGTACACAAATATTTCCAACTGAGCATTATAGTATACTCTGTTTATATTCCCATTTTTACTCTGTTTTTTCGAAAGGTAAAGTTACCCTGGCTTTTCATTTGCTTTGCTTTCTTTCTACATCTTCCAGTGGCCTCGCAATACAAATTTCCACAAGCTCAGTCGTATCGGTGAATCTCTCAATTCCACTGCCTTTCTTAGAGTCCACGAGTCTCCTTCTATCTGTGCTGACTGCGCTCTAGGCCTGTTGCATATGTGTCATCCTGGGAGTTTCCCTGGCTTGTCTCCTTAGTTGGATTCCGTGGTTCCTGAATCTGCTGTGTTCCCCTTTCTCAATGTATTCTTCTGTTTTGGTGGAGCACATTCTAGAATAGTTTCAGTAGGTTTCAAAAAAAAAAAAGTGAAGTGGAAGAGGGCATGGTGGTGACAGCTCTCGACTTACTTGTTTTTGAACTGCACTGCCCTCTGCCCCCTTCTGGCTTGGTTGCCCTCAGTGTCTGAGGTGCTTTTTACCCTGGGATCTTCCCCGGAGGCTTCCTTGACTTGTCTCCTGGGATGGCTCTCCTGTGTTCTGTATCCCAACTCTTCTTTCTTGGTTCACTCTTATTTTAATAGAGGACATGCAGTAGTTTCCTGAGAAACAGCGCACGGTGGGTAAAATTGTTGAAACCTTGCCATTTTAAAAATGTCTACAAATGTTCCAGACCCATTTGAGAGTTTGGCTGGGTATAGAATTCTAGATTAAAAATACATTTTTTTGGCTGGGCGTGGTGGCTCATACCTGTAATCCCAGCACTTTTGGAAGCTGAGGCAGGCGGATCACTTGAGGCCAGGACTTTGAGACTAGCCTGGCCAACATGGTGAAACGCTGTCTGTACTAAAAATACAGAAATGAGCCAGGTTTGGTGGCCTGCACCTGTAATCCCAGCTACTCAGGAGGCTGAGGCAGAAGAAGCACTTGAACCCGGGAAGCAGAGGTTGCAGTGAGCTGAGATCGTGCCACTACACTCCAGCCTGGGTGACAGAGCAAGACCCTGTCTCAAAAAAAAAAAAAAAAGACATTTTTTTGCAGATTTTTGAAAGTATGACTTATTGTCTTCTTGCTATCAGTGTGTTGGTGTTGCTGTTGAGAAATCTAAACCTGGGCAGGCACAGTGGCTCATGCCTATAATCTGAGCAATCTGGGAAACTGAGGCAGGAAGATCGCTTGAGTCCAGGAATTTGAGACCAGCCTGGGCAAGATAGTGAGGCCCTGTCTCTACAAAAAATAGAAAAAATAGCCAGGCATGGTGGCACATGCCTGTAGTCCCAGCTACTTGGGAGTCTGAGGCAGGAGGATCACTTGAGCTCAGGGAGGTTGAGGTTGCAGTGAGCTGTGATCACACCACTGCACTCCAGCCTGAGTAACAGAACGAGAACCTGTCTCAAAAAAAAAAAAAAATGTATTAGCCCATTCTTGCATTGCCATAAAGAAATACCTGAGACTGGGTAATTTATAAAGAAAAGAGGTCTAATTGGCTCAGGGTTCTGCCGGCTGTACAGGAAGCATGATGCTGGCATCTACTTGGCTTCTAGGGAGGCCTCAGGAAGCTTCCAGTCATGACGGAAGACAAAAGGGGAGCAGACACTTCACATGGCGACAGTAGGAACAAGAGAGAGTGGTCACACACTTTTGAACAACCAGATCTCATATCCCTTGTGAACTCAGAGTGAGAGCTCACTTATCACCAAGGGGATGGCCCAAGCCATTCATGAGGGACCCACCCCCATGATCCAAACACCTCCCACCAGGCCCCACCTCCAACACTGGGGATTACATTTCAACATGAGATTTGAGTGAGACATTCAAACCATATCAGAAATTAAACCCATTCTGATTGTTTGAGACAAGAGTATCACTCTGTCGCCCAGGCCAGAGTGCAGTGGCTCGATCTCAGCTCACTGCAACCTCCGCCTCCTGGGTTCAAGCGAGCCTCCTGGGTTCAAGCGATTCTCCTGCCTCAGCCTCCCAAGTAGCGGGGATTACAGGCACCCACCATCACATCCGGCTAATTTTTGTATTTTTAGTAGAGACAGGGTTTCACCGTGTTGGCCAGGCTGGTCTTGAACTTCTGACCTCAGGCAATCTGCCCTCTTGGGCCTCCCAAAGTGCTGGGATTACAGGCGTGAGCCACCGTGCCCGGCTCATTCTGATTTTTGATACTTCAAATATGAGCTGTTTTTCTCTTTGAAAGTGTTTAGGATCTTCTCTGCTCCCGGCTTCTGACATCTCAGTGCTGCACCTTAATCTCTATCTGGGTGTGTTTTCATCCATTGTGTTGGATACACACTGGGCCTTTCCAATCTGGAAATTTGTTTTTCAGTCCTGTAAAGTTTTCCTAAAAAGTTTCTTGACTCATTTCCTGCCCAACATTTTCTCTGTTCTTTCTTTCTGGTGTTCCTATGATTCCAAAGTTGACTTCCTAGAGAAGACTTTATCATTTTTTTCCCTCTGTTTTCCATTTTTCTGTCTTGTCCTGAAAGCCATTGTCTCAACTTTTTGTTCCATCCCCTCAATTTAGCCACTTTTGCTATCATGTTTTAAATCTTTGTTCCCCAAATTGTGTCTGTTTTTGTTTCACGTTTACAATATAATTTCTTGGCCAGACGCAGTGGCTGATGCCTATAATCCCAGCACATTGGGAGGCCAAGACAGGCGGATTCCTTGAACCCAAGAATTCTGGACCAGCCTGGGCAACGTAGCAAGACACTGTCTGTACAAAAAAAAAAAAAAAAAAGATTAGCCAGGCGTGGTGGTGCATGTCTGTGATCCCAGGTACTTGGGAGGCTGAGGTGGGAGGATCGCATGAGTCCGGGAGGTTGAGGCTGCAGTGAGCCATGATCATGCCACTGCACTCCAGCCTGGGTGACAGAGCGAGACCCTGTCTCAAAAAAATAGTAAAAATACAGTATAATTTCTTTTTCTGAAAGAGAGAAAGAAAAGGTCCTGCTCTGTCACCCAGGCTGAAGTGCAGTGGCATGATCATGGCTCACTGCAGCCTTCACCTCCCAGGCCCAAGCGATCCCCCTACCTCAACCTCCCAAGTAGCTGGGACCACAGGTGCATGCCACCACACCCAGCTAATTTTTATTTTTATTTCTGTGGAGACAGGGTTTCACCATGTTGCCCAGGCTGGTCTCAAACTCCTGACCTCAAACGATCTGCCTGCCGTGGCTTCCCAAAGTGCTGGGATTACAGGCATGAGCCACCATACCTGGCAATTTGTTATTATTCTAAGAATATTAATGGCAGGGCTTTTTGTTTTGGTTTGTATATACCCTTTTTACTCTTTGAATGGTTTCCATTCCCCCAAGTCACCTTTTCCGGTTTGCTTAGGTTTCTGTCTTCCACATGAGCGTCCTCCTTCAAATGCCCTGCTCCTCCTCGCTTACCTGGTCATGCATGAGAATCTCCAAGCCCATGGGTGGGGCTTGTTGACTCGGAGTTATTTGATTTCCCAGAGATACTCTACAATCTCCTAGTGGATTTCCTATTTCAAGGATTAGGGCCTGGTTGCCTGGAGCTATATAGTTACTTATAATTCCCTTAAGGAATGTATCTACGCCTTCAGATGTGCTAATCAGCAGCCCCTCTCTCTTCGAGCCCCTTCCTCCTTTACCCTCTTCTGAGAGACCCTCCAGTCTTCTGTCAGAGTGAGTGAGGTGGTCATCAAGCTGGGTGTAGTTGAAGCGGATGTCCAGGGAGCTCACTGCTTCTCAGATAGCTTCTCCCCAGCCTTCCTTGTTTTGGACACCCCTTCTAGGCCCCAGTTCCAGAAGCACATAGTGCAGCAGGCCCCAGGGACTTCTGATGAGCCTTGGGTGTAACTGACCAGCTCTCGGATTTCTCCACTGCAGACTTGGGAATTGGTTGCCTTGTGTCAGCTAAATCACTTATCTTTCATCTGTCAGCTTTCCCGCTTCTGAAATTCTGTTCCTGTCGTCTTCTTTCTTGTTTTTCTTCATTCTCAAGGATTTGTCTTTTAAAAAAAAATATATACAGTTATGCACCACATAACTTTTTGGTCAATGGCAGACCGCATATATGGCGGTGGTCCCCTAAGATTATAATGGAGCTGAAACCTTTCTGTCACCTAGTGACATCGTAGCTGTAGTGACTTTGTAGCACCATGCACTGCTCACATGTTTGTGGCGATGCCAGTATCAGTAAACCTCCTGCGCTGCCAGTCGTGTACAGGTCTAGCACATACAATTATGTATAGTACATAATACTTGATAATACATAAGTATGTTGCTGGTTTGCGTATTTAGAGTGTACTCCTTTTACTTATTAAAAAACGTTAACTGTGAAACAGCCGCAGACCAGTTCTTCAAGAGGGATTACAGGAGAAAGCATTGTTATCTTAGGAGATGACAGCTCCATGTACATTACTGCCCCTGAAGACCTTCCAGTGGGACAAGCTGTGGAGGTGGAAGCAGTGATGGATGATCCTGGCCCTGCATAGGCCTAATGTGTGTGTTTGTGTTTTCATTTTTTAAAAAAAGTTTAAAAAGTAAAATAAATAAAACTAAAAAATAGATCAAAGCTTATAGAATAAGGACGTAAAGAAAATATTTTTGTGGGCCGGCTGTGGTGGCTCATGCCTGTAATCCCAGCACTTTAGGAGGCCCAGGTGGGTGGGTCAGGAGTTCAAGACCAGCCTGGCTAACATGGTGAAACCCTGTCTCTACTAAAAATACAAAAATTAGCTGGGCGTGGAGGCACACACCTGTAATCCCAGCTACTCGGGAGGCTGAGGTGGGAGAGTCGCTTGAACCAGGGAGGTGGAGGTTGCAGTGAGCCGAGATCGCACCACTGCAGTCCAGCCTGGGCAACAAGGCGAGACTCCATCTCAAAAAAAAAAAAGAAAGAAAATATTTTTGTACAGCTGTACGATCTGTGTTTTAAGCTGTTATTACAAAAGTCAGATTTTTAAAAATTTAAGTTTATAAAGTTACAGTAAGCTAAGGTCATTTAATATTAAAGAACACTGTGTGATGAATTCAGTGCAGTGTGAATGTAGAGTATTTATGAAGTCTACAGCAGTGTACAGTCATGTCCTAGGCCTTCACATTCACTCACCACTCACCCAGTCACCCAGAGCAACTTCCAGTCCTGCAAGCTCCATTCATGGCAAGGGCCCTATAGAGGTGAACCATTTTTCATCTTATATACCATATTTCTCTTTTTTTTTTTTTTTTTGACAGGGTCTTGCTCTGTCACCCAGGCTGAAGTGCAGTGCCACGATCAGGGCTTACTGCAGCCTCAGTCTCCTGAGCTCAAGCGATCCTTCTGCCTCAGCCCTCCAGTAGCTGGGACTACAGGCATGCACCATCACACCCGGCTCATTGTTTTTGTTTTGTTTTTTGAGACAGTTTCATTCTTGTTGCCGAGGCTGGAGTGCAATGGCATGATCTCAGCTCACCATAATCTTCGCCTCCCAGGTTCAAGCGATTCTCCCGCCTCAGCCTCCGGAGTAGCTGGGATTACAGGCATGTGCCACCACACCTGGCTAATTTTGTATTTTTAGTAGAGATGGGGTTTCGCCATGTTGTCAGGCTGATCTTGAACTCCCGACCTCAGGTGATCCTTCCGCCTCAGCCTGCCAAAGTGCTGGGATTACAGGTGTGAGCCACCACGCCTGGCCTACCATTTTTTTTTTTTTTTAATTTTAGTAGGGATGAGGTCTCACTATGTTGCCCAGGCCAGTCTTGAACTCCTGAGCTCAAGAAATCCTCTCACCTCAGCCTCCCAAAGTGCTGGGATTACAGGCATGAGCCACCATGCCTGGCCTATACCATCTTTCTACCATACCTTTTCTATGTTTAGACACACAAATACTATTGTGTTACAGTTACCTACAGTATTCAGTACAGGAACATGGATACAGGTTTGTAGCCTAGGAGCAATAGCCTCTATCATCCAACCTAGGTGTGTAGTAGGCTGTACCATCTAGGTTTGTGTAAGTACACTCTATGCTGTTCATGCAGTGAGGAATTTGCCTAATGACACATTTCTCAGAATGTATCCCTGTCATTAAACAATGCATGACTGTATATATTTTCTGTAATGTTAGTGGAGGGTTGGAAGGAATTAAAATTACAGTGTGTATTCAATTCACAAATATAACCTGGAGGTCTATAAATGCCTTTTAAATATGCATCATCTTTACCTTGAAAACTTCTTGTTCTCCTGAGATGACATGATATAGCCTGGAAGACAGGGATGGCTTAATGAATAAATATCAATAATGATAATATCCAGAGGTGGTTGAAAAACAAGCCCTACTGCCCAGCAGTGGCAGAGTGAAGTGCATACTGGACCGGAAGCCAAGACACCTTGGTTATGGGAAGTGACCTTGGACAAATGGTCTGCCCTCTCTGGGTCTCTCAGTTTCCTCATCCGAAAGAAAAAGAGGTCAGGCGAAATCACTTCTGAGCTTCTTTCCAGTCCTGGGATGTTGTATCATTTTTCCTGAATTCCAGGAGGGAAAAGCGAAATCCAGTTCTCAAAGCAAGATCTATGCCTGCTCACTTCTTATTCCCAGATTTAGCACATGAGGTGGCTACATGATAAATTCTTGTTGAAGCTAAACTAAATAAGTGATCTTTCCTTCTGTTGGTTTGTGTTAGATAAGGAGCAGCCGCCATACTTCTCAAAAGAAGTATTGGCCGGGAACGGTGGCTCAAGCCTATAATCCCAGCACTTTGGGAGGCTGAGACGGCTGTATCACCTGAGGTCAGGAGTTCAAGACCAGCCTGACCAACATGGCAAAACCCTGTCTCTACTAAAAATATAAAAATTAGGCTGGGCCTAGTGGCTCATGCCTGTATTCCCAGCACTTTGGGAGGCTGAGGTGGGCAGATCACCTGAGGTCGGGAGTTCGAGATCAGCCTGACCAACATGGCGAAATTCCGTCCCTACTAAAGATACAAAATTAGCCAGGCGTGGTGGCACATGCCTATAATCCCAGCTATTTGGGAGGCCGAGGCAGGAGAATCACTTGAACCTGGGAGGTGGAGGTTGCGGTGAGCCAAGATCTCGCCATCGCACTCCAACCTGAGCAACAAGAGGGAAACTCTGTCTCAAAAAAAAAAAAAAAAAATTAGCTGGGCGTGGTGGCACGTGCCTGTTATCCCAGCTACTCGGGAGGCTGAGGCAGGAGAATCGCTTGAACCCGGGAGGCAAAGGTTGCAGTGAGGCGAGATCACACCAGTGCACTCCAGCCTGGGTGACAGAGTGAGATTCTGTCTCAAAAAAAAAAAAAGTGTTGTTCTTCCTCCTCAGAATAACTCTCTTTATTCTTTTGTTTTCCAGTTGTTCCCATGACTTTGCCGACTAAAGTTCTAAGTGCCCACCGTAAATCACTGAATCTTGTTGATTCTCCTCAGCCACTCCTAGAAAAGGTAAAGTATATGGAACAGCTTTTTTTAAAAGTATGGTGTTCTACAATGCAGGATGAGTCCCCAAACTCTTCCAAATGGCTAAACTCAAAAGAAACAGCATATTTCTCGATATCAGGGACCTTTCAGTTTAGAAGCTCTGGGCTTGGGTGTGAACCCAATCACTTCGTTGTCTGGAATCTGACTTGCATCAATATGTACATTGAATTTGATGCAAACCTTTACATTTTGCCTGTAGAAAAAGCTACTACCTTGCTGCCTACTCATCAGAGTCTATGTAGCCACTAGAGGAAAAAGCTCACTACCTAACCCCGCCTAACTGTTTAGCCAGCCAAGGTGGGACTACTTGGGGAACAGAGTACAGGACTCTTTGTTCCTAATGGCCTTTTTAAATTTTTCTTAGAGTCTCGCTCTGTCACCCAGGCTGGAGTGCAGTGGTGTGATCACAGCTCACTGCAGCCTCAACCTCCAGGCTCAGGCAATCCTCCCACCTCAGCTTCCCAAATAGTTGGGACTACCAGCGTGCGCCACCATGCCCAGCTAATTTTTGTATTTTTTGTAGAGACAGGGTTTTACCATGTTGCCCAGACTGGTCTGGAATTCCTGGGCTCAAGCGATCCTCTCACCTTAGCCTCCCAAAGTGCTGGGATTACAGGCGCAAGCCACTGCACCTGGCTCCTAATGCTCTTAATGTAAGAAAAAACAGTAAAAGATTCCTTAGGATACTGCAGGAAAAAGATGGGCATAAAAAAATTTTAAAAATAAGATTGCTCAGGAGAATAAAATCTCAGCCTGTTCCATTAATTCCCACAATTTGTTATTTTATCCAGGACTCTTCCCTGATTCTACCCCACACGAACAGACTCAGTGGCACACTCAGTGCCTGTTGGAGAAGATTTTACCCTGATTTCAATTTTAGGTTGTTTACATCCTTTTTGCGTTTGTTTTGCTTCCAAATAACTATACCATATATGCAGCATGGTGCAGAAAGCAGGAATAGAGAAGCGAGAGGTCACCTCCAACCCCTCCTTAGCTCTTGTGAGGGCTTTTCGGCTCCGTCTAGAAGCCGCTTGACACCAGGCATCTGCAAGAAAAAGCATACAAAGGTGATTAGCTGTCTGGGTACATGGGGATCTTCACAAGAGAGTGAAGTCTGAAGAAGTGGTCAAAGCAAGATGCTTTCCTACTTTTTAAACAAAGAGTGATAAATTTGAGAAGCTAGGACAGGACAAGGAAAATCTGGCTAGAGGCAGTTACTAGGAGATATATACACAGGGTGTGTAAAACTAGTGGAAGATAAGGTTTCCTTGGGTAAGTGTATTTATACAGGTCCATTGCCGCCCCCAGTTCCTGGGCTCTGGTGATATGGGCTATTTTCACGCCCTAGGAGTGTACCCCTCCCAGAGGCATCCTTATGGCTTGCTGCCTGCAGAAAGAGACAGGTCAGCTACCCCTTTCTGAAACTACAATTTTTCCAATGTTTTCAACTCAAAATTGTCAATATACCAATCTGGCATATTTGGGGATAGCACATCCTTCACACCTTCAGCTCAATGAATGATCACCAAGCCAGTATACCTGGATCAATGACCACCTTCTGTGCCCCCCTCCCATCTCTTTCTCCTTTTCTGGTCCAGAGATAACTGCTGTCATGATTCCTAACACCAGAGGTTAGTTCTACTGGTCTGTGAACCTTCCATAAATAAAACTCACATATATTTTAACCTATTCAGTCCAGTCTCTTGCAAATGTTGACCAGCACAGTGATTCACTGATCAAAAATAGTAAAAGCCTATAAATAAAGAGGTACAAAAAGTCATTGAAAACTGGAGCACAGCACAGCAATAGAGTTCCAAGACCAGATTGGTGTTTCACTTCTTGATCTTCCGAAAGTTCCATGCCTAGCCCATCTCCCTGCTTTCTGGCTCTTGTATGAACAGGTTCCTGAAAGTGACTTTCAGTGGCCCAGAGATGACCATGGTGACGTGGACTGTGAGAAGCTGGTTGAGCAGCTAAAAGATTGTTCGAACCTACAGGACCAAGCAGACATTCTGTACATTCTTTATGTCATAAAGTAAGTGTCTGAGTCCATTCGGGCAGTTATAACAAAATACCATGAACAGATTGGCTTAGGAACAACAGAAATGAATTTCTCACAGTTCCGGAGGCTGGGAAGTTGAAACTCAAGGCCGATTTGATGTCTGGGAAGGCCTGTTTTCTCATAGATGGCATCTTCTCATTGCATCCTGACATGGTGGAAGGGGCGAGTGAGCTCTCTGGCATTGTTTTTATAAGGGCACTCATTTCCTTCAGGAGGGCTCTGCCCTCTGACCTGATGACCTCCCAAAGTCCCCACCTCCTAATGTCATCATTGTGGGGGTTAAGATTTCAACATAGGAATTGGGGGAAAACAGACATTCAAGCCGTAGCAGTAAGTTTATGGTCTTTACTAGGCTAAGCTTTCTCAGTTCTCCTTAATTTTTTCCGTAGTATTCTTGGCCTTCTAGCCAGCCCAGGTCATGATTATATTCACCCCAGTTACCCAGGATCACCAGGAATGAGACTTCCATCCCCTTCTCTGCCTACTGATGCTGGTCCCCCAGCATGAGAAGGCTATGTGAGGCCAGGAGGCCACCACGTCCTGATGTTAGGCTTCTGTTTCAAAGGACATAGGGAAGCTTTGGTCGGGCGTAACCCTCTCAGTGAGACTCAGGGGCACTGGGAGAGCCCAAGTGCTGTGCAAAATGCACAGTGATCCATTCCTCTCCCAGTCTAAACTTTCTGGACCATATTTCTGGGTTTTTCTACCTCTTGGCAGGGGTCCCAGCTGGGACACAAATCTCTCTGGACAGCACGGGGTCACCGTTCAAAACCTTCTTGGTGAGCTCTATGGGAAAGCCGGCTTGAACCAGGAGTGGGGTCTGATTCGCTACATCTCAGGCCTTCTCAGGAAGAAAGTGGAGGTCCTGGCTGAGGTCAGTGCGACTGTGCAGGCTGCCCATGTGTGCTCACTAGCTCGTGCCCCCTTCCTCTTCCACTTCCAATCTCCCAGTTATACCTCTTACTTGTGAAGGAGCCCCATTCTTTAACCCACAGGTGGAGCGGGCCCTTCTCTCCTGCCTGCCTGCTGCTCCAGGAAGGCGAGCAGAGGGAAGGAAATGCAAGTGGATTGGTTTTGTTCTTTCTTGGCTACGGAAAAAGTCTCGCCAGGAAATCAAATGAAAGTGCTCTGTGGCCTGGCAGCCTCTTAGAGCTCTCTTTTTTTCACACATCCACAGTACAGTGATCATTAATATTTATAACCCCAAGGCCAGGCAAAATCCAGAGCTGCTTTCTAAGACACTCGAGTTCAGTGTCATGATGGTAAGATGATGGCATTTATTAGATGTGAATAATGGGGAAACGGGTAACTTAGGAATTGAATATGGTTATTAACTCTTACCATCGGTATCTTCGGACTCATCCCTGTCTCACTCAATAGCAGGGAGTCCAATGTGTTTGCTAGTGGATGGGCATTAAACGCCCACTGACGGGCCCTTCGGAGCCAGGCTTGGGGCCACACATTGGAGACAGAGACCACAGACACCCATCCCTGTCTGGGTTGCTTAGTCTGGGGTCTAGGTATGAATTTTTCAGATCAAGGGCAACATGGGTCACTAAGTTTGTAAAGGTAAATGTACGATCTGATTGGCAGTGTCTCCTCCCCACTGCCTGTCTGTCGTCTTTGCCAGTATCTCTCTCGCGCTCTGCCTCTCACCCTTCCCCTTAACTGCGCAGGCCTGCACAGACCTGCTTTCGCACCAGAAGCAGCTCACCGTGGGCCTGCCGCCCGAGCCCCGGGAGAAGATCATCTCTGCGTAAGTCCTCAGCCTTGGGGACCTCAGGTTTGCGGGGGAGCCATGGGGAAAACAGCGCTTCCCAGTGTTCGGAGGAGGGGCTTTTTAAAGACACTCTGTCACATGGATGCGTCTAGCACAGAAAATAAGGGTGTTCCATGGAGGGCGAGGAGGCACTGTCTCAAGACACCTCATCACATTCGTGACACAATGCTCCTTTCTAGGCCCCTTCCCCCAGAGGAGCTCACAAAACTCATCTACGAGGCCAGTGGGCAGGACATCAGCATTGCCGTCCTCACGCAGGTCTGGGGCTGGTGTGGGAGGGGTCGGGCCACAGCCTTCCTCAGAGTGGAGGGGACCCTTCAGCCACTCACCCTGTCTCTGAAACCCTATCTCCGTGTGTGTCTGCCTCAGGAGATTGTGGTTTACCTGGCCATGTATGTCAGGGCGCAGCCCAGCCTCTTTGTGGAGATGCTGAGACTCCGGATTGGACTGATCATTCAGGTGATGGCCACGGAGCTGGCACGGAGCCTGAACTGCTCAGGTGAGATGCCCGCAGCTCCTGCAGCTCCCGCCGCACCCCACCCCAACCACCCGGCCACGGCCTCCACTCTCAGGGGAAGAACTGCTTAGGTTATCTCGAACCCAGCATCCAAGCCTGTGGCAAGCTCAGGCCTTACCAGCTTCTCTCATTTAGATGGAACTCCCATCCATGCGGCATAGAGCTGAAGTTCATAAGTCAGGGAGAATGGGGCTCTGGTGATGTTTACCATTATAGCCTCAAAGGCGATGTGGAATCTTCCGCCCTGTACCCGACATCTAAGCTCCTTCCTGGATGCCCTTGCTATGAGATGTCACCCCCATTTTATAACACCTTCACTGGGAGAAACCCTACCAATTTGAATATAAAAATCCATCATGAGACATCCAACGTTGGGGATCATACATTGTGAAACATCATGTGTCTAAGAATTAAGCAGATACATGATTTAAACGGCAGCATTTAGAATCCCCACGGAACAGTGCATTTCAGCCCCAAAGCAATAGTGAGGTTCTCCTGAACAGGGGGACCTGCCATGGCATCTGCTATCACCTCCCTCCCCACCCACGTCCACCTGACCCTACCTTTACCCGCCACCAGCCCTGTGTTTGGGACACTTACAAGATATTTGTTTTTAGGAGAAGAGGCTTCTGAAAGTTTGATGAACCTCAGCCCTTTCGATATGAAAAATCTCCTGCACCATATTCTAAGTGGGAAAGAGTTTGGCGTTGAAAGAAGTGGTAAGTTCCATGCTCCTGTTAACGTCTTCAGGGAGCTGCCTCCTTTACATGCAGCAGACATTAGAACCAGCACTGTGGGGCATAGCGAATGTGGGAAGAGAAGGCTCCTACCTGAAGGAGATGGACAGAGTCCTAGGCTCAAGCTTCCTGCTTTGGGGGCTTTGAGACTTGCTCGCAGTGTGCTGGGCGAGCTTTTCTTGCCCAGGTTGGCACAGCATGTGGGTGTGGTATACCGCCTCCTGTAGTCGTAAGCACCTGGCACCATCACTTACGCAAAAGTGTTGGCTGGGCTCGGTGGCTAACGCCTGTAATCCCAGCACTTTGGGAGGCTGAGGTGGGCGGATGACGAGGTCAGGAGTTTGAGACCAGCCTGACCAACGTGGTGAAACCCCGTCACTACTAAAAATACAAAAAAAATTAGTCAGGCGTGGTGGCGCGCGCCTGTAATCCCAGGTACTCAGGAGGCTGAGGCAGGAGAATTGCTTCAACCCGGGAGGTGGAGGTTACAGTGAGCTGAGATCGCGCCACTGCGCTCCAGCCTGGGCGACAGAGCAAAACTCTGTTCTCAAAAAAAAGTGTTAGAAGTGTGGGGGACCCCGAATGCCAGGGTGAAAGGGCTGTCCTTTCACACCACCTGAGCATCCTGCCCTTTGGTTTGGGTAAAAACATTCTCAACCCGGCCTCACATCACCCTCCACAGGGCAGGGAGGAGACCCCTCTGTGACCTCAGCATGCTCGAGCTAACTTATTTTGCTTTGTCCTGCCTCGCTCACTCTGTTTTTATCTGAACCGGAACCCTGCTTGCAGTGCTGGGAAACATAATCACCCAAGTCCTGGCGTGATTCTTGTTCTCAAATGTTCCCTAATTATAATTGAAGCAATTATCATTTCTCCTCCTCATAAAAAAGCTAAATGATTTGCAGGCACGTTGGTGAATTTATTTCATCAAGCCAAAGAAATGCACTGTGGGCTATCATTCCTTTATTATTTAATAAGAAGGACATTGGGTACTTTGTATGTTTCCTGAGCATGTGCTGGCTGCAAACAAAGACAGCATCGTGCAGTCAGATGTGTTTTGGTGGTTTTTCTCCTTTCCCGAAGGAGGGGTGCTCAGAATGCTTTTGCAAAAGTAATTTCCAGTTCTTTCCAAGGCAGAGTCCTTGAAATGGTAATGTACGAGATAAATATTTAATGTGTTCTGCTCATCATTATAGTATTCATGGCTTGACACAGATAATTACTAAAAATTTGTCATTAGATGTACAGCTATAGATGCTATGAAACTAGGAACTGAGTAATGTCATTTGAAAGTCATAAATATGTGCGATTGCAAGCAAGAGCAGAAGACATGCTGTCTTTTTAACATATAACATCATTTGTTAGCTGTCCTTTGTAATTGCTCAATTTTTGTAAATTAGGAAGCCCAAATAGGCTTAGAATTTTGATTAAATCCTGAGATGTCTGAGATAAATGTTTCCAGCGAACACCCACCCCAGACAGCCCCTCTTGTAGCTTCCAGACCCTTCTCCTTCTGTTTTCCACTTTCCTGGGTCTGTCCTCCCTCCCCAGCTCATCACTGAGTCTCCCTTATGGGCTCCTGCCTCTCTGCTGTCCTTTAAATGTTCTTGTCCCCAAGTTCCTTATTTGTCACTACTCCTCCTGCACAGTGCCCTCCACTCCCATGGCTCCATTGGGGTCAGGTGGGATGGTGAGGCTTGCAGGGGATGCTGCCCGAGGAGGTGACCTTTGAGCTGGGCCTGGCCTTCCAGCACAGGCAGATGCCCAGTGCGGTGCAGGTGGCCGGGAGTTGAGGGGAGGTAGGGCTCGAGTTGGTAGAGTTTCAGGTGATGCTGGGAGGACTGTTTGGCCTTTGTCCTGAAGACAGCTAGACCTGGGAGGCTTTGGAGTGGGCAGTGATACGATCACACTTGCCTTTTAGAATGATTGCTGTTACCACAGCACAGAGGCCAGGCTTGTGGGTGGTGGGGCTAGGGACCGGTTTGAGCCCCGAGGCTGGTGCGATAGGTTGGGAGTGAGAGGTGGTGGCCTGGTGCAGTGCATCAGTGGCCTCTGGTTGCCTCCACCTCCAGCCCCTGGCAGCCTGGCTTTCCTAGCACTTCCCCCTCCAGCCCGAGGCCCTTCTCCAGCTGCCACCTTCATTTCATTTGGCACCTTGCCCTCAGGCCTGGGCATGGGCTCTCCTCCAGACCCCGCTGTGGCACTGAATTCTCCTGCATTCACACCTGCATCTGCTGCCCAGACAGGGCCTGGCACCAGGAGGCCCTCTGGATCATCCAGCCCACGGCCACAGCTGCCCGGGGTGCCAGCCCCTCGGGCCCACAGCAGTTTTGTCATTTTCCAGGGGCATTCCGAGAGTCACACGGGACTGGGGACAGAGCCCAGCAAGGTCCATGTGGGTCCTACACATTAGTCATGACGAACCCTTTAGAAAAATATTAATACAAATAGGATTGGGTATATTGTTGACCAGTCAACACTCACCAGATCAAACTCCATGCGGTCATGAAACATGATGTGATAGAATATTTAATGCCAGGGAGAGACATTCACGATACAAGTACAAAAAGGCAGGTCACAGAACCATACCACAGAATGTATGTATCCATCTCATGTTTCTGTATCTATACGTATGTATGTGATGGTACTGTTTTGTTAGTTAAAAACATACACAGTCATAGGGAAAAAAACTGGAAGAATCATGACTAAAATATCAAGAGATGTTAGTTCTAGCTTCTGTAGTTCAGTGGTCTCAGTTTTCTACAAGGAAGGTGTGCTTTGGGTTTTTTTTAAATTTTTGTTTATTTATTTATTTCTAATTAAATATAGATACGAGGTCTCACCATGCTGCCCAGGCTGGTCTTGAACTCCTGGGCTCAAGCAGTCTTCCCACCTCGGCCTCCCAAAGTGCTGGGATTACAGGTGTGAGCCACCGTGCCTGGCCTCGGGTATGTTTTTTGTTTGTTTGTGTATTTTTTGAGACGGAGTTTGGCTCTTGTTGCCCAGGCTGGGGTGCAATGGCACGATCTCAGCTCATCGCAACCTCCATCTCCCAGGTTCAAGCAATTCTCCTGCCTCAGCCTCCCGAGTAGCTGGGATTACAGGCATGTGCCACCACGCCCAGCTAATTTTGTTTTTTTAGTAGAGACAGGGTTTTTCCATGTTGGTCAGGCTGGTCTCGAAATCCCGGCCTCAGGTGATCTGCCCGCCTCGGCCTCCCAAAGTGCTGGAATTACAGGTGTGAGCCACCGCGCCTGGCCGGGTATGTTTTATTAGAATAATTTTTTACTTATCCAAAAGCAAGGGTGGGCACGGTGGTTCATGCCTGTAATCCCAGCACTTTGGGAGGCTGAGGCGGGCAGATCGCTTGAGCCCAGGAGCTCAAGACCAGCCTGGGCAACATGGCAAAACCCTGTCTTCACAAAACATACAAAAAATTAGCCAGGTATGGTGGCGCACACCTGTGGTCCTAGCTACTTGGGAGGCTGAAGCGGAAGGATCGCCTGAGCCCAGGAGGCAGAGGTTGCAGTGAGCCAAGATCGCACACTCCAGCCTCGGGAACAGAGCAAGACTCTGTCTCAAAAAAAATAAAAAAACATGGCTGGTTGCAGTGGCTCACGCCTGTAATCCCAGCACTTTGGGAGGTCAAGGTGGGCGGATCACAAGGTCAGGAGTTTGAGACCAGCCTGGCCAATATGGTGAAACCCTGCCTCTACTAAAAATACAAAAATTAGCCGGGCGTGATGGCGGGCGCATGTAATCCCAGTTACTCGGGAGGCTGAGGCAGGAGAATGTCTTGAACCCAGGAAGTGGAGGTTGCAGTGAGCCGAGATCATGCCACTGCAGTCCAGCCTGGGCGACAGAGTGAGACTCCGTCTCGGAAAAAAAAAAAACATATCTCACTGTGTCGGGGCTTCCTGGCCACTGTGTTATAATGGTGCTTAAGTACTCTGCACACTTCCGTTTACTCCTTTAAGAGCTGAGTGCTGCACCTGTGCTGCTCTCGGTGCTGGAGACACAGCGCTGGCCAGGCAGAGAAGGCCCTCATTGTCAAGTGGGGGAGACAGGGGCAGATCCTGCCTCGGGTTGGATGCTGTAGAGTTCCTGAGAACCACGTGTGTGTGTTTCCCACCCAGTGCGCCCTATCCACTCCTCCACATCCAGCCCTACCATCTCCATCCACGAGGTGGGCCATACCGGAGTCACCAAAACTGAGAGGAGTGGCATTAACAGACTGAGGAGTGAAATGAAACAGGTAAGAACACCTCAGTGGCAGCGAGGGATGAGTGGTGGTCTCCCTACCTGGGCTTACCCCAGAAAGCGACAGAAACCTAGGGCATGAGGCTGCAGCCCACTGTCTGTAGAGTGGGAGGTCCCTTCTGTCTGGGATCTGAACACACCCCTGTCCCCAGATAGATATTCCAGAGCCGGTCATGCGCACCCTTACCCACTCATCCTTAACCTTAACGTGATGTTCTCATGAACGTTCCAGAAAATACCCTTGTCCATGTTTGCCTCTGTTCCCGAGAACCACTCTTAGGAGTGGGCCACAGCCATTGAAAAAGTAGAGTCATGCAAAAAGTCACCGAATCATCTGTGTCCTTCAAACGAAATAGCAAGAGGGCTCTGGAAATAGACCAGAATGCCCATGATACTTGGATTCTCCACCAGCCACAGGGGTCTCTTTTCTTAGTTCACCTTTAATTCCTGGTAAAAAAAAAAAAAAAAAAAATCCTTTTGAACTGACCGCACAGGGCCACAGCTCAACATCGGAGTCTTAACGTGCTGGGTGCTGTGCTAGGCCTTGCCCAGGATCCATGCTGGGAAAGAGTTTCCCTCTGACCATGAGAAATGCACTCGAATTTTCTGCTCCATTTTAAATGCTGTTCATGACCCACTAAATGGAGTCCATGATGCACTCATGGGTCACCCCCTGCGGTTTGACCAACACGGCCCTGGATTAAGAGAGAGGGCAATAGAAGAAGCACGCGTTCTTGGCTCAAAGCTGGTTTTGATTTCCTGATGTATTTTTGCTTTCAGATGACTAGGCGGTTTAGTGCTGATGAACAGGTGACACCCCTTTGCCTTGTTCGTCCTTTACTTCCTGTTCTTTCTGGCTTGAATGTGGAAAGTGAGGCTGTGACTCCGCAGCGTGTGAATGTGTAGAGGGCGGCTCTATCCAGCAAACGGGCTGGGGCACAGGCAGAGAGCAGGACTCGAGGGCAGGAGAGACGACCTTGCCCCATGCCTTTAAAAATAATCTGTTTCTCAAACTCTTGGGCTTTGTAGGGTACTTTGTGAAAGAGATCATCCAGGCTCTGCCTCAGTGGGAGTTTCTATTCAAAAAGAGGGAACTAAATAGAAAACTAAATGGGGGGGAAATGCGGTCATTGGTTATATCAGTAGAAAGAATGCTGCTATTCCTGTCCTCAGATCGCCTGGGGGGACTTAACCCTGGAAGGAAAAACATGTAAGGGTGCTCTTCTTTTATATCACCCTGGTGACATATGTTCTCCACCCCCCTCTGGGACACTGGAGTCGCATTTCTAATATTTTGATGTGTATTACCACAAGAGCCTAGAGACATCTTAATGACATGTAAAGGCCGATTCCACATGTTGCCCAGAGGTAAAACATGCTTTATCTCTCCTAGTTTATGCTGTTTCCAAGTAGGGAACTGCCTTTTCAAACATCTTCCCTTGCCAGCCACTCGGTGGCACCGTCCCTCTGTCCCCGCATCCCGATGGCCTGACCGTGGGTGAATCTGAGTGGTTCCTTCCGCCTCTATTTCATGCTGTTCTTGCGTGTTACGGGGATGAAGTGATCACCTCTGTTCTTTGCTGGGCTTAGAGTCACCTAGCTAGTACAAACTTTGACCACTTACGTCAAGGAACATATTATTTGTTCCAAAAATGTAATAGGTGTTATGGTATTTTCAATCTCTAGTCTCTTTTGTAAGAATACCTTGTAGATAGCACACTGTACCCTTGCAAATTAAGGGTACATTCTAGATTTTAGACGAGGAAATACTTATGTGGCCAAAGGTATCAGCCCGATCATCATATTCATTCATTTAATGAATATCTACTGAATGTTAGGTGCAGCATGTTAGTGTCAGCTGTAGGTATTTGGTTCATCTGTAGATTTTCACAATTCTTACCATAAAATGTGAGCATTTCATGGCTGTGAGTTTGGAAAATAAATAGTGTCCTAACTTGATGATGCACCCTCCACATATGACAGGAACATTTAATGTTTACATTCAATGGTAACAGTTCATGTTTTTAAAAAGAGCAGTTAGTAAGTTTCACGTGGAGTCGAAGCCCAGAGCGGTGCTTGCAGGTGCCCCTGCACCTGAGCTTGCCTATGTGCGTTGCTGTGGCACCTTCTCTGCGCCCGCATTCTCTGCTGCTGCTTTCTGTGGGTGTTTCGGATGCTGCTCCATGACCCTCCTCTCTGCTGTGTCTCTTGGTGTCATTGCTGTCAACTGAGTGGATTCTTTTTGTTTTGTAGTTCTTTTCTGTGGGCCAGGCCGCGTCCAGCAGTGCGCATTCCTCCAAGTCTGCGGTAACAGTGCCTCGGGATTATTGTGTCCGTCCCCGCTCCTCCTCGCGTCCTTCCTCATGCTCCCACCTCATGCCCAACTTCTGAGGATTCGAGCAGGGCTGAAGTGTTTTCAGCGGGATGCTCACAGGCTCCTCCAACTGGAATTCTGAGGAGGGTAGAAAGAAGGCCCCAAAGTGCTTGCCCTGAGCTTTGTTCTCCGTCTTAAGCTCTCAGTTCTCTGCCTGTGCTCCTTGGCACAGTGTGGGTGAGGAGTTTCCTTCTCACCAATTCCCAGAGCTTCTGGAAACTTCGGGGCATTAGTTCCATGCCTCTTTATGGAGCCAGGATGGTGAGCCCTTGCCCACATGTGCCAACTAGCACTCTGCACCTGCCATGCCCCAGATCTCGTGCAGGGCTCGGATTGAGCTCACCGCAGAGCAGAGGCTGAATCTTCCTCCTGAAACTGGAGGGCCCGGATCAGCTGAGTCATTGAGGAGTGCAGCTGTAATTACTTTTATTTGTGTCTAATTGTTGCCTTAAGTGGCAGTAATGAGCCCAATGGAATAACCCAGCCGAACTGCCTTTTCAAAATAAGATCTGTTGAAATCCAACTGCTGCAGAAAGGAGAGCTCCACCTCCTGCCCTGCTAGCACACTTCAGGATTTCACTTTAACCCTTTACATTTGACTGTGCACATTTGATGTGTGGCACTATCGAGAAACAAAAGTGCCAGATAGTCCCAGGCAAAGAGATGTGTGAGAGTGAAGGTTATCCCTTCTCGACCTGGAGGTCTCGAAGCTAGAAGCCCCGCAGGGCAAGACAGAAGGCTGGGAGCTTTGCCGCAGGGAGGGGATGCGCCCCCACTCACAGAGGCCCGCCCCGCCAGCGGTGGGGAGCCTCTCAGACAGTGTCCCCCTCTGGAGCCTGAATCAGTCCAGCCAATGTTGAGGTGGGAAGGAGATGGCGCCCTCTTCCCTCACTTCAGCAAAGTCAGCCCCAGTTCAGAGGCAGCCATTGCCCCAAATTAAGATAAAGCCCAGTGCCAAGAATAGGGAAAGCCGGAAATGGGATTGCAAAGGGTGGGTGGATGGACCCTGATCTGCGAGGTCCTCGCCACTAAACGCGGGCTTCACTGTTTGTCTTCCCCCGTGTCATGTATTGCCTTCTCTGTGGTTCCTGTCCTGTGGAAACGTGTCTGTCACTTCTCTGTGGCACTGCAGCAATGAAGTGGGCACTATGGAGTTTGTCTCCCTGAGCCATGGATGCCTGCTCCGAGGGCCCGTTGTCACCCTCAAAGCTCTCCCACTGCAGTGGCACAGGCGCCACGTGCGGGTGACAGCTGCCCCTCATGGGCACTTAGCGCACACTAGGTATGCCTCAGGGGCTTCTGTGTCTCCACGTGGTGAAGGCTTCCGGGCAGCTCTTTATAGGATGCCTGACTGTGTCCCCACTGTGCAGATGAGACTGAGGCCCAGAATCAGTGTTCATGGCAGGGCCAGACGGCCTCGGGTGTGTCCTTGGCACCGCTGGCATTGAGTGGGGATTAGCACTCCGGCAGTCTGACCCCCAAGCCCGTGCTCGCCCTGTTCGGCCTCCTCCTTATGGGTTCTAGCTTTGGGGGTGGGACTGCCTCTCGGGGGGCAGGGCAGAGTGCAACATGGAATGAAGTGATCAACCCAAAGTATGCGAGTCATCTCACATGAGGAAACAGACAAGGTGGACTGGAGGAACCGTGTTCCTCTCTGGCGAGTGGTGTTCTGGCATTTGTGCCTAGGTCGCAGGGCCGCCCTTCGAGATGGCGCACTTTCCCTGGGGCACCTGCTGCGTGGCTTCTGAGGCCCCAAGCTGTCTGTCTTGCAGAGGTCCAGCACCCCATCCTCGCCCACTGGCACGTCATCCTCAGACTCGGGAGGACATCACATCGGCTGGGGTGAGCGGCAGGGCCAGTGGCTGCGCAGGAGAAGGCTGGATGGGGCCATCAACAGGGTCCCCGTGGGATTCTACCAGAGGGTGTGGAAGATCCTCCAGAAGGTAAGCCGAGACGCGAGCTCCTGGGGAAGTGAACCGTCCCCTTACTGTCCTGGCAAGGCATGGTGGCACCTCCAGGCGAGCAAACACACAGCCCTGAGGATGGCTTCTCTGCCTCAGCGCTGTTGGCACCTGGGGCCGAGGCATTCTCTGCTAGGGGGCCTGTGCGTGGTAGGATGTCTACAGCATCCCTGGCCTCTACCCGCCAGATGCCAGCAGCCATCTCTTCTCCCCACCCCACCCCCGTGTGACAACTAAAAGTGTCTCCAGGCATTATCAAACATCCCGTGGGAGGCAGATCAACCCAGTTGAGAACCACAGCAAGTAAGACAAGGTGGCAGTCTAGGTTGTGGTTGTGTGGGACCAACTTGGACGTATTTTAGGAACATAGAAGAACAGGGAAAGGCTGGGAGGCTTCAGATGAAAACCCTGTAAAACCACCCAGAGCAGCACCTACAGGCCTGGAACCTGGAATGACAGTTCAGGAGGGGCCTGGAGTAGGCCAGCCCCCCAGCCTCCCGCACATCCAGGCAGGAGTAGTGTCCCTGCTGTTCAGCGATGTGACTGAGCCCCACCCTCCCAGGGTACCTGCCGTGTTCAGTCCCAAGGTGTACAGAGGTGGAGAGCTTCCAGTTTAGCCCCAGGTCCTGTGTGCCCTGAAGGCACAATCTCCCTCACACCCTGGGGCCCCACTCCCCTCAGCCAGCCGGCTGTTGCGCTTCCCATCTGCCTGGGGCCGTTCACGTCTCCCCAGCTGTTGTCCCTGGGAACTGTGGTGCCTGTACCTGAGCACAGGAGCACCTCCCTGAGCGCCTGTTGTCAAGGAGGGGGGCAGCATTCTCTGTACCCCCCCAGTGTCTCCCTTCTGCATCAGCCCGAGAGAGTTTATGCAGCTCCCTGGGCTGCACCAGGCCCTCCCTGTCTTTTCCCTTGAATGGAAGGACAGTGTGCCTCGCTTAAAAGCTGTGCAAACCAAGACATTTTTTTCCCCCCAGAACTATTTTTTAGTTCATTTCACAGTGGGAGAGAAGAGAAAAAATAATCCCAGTGACAGCATACAACAGCCCCCTTCCCAAAGCCATGGCACCACTTGCTCAAGGTTCTTTCTGTAACAGGGGCCCCTGTGCTTCATGGGCCCCAAGGTATTCCTCACGGCCACCGCAGAGGGATGTGAGGAGGTCGGAGCAGGCCCTGCCCGAGCAGCTGGACTCCTGGGACCCAGGCAGGATCCTGCAGGGGCTCATGGTGCTTGCTCCACTTCCCGCCTCTCTTAAGGGGGTGGGAGTGTCCACTGCTGTTCTGCCCTCAGCCCACTGGGGACGCTCCAGGCCGGGGTGCTGGGATTTAGAAGGTGGCCAGTTAGACTAGAACAAGCTGTTCCTAGAAAATTTCCCCACTCTTCCTGGGGCATCACATGCTTCCGCTCGGACTCACTGGCGCAATACCAAGATATTTCTATTATGAAAAAGCATTTTGTGTTGAGCTGGCACTCGATATTTATATACATGGGTGTGCATGTGCATGTCTGTGCATGTGCTGGAGGCTTTTGTGATTGGTGCTTATTATAGAAATCTCAAAAATAGATGCCTGCAAAGGCACAGAAGCATCCCTTCCCCAGCAGGAGCCATGAAAATCCCCCTTTATTATGGCACCAAAGGGGCCTCGCAGCCGCCCGGGCCCAGTTGCCAAGTACAATGCGGAGCCTCCCGGGAGGACTCGGCAGCCCCCTAGGGCATTGTTCGGGGGAGATCTGAAAGATGCCTGCTGGGTTCCCTAGAATTGTTCCATCGAAAACACAGCCTGTGGGCAGTGAGAACAAGCTCTCTAAAAATAACTCTGACAGTCTGGCGTGTCCCAGCCCTCATATGGGTTTCCAGGGCAGAGGGTGCTGTGTGTGCATGCACGCCTGTGTGTGCATGCATGTGCTTATCCCATTCTGGAATCTGACTGAAATGCGCTCTATTCTGCCTCCAGTGCCACGGTCTCTCCATCGATGGTTATGTCCTCCCATCCTCGACGACCCGAGAGGTACGATGAGAAAAACGCAGAGGCGGGCCCCTCTGTGGGTTCACAATAAGGGCTTCATTGCATGGACTCTGACCTCTTGTGCTCCTTTTGGGCTCATTCTAATTGACAGGCCATTTGTAGCTCTGAGCTGTCTAGCCCCTTCACCCTCATATTTGGCAAAAATGTCTTTCCAGCATTTATTGGCATCAGCCTTTTTCTTCACCTGAGACTCAGCATTTCTGGGCTAGCAAGCTCTTTGCATTTGCCAGACACCCCTTAGAACCCTGGTGAAAGAAAGGAGCCAATCTCCATGCCACCCTGGCCTGCCCCATGGGCAGCCTTCTCGGCCCTTTTCTCCAACTAAAAACAGTAATCGTCCCTAGGTGATTTGTCATTCTTTTTAACATGGATTTTTTTTTAGTTTTACCCCACCCAAAGCACCATGCTTCATGCTGGAAGGAATAATGAAGAGGAAAGAGAAACCAGAAATGGTCCCTGCTCCCTGGAAGCTGTAGTCGATGGGGGGAAGGGTAGATAAATCAGGCGAGGACAGGCTGGCTCCTGGAGGCATACTCCAGCCTCCTGCTCTGAGGGCCACTGCCAGCAGGATCCAGGGAGTGGCCAGAAAAGGGGCAGCAGTGGCGCTGAGCCCCGAGCCCAGGCACTGCTACGGTCACCCTTGGTTACTCGGTGATTGATTGATAGGGCTGCATCTGTCCTCTCACTGGTGGTTGCCTGCCTGTCCCTTTGGTAGATGACCCCGCATGAGATCAAGTTTGCTGTCCATGTCGAATCGGTGCTGAACCGCGTGCCGCAGCCCGAGTACCGGCAGCTGCTGGTGGAAGCCATCATGGTGCTGACGCTGCTCTCGGACACGGAGATGACCAGCATCGGGGGCATCATCCACGTGGACCAGATCGTGCAGATGGCCAGTCAGCTGTTCTTGCAGGACCAGGTGGGGGTGCCAGGGAGCTGGGTTGGCTGGCATTTATCTCTGTTGAGGCTGGAGATTCTGTGTCCAATAGGAAAGAATATACTCGAACCAAGAAAATGTCATCACAGATGATGGGGAAAAAATGTCAACCACTTGCTTAGAAAATGGTACAGTGGCCACTTGGGAAATCTCAAGACCTTTGGGGATGGATAGGCCTGTCTCAATGCAGGTTTTCGTCCAAACACCACCACTTGCAACACATGTGACCATGGGTGAACCCCTTACCCTGTACACAAAGTCAAGTTCAACAGAGTAGTCCTCATTATAGTCAGGAGCTACAAACTAGGGTGCGTGATAACAGAGTGCAGTGCCCAGAGAGGTAGGGCATTCCCCCTGGCAGCGCTGGCTTCGTGCCCTCATGCCCTCAGAATTGGAGCCTCTCAGAAGGCCAAGGCTCTACTAGAGCAACCCTCACCCCTGCCCATGTTGACCCGCTGCCACCACCACGCAGAAGCGTGACGGGGAGTGGGGGCTCCGCTTATTGTCCCCTCTGCCCTTTCCTACTGCAGGTGTCAATTGGTGCCATGGACACCCTGGAGAAAGACCAAGCCACAGGAATCTGCCACTTCTTTTATGACAGCGCTCCGAGTGGGGCTTATGGGACGATGACCTACCTAACAAGAGCAGTGGCTTCTTATTTGCAGGAATTGTTGCCCAATTCGGGCTGCCAGATGCAATAGGGTCTCACCTGGAAACATGATCACACTCTCAATCTGTCACGTGCCCCCTAGCCTTACTGGGAACCTTCTGTCCCCCAAGATCCCCTGTGCTATCAGGAAAGCATGTCCCATCAGAAACACTCTCGGGGGGCAATGGTAGCACTCACCCTGAAACTGATGTATGTTAAAGCCACAGAGATAGAGCTGAGGAGTCCTGTGTTCCCCCGCAAGGAGCACCCCGGGATCATTTTCTAGGTTCATTTCTCTGGAACATTTGCTGTAGCATCTGGTCTCACGGACTCTGAGGAGGAATTGGAAATTGGTCTCTTTTGAGTGCAGAGGGAACTGAGACGCCAGCTTAAATTGGCTCTTGCAGAGAGTTACAGAAATAGTTTCGATGAGCTAGTGACACATCCTAAAGATGCAAAGATCCTCCTGGCGGCAGTAGCCTTGACAAGGGCCACCTCTTCACAGGATGCAGTCTGTCTGTGCACCAAACTCTTCACCAAATAGAACACTTGTGTCTCTCTGTGGAATGGGGGTTTTCTTGTGCCTTGCTTGCTTTCATAGCCTTCCATTTTATTGGCATGGCTGCCTTGATGTAACATAATTCTCTGTCCCCAAGATTTAGAAAATTCCTCTTCGTTCACCTTGGCTCATGGTCTTCCAGGGTTTTTATCCTGGCTGTCTATGAACTAGGGTTTTCTCCTGCCTTAGGAAAAATACTGCATCTTCTGGAATCTAGAAAAAAAAAAAAAAAAAGACAAGGCTCCTCTTATAGCCAGGCAAGCAGTTGTTTAGGGCTAG
The DNA here is from genome assembly GCF_000001405.40 of Homo sapiens. Classification (NCBI taxonomy): domain Eukaryota; kingdom Metazoa; phylum Chordata; class Mammalia; order Primates; family Hominidae; genus Homo; species Homo sapiens. Next base: position 18,892,698 of record NC_000023.11, on the reverse strand, counting down.
ACCTGTTGTCCCCGCTCGCGTGGGGTGAACGCCCCGCAGTGGATACTGTCCTCCTGTGCTCTGGGCGAGGCGTCATAGGGTGAGCACAAGTCAGCAGTGCCATGGAAGTGAACAGGCATGTCCCCGCAGAAACAATGCTTCCCTCTGAAAAATAGAGCCAGGCTAGGAACCTGTACCCTCTTGGTAGAAGCACTTTGGTCTTCACTCTCTTGGGTGGGTGCAGTTGGAGGCACCGATTGGAGGAGAGCAAGGTTGAGTCAGGTGTCAGGGTCTGGCAAATCTTTTGCCAATGCCCTAGCAATGGAGTTTCTCTCCGGGCATTGTCTTACCTTGGGGGAAGGAAACAAAACCAATGGGAAAACAGTTTCTGTAAATAATAAACCTTGAAAGACAAATGCTCACCTAGTGGCCAGGAGGTGCGCTCTGTCTGGTTGAGAGCAATGGGCTAGATTATGGTGGACTCTGCCTCTGCCTCTGAAACAGAGATGAGGCTATGGGATCATTTCCTCGGACATCTGTATGGAGATGCAGAGATCAACGTGCCCTAGCTGCTTCGAGTGGGCATCGTGATGCCCAGTGCCCCTCAGAGCCAAGATGCAGTACTGATGGTTATTCCTGAAGCGGAGGAGAGGCAGGTGGCCTCAGGTGCCTGACAGCTTCCTGGCAGAGTCCTCTTTGGGCTGAGTCAAACCCTTTGCAGTCTAGAAGGGTTTGGTGTGCAGGCTCTGCCCACATGGGACTTCCATGCCGTTTCCATTTCTTCCAAACCATAATGCTCTCCCTTGCAGAGGTGCAGAGTAGTTAGGTAAAGGAAAATCCCCCGGAGTCTCTCCATATCTGCTACAGTGGGCTTACGCGTTTCTTGCATTTTGGGGGCAGATCCCAGAGACAAGGAGGGCGGCACATGAGCAGACATGGCACCAGGCCCCTGCCCCCTTGGGTCACCCTGTTCCCTCCCCATCCCACAACAGCCGCTGACCAGAGCAGCTCTTCCCTCACAAGCCAGTTTGCTCCCTTTGCCCCTGAGGCTCCACGGGCTGCAGCTTCCCAGGTCTGGGGGGTCGCATTTTCATAGCCTTTGCATGTGTGTGTGTCTTTAAGACATGCCCGACAGAAACAAGAGTCTTGGAGATGACACGTAATTCACCTGCCCCGTGGATCATTTCAAACAGATAACGTGGGAAAGGTATAAGAAGGTATAAGTCATGAAAGTTGTTCTTGGAAAAAGCTCAGGAAGAGTTAGAGCCCTCCAGAATGAGCCAGGTGCTAATTTAGAACAGTCACCTGCCTGCCAATGATGATGACGTGCTCAGCCACCAAGCTGCGGGCCGGGAGAGGAGCCGTAATAAGCGATTCCACCAAGCCTTCCAGCCACTCCTTTGAAACCTCTTTAAAATGAAATCCTGAAATAGGACCGCATTTCCACAGGCATCAAGCTGTCAGCTTCAAAGGAGAACAGGCTTCTGAGGCCTGGCCCCTTCAGCGCGCAGCTGAGGCCCCCCTCCCCGAGGAGAGGAGCAGATGTTTGAGGGCAGAGGGCCTGTCCTGACAGCACCTGCGTGGAGGTGGCAGGAGGGGATTGTTTCTAGGCCAGGCGAGAGGAGCCTGGCAGCCCCTGGAGCCTCGAGCCGGGGGTGGCGGGGGCAGGAACTTCTACCTCCCTGCTCAGAGCCAAGAAGTCAATTTGAACCTTTGCTGGGGCTCGGTATTAACACGTTCTGCCTTGGAGGGCAAGCCGGTGGGGCCAGGAATAAGCATTCCTTTTAACAACTTCAGTTGAAAAGCAGCCACCGCCCCACCCGCTGCTGTCCCTGGCTCTCATCAGGTGAATTCAGCATTCCTGCCACCCTGCCAGTGCCTCTGTGATCCTGGGCATGAGTTGACCACTATGTACCTCAGTTTACCCATCCACAAAAAATGCAAAAGGCCAGGACTAAGCATGGGGGCGTGACGTGAACTCCCGCTCCTCCTCTGGTCAAGGGCTTCATGCTTAGAGGAAACCAGATAAGCCCTATTGCAACCCCACCTGGAGTGGAGTGGGGGAGGATGAGGAGGAGGGGGAGACCCTACCTTCCACAGGCCCAGGGACTCGAGGGGTGGGGCTCCATTAGGAGATCAGTCGGGGCATGGTGAAGGGGAGGAGAGGTTGTCAAGGCTCAGCTGCCTGGACAGAGAGGATGGAAATACTCCCTGTGTGAAAAAAGAAAAGGAAAAGACCCCAGATCAGGAGGCAGGAAATGCAGTTTGGCAGAGTTGGTTGATGCCACTTACTTCTGGACAAGAAGACTGGAGGCTTGGCCACCCTTGATGGAAATTGCAGCAGAACCATCTCTCTATTCTGTTGATTCCCGCACCAGGCTGGCAAATAGCTTTTGTCTTTTCTGCTTCCTTGTTGCAAAAGGGTACAAAAGCCTCCCACCCACCCCACCCCCAATCGCCCTTTGTGCCATTATCTTTCAAGGTGACTTAGCTTTTGAAGTCCCTGCCATCTGCTCTGCAGGCCTGTACTTTGCAGGATGTGAGAGCACCGCGTTCCCAGAATGCCTTCTGTTCTACCCGACGTGGCTACTGATAGCTCTGCCTGTGAGGGGAAAAGAAAGCTGCGCTGTGGCCCCCTTAAAGCCCAGTCCCTGCTGTCTCCCTCAAAAAGCCACTTAGGAAAGCCACGGCCTTGAGGTACCAAGAGAGTTCTTTGAGAAATGAGAGTGGAAACTGTGAGAGAGGCTGCTCTGCAGTCGAGTGCTGGGCACGTCTGACGATGCCTGGGAGAGGAAAAAATTCCATCAAAAAACTACCATGGTTTTCTTTAGAGGAACATATGTGCACTTTTGGCAAAACATGCCTTCTCAGGAGAGCTGGAATAGTTGGAACCAATGAACTCTGAAGTCATGTGATTCGTCCCTCTGTCTTCGTGCAGTCCTTAAACTATTCTGAAAAATGCATGAATCCAACACGAATCCTAGCATTTCTGCCATGCCCACTGAGGGCCAGGCAGGCATACAGCCTGGTTGGGGGGTGGGAGGGTGAAAAGTATCTCTTTTTGTGCTTGAAGGCCCCTGAGGAAGCCCCTAGGCTCCCGTGGTGAGTGTTCCCTGCGCTGGCCTAGCAGGGTGTTGGTGTCTTGAGCCCGAATCCTGTGCAGCATTGGCCCAACCCTTGCAGGTGGCCGCCACCCCTTTCCCCTGCAGCTGGCATAGCCAAGGTGCCAGGCTCTGCAAAGGGTAAGCTGCATCTGAATTGGGCACGAGGGGATGGTTGTGCCTTCCACATCTCCTTTTGTGAAAGATCTTCCCAGATGCAAACCCAGGATGGACTTGCCAAAGAGAAATCCCAGTAACTGGCTCTAATCTCTGTGCCACCAGCTGCCATTGTCTCGAAGTTCATTTGCAAACAACAGAAACCAACTGTGGCTGGGTTAAGTGGGAAGTTTATTAAACAATATTGGATAGGTCACATGGTCACCAGGCTAAGCGGCTCCCTAGCCAGGACCAAGATCCCATGTCATTCTCCAGTACTCCCAGGTTCATACCCCAGGACTTACACCACAGACACCCCCAATGCTGGGCACTGTCACTGGGACCACTGCCTCTGCTCTTTTGGAAACTAAATGTAGAGGCTTCTACTTGTCACCAAAAGGGATTTTAAACAGCCACTAGCTGCCACTTCAAGGTCTCAGGCAAGCATACTGCCTCGGCTGAGGGAGAGGTTAGAAAAAACAGCATCCAGCCAGGCGTAGTGGCTTGTGCCTGTAATCCTGGCGCTTTGGGAGGCCTAGGCAGGAGGTCTCGAGCCCAGGAGCTAGAGACCAGCCTAGGCAACAATGTGAAACCCTCCCTACAAAAAATAAAATCAGCAAGGCACAGTGGTATACACCTGTTTTCCCAGCTACTCAAGAGGCTGAGGTGGGAGGATCACTTAAGCCTGGGAAGTCAAGGCTGCAGTGAACCGTGATTGCACCACTGCACTCCAGCCTGGGTGACAGAACAAGACCCTGTCTCAAAGAAAAGAAAAAAGCCGCATCTTGAGAATTCTGCCTTCCAAAGTGGAGGTCCCCACTTCATAACATGGGGATCCCCTGAACACAGGAAGGAGGTTCAAATGCCAAACATCTGAAACTCAGTGTCCGCTCCAGCTGGAATGCTTGCTTTTCTTTCCTCTGCCCATAAAAGAAGGACCTGTGCCCTCGCCAGGGTCTGCCCTGGAGAGCTGACGCAAGAGGCACATTTGCCCCTGAGGAAGGCTGTGTGTCAGGAGTGAAGAGGGGCGTGCAGGCAACCCCTCCTCACCCCAGGTGCATGGAAGCCATCCTGGTACCCACCTCTGGGATGGAGGTAGGACAATTAATTACATGTTCTGTCTTTGGGTAGAAATGCTACTGAGCCATAGGGGCTGGATCACCACTGCTGCCCAGTATGGCCCACCAGACCACCTTCCACCATCCTGCAAAGCCCTGCAGAATTGCCAGTGCGCCCTGCAGTTTTTGTGACCACCAGCCCAGTCCCATTCGATTTTCATAGCCCTTGAGTGACAGCCCATCTGGGACAAGACTCAAATGATTGTCACATCTTTTCTTCTAACTCTTTAGCCAGCTGGGGGATTTAAAAATAATGAATTGGAACCGTTCGTGGTATAAGCCTCTCTCTTGACAGTGTGAATAATTTCCTCCAGCTGTCACCAGGGATCGTTTGAGTTCCTGTAAGTACTGGAGTCTCTCCTGGGCTCAAGAGAGGCACAGCCATCTAGGCCAGGCGGCCCTCTCTGCCTCTCCCCAACCTCCCCTCCTTCTGGAAGTGCAGGCAACAGCTCCCTGCTCCCCTTTCCCTCATTAGCCACAAGAGATCTGGAGCGAAAGTGGCCCAGCAGGCTGGGAGAAGGTTTTGAGAGGGCATTGCACCCACCGCGGCTGACGCAGCTCTTCACGCCAGAAGATGAAGCAGCCGTTCTTAGTGGCTCCTTGCACTGCCGCCTGAATCTCACCAGAAAGGATTCTGGGCTTTCCATCGCCTAAAGCAGAGAGCTCCCTAGTGCTAGGGTGGTGACTGCCGCCCCGCCCTGCCCCCGCAGGATGTGTACCTTTGTCCCAGCTTGGTGGAGACTGTGCATCGACGGTGCTGTCAGCACACGTCCACGTGGCTGGATCTGGGCTTGGCTGGCTGAGGCACAAAGGGCTCCATGCCTAGTAGGGCAAAGAGTCAAAAATAAGTCTGCGGTGCAAGAGGGGTCAAGATGGAGCCCGGGTCGGGGAGCTCACTGTCAGCACAGGGTTAGCAGAGGCTCCGCAGAGTGACCAGAGCCGGGACTAGGGGGTGTGGAGCGGCAGAAAACGCGGGGACAGGTGGGCACAGGCCAGGCAGCCTGGGAACTGCCGGCACTCGGTGGAGGGGATGCAGGGGGCTTCCTGGGCTTGGCTGGGGGTGGAGGGGCCTTAGCAAAGCCACTGTCTTCGGCCCCTGAATGGCAGGCACTACCCCTCCACCAGCCCCAGTCCCACTTGCTCAGCTATGCTGGGGGAAGAGGGTAGAGGCTCAAGATGGGTTGGGGCAGGAGGTGGGGATTTGACCCTCCCAACCCTCGCCTGGGTCTCACGGGCTCCTCATAGGTGAAGGCTGAGTAAAACACTCAGTCCTCCAGAAAGTGCAGGGCCACAGCGCCGGAGTTGCTCAAGAATGCGACCCAGCAGGATCGGACTAGTCCTTTAAATGTCAAAGCAGCCGGCTGGGTGGGGACAGCACAGCTGGGTGAGGCCAAGGCCATCTCTGAGTCTCCTGCAGCTCAGCCGAGGGAGGAAGTGAGACTGACCCCTCCTCCTCCCCGCCCCGGAAAATGAACAAGGAGTGATGATTTTCGCAGCATATCGGGGGCAGAACGAAGCAGAGGAACGGGTGGGGAGGCCTGGGAGCACAGAGGGCCTGTCCTCTGGGATGACTGGAGAAGATCTCAGTGGGCAAGATGTGATCAGCGACCTGAAGGAAGTGAGGGCCTGAGCCTCACTTTAGCTGGAGGAGACGGTGCCGGGCAGCAAGGAACCGCCAGTGCGAACGTGGGAGGCAGTACTGCACCCAACACGTCTGCAGGGGGCGGGAGTGGAGCCACCAAGGAGTCCAGACTTTGGCTTTTGTCCCAAGTCACTGGGAAGAATGACAAGTATTGCCAACCCTGCCCAGAGAGATCTGCTTTAAAGGTTAGGGGGCAGTGGAGCCATGGCAGAGGCAGAGGGGAGAAGCAGTTCATTTCACCGCAGGTCTGGAGGGACATGTGTGAGAGGCGGAGCCAGGAAGGGAGCCAGTGCCGAGGCCATGTGACTTCCTTCCACCTATTTTGAGGAGCTGACAGCCTTCGGGAGCAGCCCCTGCTTTGCTGCTATTTAGGGGAGATAATCTAGTAACTGGAAAATGGGGGTGATGAAATGACAGAAGAGGGAGAGAGAAGCGATGCCTGTTCCCTTCCTCAGCTCCCTCCGCTGTCTCAGGCCTGAAACCCTACGTGGTCCCTACACCACGTTCAAGCCGACATGCACGTACAAAGCCATATACCTGCATCTGCTGGCGCCACCTTCCTCGGGGGATGGGGTGGGCAAAGGAAACAGTGGCCGGGACTCTATCCCCAGGGCACCCTCCTCCGCCCTGCCTTCTCCTGCTCTCACCTTACCTCTCCCCTGACGTCCCTAAGCGTCCACTGCCCTTCATATTGGGGCTTTAGAAAGCAACAGTGACAGACTTTGGGGCTGAGGCCTGGAAAGGTTCTAAAGGCTCCACACCGCAAGTTGTTCAGAGGCTGCTTCCTCTGCACTTTAAATAGATGTGCTATGCTGACTTTGACACATTTCTTTTTTAAACTTAAAAAAAGCACAATCGGAAAAAAAGCAAGAAAGAAATGTAGTGAGTCATCCACTAGCGGGAGGGAGGGGTACTGTGCTGGGAGGTGGGGACCAGTGGAACATTCCAGGAGGCTGGCCAGGGAGTACGTACCCCAGCCGGTGGGGAGAGGGAATATAGGAGGGGATAGTTGAGGCCAAGAGGATTGGCTCCAAGGAATCCCTGGAATCAGCTACTTTGTCCTCTGGGGGTCTTCTACCTGTAAACCTCAGGCGTCTTGGAAACTAGAGGAGAGTAAAGACTTGAGCTGTGGCTCCAGCTGAGGGACACATTCCACAGGTGCTGAAGAGCACGTGATCATCATCTATGCCTGCTTAGTTAGGGCTGCTGTTAGCACCTGGATTTTACAGATGAGGAAACTGAGACTCAAGAGGGCTTGTGAATTTCAGAAATTCACACATGTCAGTGGCAGATCAGAAAGAAGCCCATTTCCGGCCTCCATGTTTACCTAGATCTAGGCAAAGAACCTTGCTTTAGTCTCTAACAAATTTACCTCAGAAGAGAGACTCATTTGTTCAGTTTATTCAAGGTTTGGATAGTAGATATGAAGAGAAATATTGAAGGGGAAGGGAATTCTCAGCTTAGCATACAGGGGTTAGGAAGCTAAATTCAGCCCAGGGTGATAGAAGTCACGCTTGCAACTGGGTGGTGCAGCAAGGCTGGGGATGCAGCACCGTGGACAGTGGCAAGTCTCTTAGCTCCTCCGAGTCCGCTGGCTGTCCCAGCTAGGAAGCAAGGACACCAGGTCCCCCCCCTGCCTCTCTCAAAGAGTCCATTTCAAGGTCAGGAGAAATGTGGCTCATGCTTTGGAGCCCACAAAGCCCTTAAGTAGCCTCTGCTGTGATGTGGGCACAGCCACCCTAGGGACTGTTCCCAGATGGTAGCCTTTGGCAAAATTGTGACACAGGCAGCATTGGGTTTAAGGTCTCAACACCTTGCTTTGGCTACCTCCCGGGCCCCTGTCACCACCAGGAGCTCAGGGGTCAGATGGGCCAGAATTTTGACCCCCATGCTGCTGCTTAGAGCTGGACACCCTTTGATTAGACACAATCTCTTGGTACCTCAGTTTCTTCCTCTGTGAAATGGGATGGTGATTATATAAACCATCTTCATGTGGTGGTTCTAGAGATTAACAAGCTAATGGACATAACAGTAACAATACCGTGTATGTAATGAGGTCATGATCACGTTTGTACACCCCTGGCACTGGCACAGTCTCAGCAGACAGAGGCTGCTGCCACTCCCCCACCCCACGGTGGCGCTGGCCTAGGTCTGCAGGCTCCAGATCATCCCGGAGGGCCCAGGGTGTGTCTGAAGGTAAGCATTGGATCAGACAGGTGACATTTGAGCTGCGTGGCCATGGATAGCAAGTCACTCTCTGAGCCTCATTTCCTCATTGGTCAAATGGGGATGACGATGCTCATGGTGGAAGATTCTGGAGGACTGTTAAGAATAAGCTAGGGGGATACATCCATTTTAAACAGAGCAAGAGAGAGTTCTGTGAGGACTCCAGCCTGGCACACCTGGGAGGAGCCCAGTTCAACGTCAAGGGTGTTGAAATCAGCGCCGCCCCGAGCAGGGCTCTGCTATACGGACCAAGGACAGAGCAGAGCAGACAGAGGCAGGAGGTGGCACTTTGAGGAGAGAAGCGAAGAGCATAAAGGCCCTGTCTTCATCCTTCACCTATCTCTGGATTCCTTCTTCCTCTTGACACTTGCCGCCCAAGGGCCTGGGGTTGCAAAGGGGTGCGGAGCCTCCTGCCCTCACTTGGGAGAAGCCTGTCTGCCCTTAGAAGAAGGGAGAGAGCCGGGGATGGGGGATGCCCCTAGGGGAGGCTGAGGAGCAGGGCTTGCCTTTTGTCTGACCCACTCGGGACCCACCAGGGCAGGCAACCAGGGAGGGCTTGGGTCCAGGGAGCTGGCAATAAGTGGTGCCACTTCGCTGGAGGTGTCACTGCTACACAGCAGCCTGAGACTGCAAGAGCTGCCTGGCACGCTGGGTGGTTCAGAGCGTGGCACTGGGGCTGGCACTGGTCTGTCTGGGCCACATCCAGGGCCACCACCTCTGTACTTGGGCTTAGTGAGAGCACTTGTACCTCGCATGGCTGTCACAAGATTGAGTGTGACATATTTTTAAAGTGCTTGGATACTACTTGGCACATAGTAAGTGCTAAATAAATGTTTGTGTAATAAAAAAAAGATAGTGGGGATAAAGCTGCTGGAACAGAGCAAATATTCAATGAATTCCTCTGAGAAAGCCTCCGAATCCCTTTTCTCCCATGCTGTCCTCTCGACAGCCAGCCTCCCGCTACCTGGGAGACACTCAGGTGCTGAAGTGTTCCAGGAAAGAAGCCACAGGGTGCGGGTCACTCCCAGTTCTCCCTGGAATGTTTGCATTTCACAAGTCACATGCAAGTTTCGGTGAAAGCTCTGACTTGTGGAATTCTCAGCCCCTGAGCTGGCCAGTGTGATGGGGAAAGGGTCCTTAACTCCCAACTGTCATCTTCTCTGCCTATGTGCAGGCCGCACTGCCTGGGATCTGCGTTCTGATAACCTGTCTCCTCCCAGGACTCTAAAAGGCAGGAATGGCTGGGTGCAGTGGCTCGTGACTGTAATCCCAGCACTTTGGGAGGCCAAGATGAGGTGGGAGGATCGCTTAAGCCCCGGAGTTCCAGACTAGCCTTGGCAACATAAGGAGACCCTATCTCTACAAAAAATGAAAAAAAAAAAAAAAAAAACCCCACCTGGGCATGATGGCAGACACCTGCAATCCCAGTTACTCAGGAGGCTGAGCTGGGAGGATCACTTGAGCCCAGAGGCAGAGGCTGCAGTGAGCCATGATCATGCTACTGCACTCCAGCCTGGGCGACAGAGCGAGACTCCATCTCAAAAAAATTAAATTAAAATAGCAGGCAGGATCACACAAGAGGACAAATTCCTCAGTAATCTCTCAGGATACTTTCAGCTGTCCATCACAGCTACCCAGCCTGTCAGTGGCTCAAACAATAAAGACATTTCTCACCCTATGTAAGACAACGACTGCAGCTGGGAGGTTGCAGAGTTGGTTCAGTGGCTCAACAATGCCACGAAGGACCCATGCTCTTCCTGTCTTTCTTCTCCATCAACTTCAGAGTGGCGCTTTCTTTTCTCATGGTTACAAGATGGCTGCCACAGCTCCAAGCATCACATCCTTAAAGGACAACATCCCAACCAAGGAGGGAGAGTCAGGGCTTTCTTCTTTAGCTTTTGGCTTCTCTCTCTCTTGCTCCAGTCTTTTTCTCACTCCCTCGCTCCCTCTCCACCCCTCTCTCCCCCTATCAACCCATTCCAGGTAGGGAAGTCTCTCCTAGAAGCCCTCTGGCAGACTTTTCCTTAATTCGAAATGCCCAGGACTGAGTCATATGCCTGTTTAACACTAATCACTGGCAAGCGCAATAAGGATTAACAGGATGGATTTCTAAGTCTGGAACCATCGTGGGCCTTGCAAGGTTGGTGGGGCACCTTTGGAGACCTCACTTGTCAAATATCTGCAACAAACTCGGGGTCCTGTTAGTGGGGAAGAAGGGAGATGGCTGCTGGGCAACCTTGAGTCTGCCAGGAGCACTTAGCCTCCTGGGTCATGGTCATGGCCTCTTTCTATGCTTCCTGAAGTTTCTTATGCCTTGTCCAGGGCCCCTTGCATCAGTCCTGGGCTGGGAGAAGGCAGGCTAGGGGACCTGGCAGCACGGGCAGGTCTAAGGTCCAACAAAAATATCCCCACAAAGAAGCCGGAGGTTGCACTCTGAGGGATGGGGCTCACGCAATCCTCCCACCTCGGCCTCCCAAAGTGCTACAATTATAGGCTTAAGCCACTGAGTCCAGCCCTTGGTAAGATTTTTGATTGTCTTCAAAGAGTAATCAAAACCAAAGCAAAAGAGCAAATATACATATTTATATATAATATTTATTATATATATCATATATGATATGATATATGATATATGATATCATATCATATATCATGTATATCATCTATATGATATACATATCATATATATCATATATCATATATATGATCTATATGATCTATATCATCTATATGATCTATATCATATATATGATCTATATGATCTATATCATATATATGATCTATATGATCTATATCATATATATGATCTATATGATCTATATCATATATATGATCTATATGATCTATATCATATATATGATCTATATGATCTATATCATATATATGATCTATATGATCTATATCATATATATGATCTATATGATCTATAGATCATACAAATATATGATCTATATGATCTATAGATCATACAAATATATGATCTGTAGATCATACAAATATATGATCTGTAGATCATATATATATATGATCTGTAGATCATATATATATATATATATTTTTTTTCTTCCAGACAGAGTCTCACTCTGTCGCCCAGGCTGGAGTGCAGTGGCGCAATCTCGGCTCACTGCCACCTCCACCTCCTGGGTTCCAGCGATTCTCCTGACTCAGCCTCCCGAGTAGCTGGGATTACAAGTGCCCGCCACCATGACCAGCTAATTTTTGTATTTTTAGTAGAGACGGGGTTTCGCCATGTTGGCCAGGCTTGTCTCAAACTCCTGACCTCTTGATCCGCTCACCTTGGCCTCCCAAAGTGCTGGGAATTACAGGCGTGAGCCACCACCCCCGGCTGCAAATATATTAATAATTACCCAGAATGAAAAGTCTAGATAAAATCAGCATGATAGAATTTGAGGTGAGGGAGTAGACACTCTGGGATGTGAAATATGCAAATGTTCTTTTCGAATATAAGGGGTGAGAAAGAGATCAATTCAAAAACAAGATGAGAGGCTGGGCGTGGTGTCTCACGCCTGTAATCCCAGCACTTTGGGAGGCCGAGGCGGATGGATCACCTGAGGTCAGGAGTTTGAGACCAGCCTGGCTAACATGGTGAAACCCCGTCTCTACTAAAAGTACAAAAATTAGCCGGGTGTAGTGGAGGGCGCCTGTAATCCCAGCTACTGGGGAGGCTGAGGCAAGAGAATCACTCGAACCTGAGAGGAGGAGGTTGCAGTGAGCCGAGATTGCGCCACTGTACTCCAACCTGAGTGACAGAACAAGACTCTGTCTCAAAAAAAGACAAGAAACATAGAAACACAGAATTTCCATCCTGAAGCCAGGACGGAGTGCCTGTGTATCTGTTTGTCACCCAGACAAAACGTGACAAACTAAAATAAGTCTGTAATGCAAAGCAGTGTATATCGTATGCTCTGCAACAGGAAGGACCAGGTAGGAGAAGCCACCATACACATGAACATGTTCAAAACCAGCTACCTAGATCGATGGTGACAATAATGTCAAGAGACCAGACCCCTGTTAAATGACAAATGTTGACAGATTGGGTTTACATGGTTCATGTAGAAAGATATATGCTCTTTGTAGGCATATGGATACAGAAGGTTGCAAAGAAAAGGACAAAAAAAGACATGCCAGGCAAATGCTATCAGAAAGAGGGCTGGTCCCCCTGTGTCACTGTTGGGTAAAATAGACTTCAGGACCAAAAGTGGTATTAAGGACGAGAAACGGGATAACATGATGATAAAAGATGAAATTTGCCAAGAAGACATTTCCATTTTAAACATTTCTTTATCCAATAAACAACTTCAAAATAAATGCAGGAAACATTAACAAAAGTACAAGGACAAGATGACTTCATCATCTTGGTGGGAGGCTCCGAGACATCTTTTTTTACTACTGGTAGGTCAAGCTGACCAAAATATCATCAAGGACATAGAAGATCTCAGTGACACAGTTAACAACCTTGAGCTGACAGACATGAGGACAGGTCTGCTCAACAATTTGCGAATACATATTGGGATTCTTCACGCACACTTGGAGTATTAAAATTTCAATTATTTACTAAGCCTTAAAGAAAGATGCAGGGCTGGGCGAGGTGGCTCACACCTGTAATCCCAGCACTTTGGGAGGCTGAGGCAGGTGGATCGCCTGAGCTCAGGAGTTTGAGACCAGCCTGGGCAACATAATGAGACCCCATCTCTACAAAAAAGTTAACAAATAAAAATTAGCCAGGTGTGGTGGTACACACCTGTAGTGCCAGCTACTTGAGACTCTGAGGTGGGAGGATAGCTTGAGCCTGGGAGGTTGAGGCCGCAATGAGCCGTGATTTGCGCCACTGCATTCCAGCTTGGGTGACAGAGTGAGGCACTGACTCAAAAATAAGTAAATAAATAAATAAGAGGTTGACCGGAAGAAAAAACAGGCATGGAGTTTGCAGTGATCATTATCACTTTCCCCCCCCAAATCCAGAAGAACTACAGAGCGGACACCTTTGTCCTGGGGCCTCTGCTGAACTATTTCTGCAGGTCTGTTCCTTGGCTTCCCCCAAGGGCATCCCCGCGGTTGGTGCCTCTCCTGCGTGGGGAAGACACATGGAGGGGATGCTGCTGCTGCTGTGGGCATGAGGCTTAGAGGCTGCCAGGGCCAGCATTTCATTCTCACGGGGACCCCGCAGCACCTTGGGATTATGCCTCGACCCTCCCCGAGACAAAACTGACAGAAGAGGAATTCACAGGTGGCAGGATTCGCCTGAAGGCCAAAGGACTGGGGGCACAGCCACAGAGAGCTGGTGAAATGTCATTCAGGGGTCTCTCAAAGTCAAGGCCCACTCTAATAGCTGCCAGCCACCCCCTAGGCCAGGCTGAGGTCACAAGGAGTTGGCTGCGTCTTGCTCCTCTGACAGGGTAGAGAGTGAGGGGGTAACAGGCAGTGAGGGGACAGTTGGTGGGGACCACACAGTCTAGTCCACTTCCTGGGAGGGATATAGAGGTGGGAGCAGGAACCCCCAAAAGAGCCCAGACACCAGCCTGGGTGGAAACTGAAGGGCACACAGGGTGCCAGCCCAACCTAATGAGACCTAGACAAGAGGGGTGGAGGTCACCCAAAGGCCACAGGTGTCACTGGGTGAGCAGTAGTATTCGGTGGTTAAGAGCTCTGATCCTGGTACCAGAGTCTAGGCTTCCATCCCTGCTCCTTCCCCAGTGTGCTGGGTGGCCTTGGGCAGGTCACATAATCATTCTGGGCTCCAGTTTCCTCAGTCAGTGCATTGAACACGTATTTACTGAGCACCTACTACATGCCAGGCACTGATTTAGACACGTGGGAGAATCCATGAACAAAACAGTGATTCCTCCCATCTCAGAGCCTAAGTTCAGGCAGAGACAGACGATAAGCAACGACCTTAACAAATCGGGATGTTATGCAGCCAATTCCACAGTGAGGCCGGCTCAGGCCTCAAAGAAAGATTGGAGTGAGGGAGTCAGGCAGCAGTATTAAATAGGCTTGTCAAGAAGAAAAGATCTGAGCAAAGACTGGAAAGGGCTGAGAGAAAGGGCTGCATGGCCATTGGGGGAGAGCACTCATAGCAGAGGCAGAGTGGGCCCAGATGTGGTGGCACACGCCTGTGGTCCCAACTACTCAAGAGGCTGAGGAGGGAGGATCACTTGAGCCCAGGAGGTGGAGGCTGCAGTGAGCTGGGATGAAGCCACTGCACTCCAGCCTGGGCGACAGATGGGACAGTGCCTCCATGAGTACTAATGGGCACTCCTGGTCTCAAAGAGTGCCCCACCCTGTCAGGGCCCTGGACCTTGGTGACCTTTGGCTTCCTGACCCAGAGCCTCCCCAGGATCCAAGTGTCTCCTCGGACTTGGATGTCCTGTCTCTTTAAAAAAGTGGCTCATGCCTGTAATCCCAGCACTTTGGGAGGCCGAGGCAGGCGGATCACCTGAGGTCAGGAGTTCAAGACCAGCCTGGCCAACATGGCGAAACCCTGTCTCTACTAAAAATACAAAAAATTAGCTGGGTGTGGTGGCGCACGCCTGTAATCCCAGCCACTCGGGAAGCTGAGGCAGGAAAAGCCCTTGAACCCCGGAGATGGAGGTTGTAGTGAGCCAAAATTGCACCACTGCACTCCAGCCTAGGTGACCGAGCGAGACTCTGCCTTAAAAAAAAAAAAAAAAATGGAGGAGGAAGTCCTGCCTCCACACGAATGCACCTGGAGGGCATTATGCTAAGTGAAATAAGCCAGACACAGACAAATATCACGTGATCCTTCTTCTATGTGGAATCTAAAGTCCAGCTCACAGTAATAGGGAATAGAAGGTGGTTACCAGGGGAACAAGTCCACACAGTGCTGCGTGCATGGAGCGCAGTTGCTGAGGGGTCTGTACTGTACAAGCCAAAGGAATGAGAAAAGCTTGGTGTTCATTGCTGGGAATGAATGAGTGTCTCCAAATCCAAGGAGACACTGGGATCCTGAATAGGCTCTGGGTCGGGATGTCAAAGGCCACCAAGCTCCAGAGCCTTGCCAAGGTGGGTCACTCTTCATGACCGGGAGTGCCCATGAGCACACGTGGAGGCACTGCCTCATCTGCCACAACACCTAGCGGCTCTCTCCGATGTCTCATTGATGACCTGTGAGCTGTTTCCTCCCACATGGACCCTGGGAAAGCAAAGAATCACAAGCAGCAACGCCCTGGAAGGACCAAGGAAGACACAGCCATTGCGGTACTTCCAAGTGGGACCCTGCCTGTTCTCCCTCCTCAGGGACCTCCCATCCCTCCTAGTGGTGCTGGGCTCTACAACCTCTGCCACTAGCTCCACTCAGAGGACCCTCTCTCCATCAGAAAGTGGCGGCAGCTGTGTCCAGGTCACCAACCCCCAAACTCTGGCTCCTCGCAGTGTCTGTTCAGAATCCCAAATCTCTCAGCAGTCATTTAAGCTCTGCAGTTTTTCCGAACACTTTCAGAAGTTAGAGAACAACTTCTTCCCTTTGGCCATTAAAATGTAAGCAATTGACCTGGCACCGTGGCTCATGCCTGCAATCCCAGCAATCTGGGAAGCTGAGGCAGGAAGATCACGTGAGCCCAGGAGTTTGAGACCAGCTTGAGCAACATAGTGAGACCTCATCTCTACCAAAAATTTAAGAATTAGTTGGGTGTGGTGGCACGCACCCTTAGTCCCAGCTGCTCAGGAGGCTGAGGCAAGAGGATGGTGTGAACCCAGGAGTTTGAGACCAGTCTGGGCAACATGGCAAGACTCTGTCTTTAAAAAAAAAAAAAAACAAAAGTAACTGTACTGTGAGTGGCAAAACAGTTAAACTTCAAATATCAAAATTCAACTTCCTTCAAGTGATCTTCTCTTTAGGTGTCTGACAATGTTCTTTGGAAATTCAGGTTGAAATACAGTGACTTCTAGGGCAAAGAAAACAAGCAGAACATCCATTCCCCATATCCTAGGCACACTCATCCCTCACATGCCATTTGTTCCTCACGCCACCTCTCTGAGAGAAGGCATATCACCCCCTTCTGTGGACAGGGAAACTGAGGCTTAGAGATATTCAGAAGCTGGTCTGGATTCTAGCGCCTGTATAGAAGTGGCAGAGATGGGGCCGGGTGCAGTAGCTCACACCTGTAAACCCAGCACTTTGGGAGGCCGAGGCAGGCAGATCACTTGAGGTCAGGAGTTCGAGACCAGCCTGGCCAACATAGTAAAACCCCATCTCTACTAAAAACACAAAAATTAAGTGGGCATGATGGCACGTGCCTGTAGTCCCAGCTACTCAGGAGGCTGAGGCAGGAGAATCTCTTGAACTCGGGGAGGTGGAGATTGCAATGAGCAGAGAGTGCATCACTGCACTCCAGCCTGGCCAACAGAGAAGACTGTCGGGAAAGGGAAAGGGAAGGAAAAGGGAAGAGAAGGAAAAGGGAAGGGAAGGGAGAGAAGGAGAAAGAAGTGGCAGAGCTGCAATTCAAAGCCAAGCCTTGCCCTTTAAAACTATACACCTTCTTCCAGGGTTGGAGGCCAAAGGATTCCTCCTTTCCACCACTCCTCCTGGAGGAACATGTGTCGGTACCCAAAAGCATGCCTGCAAGGTGGAGAGACAGGGAGAGGTTCGCGTGGCACCCAGACGAGCCCCCTAATTCATGTCATTTTTCTGCATTGAGTCCTGATGATTTATTTCCCCAAGCACAGCCCAACTGAGGCTGAACCTCCTGGGCCCACGTGACCTCCTCAGCCTGGCTCCGGGAGGAGGTAGCTGAGCCGCATCTTCCCATCTGCTAGGTGTCAGGTTTTGCAGGACACCAGGCCTGAAGCTGTCCCTGGCCGTCCTCTCCCAGTCGCCCCACCCCACACCATTTCCCAGCTTCCCAGGAGGCGACAGATCCCTTGTCTGTTCCCCAGCAACGCACCCCGACCCCAAGTCTCTCCTGCCCCCAAGCAGATCCCATTCTCAGAGCACAAGGCATCCTTGGCCTTCAGCGCTGAATGCTCACAAGCTTATGTGATCAGTGTGCACACCAGCACCAGCAGCGTGCCAGGGCCAGGCATGTTGTACAAGTGAAATGCCAAGAGTGTGCTCCAGGGAGCAGCCTGGAAGGAAGCAAGAGTGACAGGGGAAGGAGCTGAGCAGGGTGTGGCATCAGGTGGAACCCAGCCAGCCCGACGCCACAGGGGGCTCTGGAGTGAGCACTGCAAGATAAAAGCAGCCTCTGCCATCAGTTAGCCAGTGACTGCTGGCTGCCCGCGGGTGGCAATGGGGGCAGTTGGGGGGGACGCGGATGGGACACAAGCTCTTAGGCAAGCACCTCCCATCAGTCCAGGGCAATGCACCAGGAAAGGGGGTCGCTGTGCGTTGCTGGCACCCAACATTCCTAGAAGCTGGAGGATGAGTGCACCGGCCAATAAAGGGGATGCAGCGGGGCCAACAGCTTCCACTACAACGAGATACCGCTTCCTGTGCTACGTGCTTCACGTACATTCGCTCTCATCTTTGCTATGGTCCCGGGATGTGGTTGTGGTTACGATAAATGGAGGCTCCGAATGCCCATGTCATTTGTCCAGAGTTTCCCATACCCTTGATGGCAGAGGGGCATCTGAAATCAGGTTGTATGACTTCAAAGTCCATGTAGGGTTGCCAGAGTTGACAACTAAAAATACAAAACGCCGGCCGGGCACGGTGGCTCAGGCCTGTAATCCCAGCACTTTGGGAGGCCGAGGTGGGGGTGGATCACTTAAGGTTAGGGGTTCGAGAGCAGCCTGGCCAACATGGTGAAACTTCGTCTCTACTAAAAATACAAAAATTAGCCGGGCATGGTGGCACACGCCTGTAATCCCCGCTACTCAGGAGGCTGAGGCAGGAGAATCACTTGAACCTGGGAGGCGAAGGTTGCAGTGAGCCAAGATCACGCCACTGCACTACAGTCTGGGCAACAAAGTGAGACTCTGCCTCAAAAAAAAAAAAAAAAACAAAAAAATACCCAGTTATATTTGGATTTAAGGCCCAGTGCACTGGCTCACACCTGTAATCCCAGCACTTTGGGAGATCTAACATGGCGAAACCCCATCTCTACCTAAAAATACAAAAATTAGGCAGGCATGGTGACGCACGCCTGTAGTCCCAGCTACTTGGAGGCTGAGGCAGAAAAATCGCTTGAACCTGGGAGGCAGAGGTTGCAGTGAGCTGAGATGGTGCCATTGTACTCCAGCCTGGGTGACAGGGTGAGAATCCGTCTCAAAAAATAAATTTGGATTTCAGGTCAACAAGGAATCTGGTTTTAGCACAAGCATGTCCCGGACAATATTTGGGACATGCGCAAATGAAACTATTATGCATCGCTTATGTGACATGCAAATTAACGGGGCGGCCTGTATTTTAGCTGACAACACTAAAGCCCACAGTAGTGGGCTGCCCTCTTCCACTCTGGTTACTCAAGCAAACAGGGCCGGGGTGCGGGGGGCGTGGAAAGAGCACATGGCACCAGATACTGGGGGACAGCATTCTGTTACACTGAAATACACACAAATGCTTTCGTGCTTTGCAGAGGGAGGGGACCTACAGTTTTTGTCTGATAACGAGGATATAATTGTGGCCACATCACCACGTTTGAAATTATCCCCTTTAAATGCTGTACCTCCGGGGGGGTTCTCACTGAAAGCACAAAGCGATGAGAAGTGGGACATTTTCTGTCCGGTGTTATCGGGTCCCCGCGAGAACGCCCCCGAGTTCGGCAGGCAGCCCCGGGTTTCCCTCCACCCTCGCGTGAGGGAGCTGTGACTGGATTCTCTCTCTCAATCGATCACTCTAGGCGCCCACACTCGGCGCTGACAAACCTCAACTCTGCAGGAGCCCCTGCACGGAGGGGAAGCCCAGGAAGCACAATCCCCCCCATCCCCGGGGGCTTGAGCTGTACCCCAGAGCTCTAACTTATTTGACGACTCTGCCTCCCCGCCCAGCTGAGGTCCCAAGAGCTGTCCACTGTGCACGATGTGACACATAGCACCTGCAGAAAACCATTTCCAGTGCCTGCTCCCACTCTCGCACTGGGAGGCGTTTCACCAGGCGCCGCGCTGGGGGTAGTGAGGGATGGGGTGAGCTTCGGAGGCTCCCCGAGGCAGCAGTAAATCTAGGCTATAATTAAATCAGACTGTGAACATATTGTTCACGGAAACCTCAGCAGAACATGAGTCATGTTGCTTGAGTGAATCACAGCCTCAGAGTTTCCATTTATAATTGCTTTATCTGGGGCCTTTATATTTCACTCAGGATTTTGGCCCATGCTCCCGTTATTCTCCCTTTTGGGGAAAGCCTGAGGACTGGACATGGCTAAGAGTGTACCTGGGCAGCCAGGAAAAAGAGCAAACGCCAGGAGAATCCTCTCCCCAGCCCCAGGGGCACCTCCCTCCTGCGGATGCCCCCAGGGCCATGGGGACAAGCGGCAGGGGAAACAGAAGGAGGGGACATCGGGCCATTTCGACTCTTGCTAGTTTCTGAAATTTTAAGTAAAATTTGATGAGAGGGAGGAGGTTGAAAGCTCAGGTTAGAATGAAGTTTCATGATCTCTGTGCTGCTTTTGGTTAACTCGGCTACCGGGACACAGCAGACAGCGCACAGTAGTGCCCACACACAGGCCCCGGAGCCTGACTGGGCTCTGCCCCACCGCGTACCAGCTGCACAATGTTGACAAGTGGCTTCACCTGTGTCTGTCTCTTCCTGTGTAAAATAGGAGTGATAATAACAGTAACCTCATAGGCTGGTTGTGAAGATTAATGAGTTAATATGGGTGAAACCCTTAGAATACCAATGGGCTTGGTAGAAGTGCTAGTGTGTGAGTTTTCATCACCATCACCACCAACATCATCTCAGACCACCCGCGGCATCGCTGAGCACTGAGGGACAGGGCCTCACGTGCTTCACACACAACCCACAGGCAGCAGTGCAGGTGGAGGCAGAACTCACAGGATAGGGGTGCTACCTGGGCCTTCCCTGCATTCTGTCCGTCACTTTTGTTGTAGGCGAGGAAATGCAAGCCCCAGCTCACACACATTAGCGGTGAGCCCAAGCAGACAGAGCTGAGCCTCCTGACCCCACCCAGCACGCTTTCGTGTGTTCCCAGGTGTTCCTACTGCAACCACGTGCTTGGAGCCGGGAGCAGGTTTCTCCCTTTAGGAGATTTGCAGGGTGGGGTCTGTAGCACTGGTAGGCAGTGGGAGACTGACACTTTGAGCCACACCCGGGGCTGTGTAGTCAGGGTCCCCACAACCAGAGCGCCAGCACCCTCATCACTCAGTGCACACGTTCAGGATGCAGCAAGTTCCAATGTTGTCACCTCATTTGGAACCTCACCACAATCTTTGGAGGCCAGCTGGGGGCAGGGGGGCGGGGGTTGTGGACGAGGTGCCCCTGCTGCGGATCCTCTGAGAGCTTTGTAATGAAGAGTGATTTCACCCACTCAGACCCAACATGTAAGTGGCCCCGGGGATCCCCAACGTTTTTCCTGCAGGGATCTTTTTATCACCCCACTTTCCCTGCTTTGAACGAGTTTTTCTCCAAAGCTGCAAGTGATAAGTAAATTAATTTGTTCTCCTATAATTTATTAATTGGCAATGAACATAATGGCCAAATGAAGTTTCTGTTCAGCATGGGAGAAAGGGTGCTCCCAAGCCAAGGAGCTGGGATTCCTGCCAAGAGCAAAGAAATGTGACATTTTCCTTGGCCCGAGATATCTTATTAGGAGCTCCAAGTACATTCTCCGGAAGGCTTTCTAAAATGACAACACCAGATAGGCTCCTGTTAGGATGGCTGTCCTCCCCACAGGCCCAGGGACCCCAGGAAGGGAGTCATCAGGGGCTGCGATCCCGCTATGGCAGTCCAGCCCCTCTAGGTCAATGACTGGGTAAGGGCCTGTATTAGTCTGTTCTCACACTGCTAATAAAGAACTAGCTAAGACTGGGTAATTTATAAAGGAAAGAGGTTTAATGGACTCACAGTTCCACGTGGCTGGGGAGGCCTCACAATCATGGCAGAAGATGAAGGAAGAGCAGAGGCATATTACACGGTGGCAGGCAAGAGTGCGTGTGCAGGAGAACGCCCCCTTTATCAAACCACCAGATCTCGTGAGACTTATTCACTATCACGAGAACAGCACAGGAAAGACTAGCCCCCATGATTCAATTACCTCCCCCTGGGTCCCTCCCACAACACATGGGAATTGTGGGAGCTGCAATTCAAGATGAGATTTGTGCCCAGATAGAGTGATAACCCTGACCCTAAGCTGGGCTGAGCATGAGCCATGTTTTTCAGTTAGAAATGCTTGGTTTGGGGCTGGGTGTGGTGGCTCATGCCTGTAATCCCAGCACTTTGGGAGGCAGAGGCAGGCAGATCACCTGAGGTCAGGAGTTCAAGACCAGCCTGGCCAACAAGGCAAAACCCTGTCTCTACTAAAAATACAAAAATTAGCCAGGTGTAGTGGTGCACATCTGTAATCTCAGCTACTCAGGAGGCTGACACAGGAGAATCACTTGAACCCGGGAAGTGGAGGTTGCAGTGAGCCGAGATTGCACTACTGCACTCCAGCCTAGGCAATAGAGCAAGACTTCGTCTCAAAAAAAGAAAGAAAAAAAGGAAATTTTTGGTTTTGCTCCAAAGCCCTGGTATTGTGGAAAGATCACTTGAGTTACAGTCAAAAGGACACCAACTTGTCTTTCAACTCCATGAATGTATCTGTTACTTTATCACTTAAAATCTCACATAAAGTCTTTTTTTAAAAGCCCATATACCTATAAGTCACATTAAAAGTCTAACAACAGTAGGTATTCACAAAGGGGAAAATGGAATGAGCGGCAATTTAACTAGAAAAATTAGAGGAAAAAAAACCAACAATTTAATAGAGTAAGATGAATAAAATGAAATCAAGTATATCAGTCAACTTACCAGAGGTGATTAAACTGAATTCACTCAAGAAAAGACAGAGATTATCAGATAGAGTTAAAAGTAAAAATCCAGGTATATGCTGCTCACAGGGAAAAATGCAAAAATAAAATGAGAGAGAAAAATTGAAAACAATATGCCAAAAAGATATCAGAAAAATGCCAATAAGAAGAAAGCAGGAAGAGCAGAGGTATGGAGAAAGTTGAAGTTCAAAACCCTAAACAGGATGAAGAAGAACTTGTGTATAATAAGAATGTACAATTAAGAATATATAACATTCATAACTTATGTGCACTAAATAACATAGACACTAAAATCATAAAATGAAAAAATATAGAAATACAAACAGAATAAAAATATAGTTTTGGTTTTTTTCCGAGATGGAGTCTCCATCTGTCGCCCAGGCTGGAGTGCAGTGGTGCAATCTCGGCTCACTGCAACCTCTGCCTCCCAAGTTCAAGCAATTCTCTTGCCTCAGCCTCCCCAGTAGCTGGGACTACCGGCGCCCGCCACCATGCCCAGCTAATTATTGTATTTTTAGTAGAGATGGGGTTTCGCCGTGTTAGCCAGGCTGGTCTCGAACTCCTGACCTCAAGTGATCTGCCTGCCTTGGCCTCCCAAAGTGCTGGGATTACAAGCATGAGCCATCGCGCCTGGCCAAAATACAGTTTTAGTAGGGTGTTTCAGTTCACTTCTTTCAGAACTGAATATACCTAATAAGCAAAAAAGTCAGTAAGGGCAAAGACAAAGTGACTGATACAACCAACAATTTAGTGTAACAAGTACATAGAGAGCCTTACATTCTTCAAATGGAAAACATACATTTTGTTTATATGTCCATGAAACATTTACAGAAATAGATTAGGTACATGGCCACAGGGAAAATCTTATTAAAATTTTAAGGAATAATAAAAGAGTGAAAATTTGAAGTTTGAAATATTTTAAATGTGGAAAATACGAAACACTCCTGGAAACTCCTTAGAATAAAGAGGAAATTAGGCCGGGTGTGGTGGCTCATGCTTGTAATCCCAGCACTTTGGAGGCTGAGGCGGTCGGATCACAAGATGGGGAGATCAGGACCATCCTGGCTAACATGGTGAAACCCCATCTCTACTAAAAATACAAAAAATTAGCCAGGCCTGGTGGCAGGCGCCTGTAGTCCCAGCTACTTGGGAGGCTGAGGCAGGAGAATGGCATGAACCCGGGAGGCGGAGCTTGCAGTGAGCCGAGATGGCGCCACTGCACTCCAGCCTGGGCCAGAGTGCGAGACTCCATCTCAAAAAAGAAAAAAAAAAAAGAATAAAGAGGAAATTAAAAGGGAAATTACTGTCTAGAAACTAATGAAAAGAACACTTCACACTAAAACTGACCACACAGTGAAAGCAAGGCTTAAAGGAAAATTTACAGCTTTAAATGCCTTCATTATTTTTAAAAATTTCTAAAAATTAATAACCTATACCAATCATAAGAAATTAGGGAAAAAGGCCGGGCGTGGTGGCTCACGCCTTTAATCCCAGCACTTTGGGAGGCAGAGGCGGGCGGATCACGAGGTCAGGAGATCGAGACCATCCTGGCTAACATGGTGAAACCCCATCTCTACTAAAAATACAAAAAAATTAGCCAGGCATGGTGGTGGGCGCCTATAGTCCCAGCTACTGGGCAGACTGAGGCAGGAGAATGGCGTGAACCCGGGAGGCGGAGCTTGCAGTGAGCCGAGATGTGTACAGATAAAAGCTGAAACAAGTGAAATAGAAAACAAATACCCTCCCCCCAAATATCTCAAAGGATAAATAAATGTAAAACTGGTACTTAGAAAACACTAATGAGGCTGGGCGCCATGGCTCATGCTTGTAATCCCAGCATTTTGAGAGGCCGAGGTGGGCGATCACCTGAGGTCGGGAGTTCGAGGCCTGACCTGAGGCCTGACCAACATGGAGAAACCCCTTCTGTACTAAAAATACAAAAAAAGTAGCTGGGCATGGTGGTGCATGCCTGTAATCCCAGCTACTCGGGAGGCTAAGCCAGGCTGAGGCAGGAGAATTGCTTGAACCTGGGAGGCGGAGGTTGCAGTGAGCCCAGATCACACCATTGCACTCCAGCCTGGGCAACAAGAGCAAAACTCTGTCTCAAAAAAAAAAAGAAAGAAAGAAAAAGAAAAGACTAACGATAGAGACAAATCTCTTACAAGCCAGATCAAGAAAAAGAGAAAGAAGGCAGAAGTTCACAAGAGGAGGAGTCAGAAAGGTGACATAACTACAAATTTAAAAAAATCTTAAGAAGCAGTAACAAGTAAATTTGAAAAATTTAGAGGAAATTGATGATTTCTTTGCAAAATTGAAGTTACCAAAATAGACCAATTACTGAAATAGAGCAATGATCACAGAAGAGATTGGGAAGGGGAGTAGCAATCCACTGTGAAACAGGCACCAGGACTGCATCACCCATGGCTGAGTTTTATCTAACCTTTAGTGGACAAAGGAGACTAATGGTATTTGTACCCACTTCTCTCAAAATGAATGTGTACACTGATAACCTGTGACTCTTGATAAAATGCAGATTCGGATGCAATAGACCTGGGGCGGGGCCCTAAACTCTGCATTTCTAGCAAGCTCCAGGTGAGGCAGATATTGTTGGTTCTTGGCCCACACTTTGAGTAGCAACAATTTAAACTATTTCAGAAAGTAGGAAAAAAAGATACAAAGTTCACCAGTTTATTTTACAAAGCCAACGTTACTTAAATACCAAAATCAGACAATGGTAATTCCAACAATAACAGATCCTCAGCTTCAACTAAATGTATAAATATAGAGGCAAAGTCTAAATAAAATATTAGCAAACAGACTTTGGCATTGAACAACAGAATTAGAAAGTTCTTCAATACAAAGAAACCCAGCAATATGACTCTTTGCATCAATGAACTAAAGGAGAAAACTGCCAACCTAAAAGGAAGAAGCTGAGGCACATTTTTTAATACTTCTTTTATTTGTTTTGGAAATGAGGTCTTCACTATATTGCCCAGGTTGGTCTCAAACTCCTGGGCTCAAGTGATCCTCCCGCCTCAGCCTCCCAAAGTGTTGGGATTACAGGCGTGAGCCAATGCGCCCAGCATCTGAGGCAAAATTCATCTGAGTAGAGTTTATTTGGGCCAAGTATAAGAACTGCAACCCAGGAGTGTAGACAAAAAGAGTGAAACGCTATAAAATATTTAAAGAGGTTTGTTCTGAGCCAAATATGAGTGGCCATGGCCTGAGGCACAGTCTCAAGAAGTCCTGAGAACATGTGCCCAAGGTGGTTGGGTTACAGCTTAGTTTTATACGTTTTAGGGAGACATAAGACATGAACCAATACATGTGAGATATACATTGGTTGGATCTGGAAGGGTGGGACAACTCGAAGTGGGGGGGCTTTCAAGTCACAGGTGGATTCAAAGATTTTCTGATTGGCAATTGGTTGAAAGAGTTAAATTATTATCTAAAGACCTGGCATCAACAGAAAGGAGTGTCTGGGTTAAGATAAGGGGTTGTGGAGACCAAGGTTGCTAGGAAGTGTCACAGATGAATGCCCTTAGAGACAATAGATGGCAAATGTTTCCTATTCAGACCTTTAAAAGGTGCCAGACTCTCAGTTTATCTCTTCAGGATTGGGAGGGTCTGGAAGGGGAGGATCTAGTTATGTTAATGGAGATTCTTTACAGATGCAAACTTTCCCCCACCAAAGATGGCTTTGCAGGGCCATTTCAAAATATGGCAAAAAAACACATATTTTGGGGTAAGATATTTTGATTTTTTTTTATGAAAACGATGTATTTGGGCACAAAAATGAAATACAGTTAGAAACCATATTCTATCAATTATGATATTCTGTAATCTAAGAACACAGAAAATTTTGTTATTAAGAAATGCCAAGAGGAAAAAGAACTCTGTGAAGTCCTATTCAATTTACTTTGTTAGGGAAAAGGCTGTTTATTTGGCTCTTGTCACAGTTCCATCATGTCTACTCTTCTTGTAAGTTCAGCTTCAATGCTATCTAATTCTCACTCTGCTTCTTCAATTTTCACTTGAGCAAGGATGGATTCGGCATTAAATCTAACTAGGACTCCAATTTTTTCTTCAAAGGTATAGTCTGTTGTTTTAATTTTGCCAGTTTCTCTGACAGTGCTACTAGGGACTGATGAGACAGAGAAGCATCCATGCCTCTGGCTGAAAGTTGCTCCCTCTGCAGCCTTGATTCCAAATCTGAATTCCACTGACTTTGGTTTTAGAAAGTCCATGTTCTGATGACGATTATCAACTTTGGCCCTTTCTGTAGACAGATGCAACTCTGCTTTCTTGAGATCCTCTTGTAGACATTTTTCTAATACTAAAGTTGCAGTTAGATTTTTTTTCAAAATTTTCCAGTTCAATCTTGATTTCTTCACTTTTGGATTTGGTACGAAAGAGGTAAGAGGTCAAATCATTCACTACAGGGATAAAACTAGTTAGTGAGGCATCCTTCGTTTCAAGGGCCACCGCACTGCCAACCAAAGCATTCAGATACCTGGAACCAGTGCTAGAGAGATTGGCAGGGGAAAAAATTCACACTCTCCATGAGAAGGTCTTGGAGATACTTGGCTTCTGACTGGTATTCACTTGCTTTCTGCTTCAAGTCCTCTATTACCAGGTAGACATCCCTGTTCTGGACCCTGTTGCGTTCTGAAAGGTGATGTAAAATCTCTGTGGTCCGTGGGTTCACCTCATACTGTGGAATGGGATGATCTCCATATATAATATCTTTTTTTATTATTTATTTATTTATTTATTTTTGAGACAGAGTCTCACTCTGTTGCCCAGGCTGGAGTGCAGTGGCGCCATCTCGGCTCACTGCAACCTCCATCTCCCGGGTTCAAGCCATTCTCCTGCCTCGGCCTCCCGAGTAGCTGGGACTACAGGTGCCCCCCACCATGCCTGGCTAATTTTTGTATTTTTAGTAGAGACAGGGTTTCACTGTGTTAGCCAGAATGGTCTCAATCTCCTGACCTTGTGATCTGCCCGCCTCAGCCTCCCAAAGTGCTGGGATTACAGGCGTGAGCCACCGAGCCCGGCCCAAATATTTTTTCTAACCACACAGCAATGTTTCTCTCTCCTCCAGCAGCTCCATAGCTGCCACTTCCGCCACTTCACTAGCAATATTTTGATTTTCTTCTCTGTCCAGTGGTGTTATGCCAGTCAGGTTGGAAAGTAACACATTATATAGAGTTAAATAAAATTCACCTGATGAGATGTTATGGTTCGTGATGTTATATGGTTTGTGATGTTATGGCGTAACTTCCCAGGTCCCTTAGATAGGAATTTGGGCAAGAGGGAAAAAAGGTCAGAGATTAGTCCTCAAGAGAACAGATTCAAGTTGCCCTGAATATACACTCTGGATTAGTGGCAGTTACAAGTGGATTTTTTTTTTTTTTTTTTTTTTTTGAGACGGCGTCTCGGTCGTCGCCCAGGCTGGAGTGCAGTGGCACGATCTCCACTCACTGCAAGCTCCGCCTCCCGGGTTCACGCCATTCTCCTGCCTCAGCCTCCCCAGTAGCTGGGACTATAGGAGCCCACCACCACACCCGGCTAATTTTTTTGTATTTTTAGTAGAGACGGGGTTTCACCGTGTTAGCCAGGATGGATGGTTTCGATCTCCTGACCTCGTGATCCGACCACCTCGGCCTCCCAATGTGCTGGGATTACAGGCGTGAGCCACCGCCCCGGCCTACAAGTGGATTTTTAAAGGAAAGGAAGAGGAAGTTCCTCAGTTGTTTACCAAGAATTTACATTAAAATAACAAACTACTGACAGGCTACATACAGGGTTCTTTGTATTACAAATTCCAGGCCAGGCGGTGGCTCTTCCCTGTAATCCCAACACTTTGGGAAGCCAAGGCAGGTGAATCACTTGAGCCCAGGAGTTCAAGATCAGCCTGGGCAACATAGGGAGACCCCTGTCTCTACAAAAAATAAAAAAATTAGCTGGGCATGGTCATGTGCGTTTGTGGTCCCAGCTACTCGGGAGGCTGAGGCAGGAGGATCGCTTGAGCCTGAGCGGTAGAGGCTGCAGTGAGCTGAAATCAAGCCACTGCATTCCAGCCTGGGTGAAAGAGAGAGACCCTATCTCGAAAAAACAAACAAACAAACCCAAATTCTAGGAACAAGAAGGCAAAGGGTGAGACAGCTGGTTGGGAACAAAATGACTTTAAACAATTGCCCCCAGGCATGGGGAGAGGGGGAGCAGGGAGGAATGAAAGTCCCATATTCGTGTCTTTCTGGGCCTGCAGACCACACATAGCCCAGACTGTTCTATTCTTCTTTTCTCAAAACCACATAATCATATTAATAGGTGCTAAAAGCAACCATTCCTAATCAAAACTTAAACAGGGCTAGATGGAAACTATGTAAACAAAACGAAGGATATTTACTAAAAACCAACAACAAGTGTTATTTTAAATGTCAAAACACTGGAAATATTTAATTAAAATCAAGAACAAGATTCTTGATGCTTACTAACATTATTATTTAACATGGATTTAAGGCAGTGGTTCTCAACCCCAGATGCCCATTAGCATCAATCTGGGAAGCTTTTAAATATATGTATATATACACCAATTAAATCTCTGAGCCTAAGGGCCTGCCTGCCATAGGAGGTTTTTTTTGTTTTGTTTTGTTTTGTTTTTCAGAGCTTCCTGGCTGATGCTAATGTGTAGCCCAGAATGAGAACCAGTCTTAGAGGCTTCAGCAAATGCAACAGAAAAAGAAAATAAAGCAGCAGGCATCCTCGCTGGGAAAGAAAGAGGGTTGTTAGATAAAATACAGAACACCCAGGTAAATTTGAATTTCAAATGTATCATGAATCGCTTTTTAATATAAGTATGTGCCATACAGTACTTGGGACTTACTTATACTAAAAAATTATTCCTTATTTTTCTGAGATTCATATTTAGCTGGGCATTCTGTATTTTTGTTTGCTAAAGCTGGCAACCCTAAAAGAAGAGATATAAATGAATTCTATTTGCTGATGCTATAATTGTCTACCTTGAAAACCCGAGACCCCGTTACTGGCAGTGAATCCATATGGTTCTGCAGCAACCTCAATTCTTGGCTCCTCAGAAGCAAGAACTCAACTGAGGGGCATAAGGCAGAAAAAGGGACCAAGGCAAGTTTCAGAGCAGGAGTGAAAATTTATTAAAAAGCTTTAGAGGCCGGGCACGGTGGCTCACGCCTGTAATCCCAGCACTTTGGGAGGCCGAGACGGGCGGATCACGAGGTCAGGAGATCGAGACCATCCTGGCTAACACGGTGAAACCCCGTCTCTACTAAAAATACAAAAAATTAGCCGGGCGTGGTGGCGGGCGCCTGTAGTCCCAGCTACTCGGGAGGCTGAGGCAGGAGAATGGCGTGAACCCGGGAGGCGGAGCTTGCAGTGAGCCGAGATCGCGCCACTGCACTCCAGCCTGGGCGACAGAGCGAGACTCCGTCTCAAAAACAAAAACAAAAAAATCTTTAGAGTCAGCTGGGCGCAGTGGCTCACGCCTGTAATCCCAGCACTTCGGGAGGCCAAGGTGGGCAGATCATTTGAGTCCAGGAGTTTGAGAGCAGCTTGGGCAACATGGCAAAACCCTGTCTCCACAAAAATACAAAAATTAGCTGGGTGTGGTGGTGTGTGCCCGTAATCTCAGCTACTCGGAAGGTTGAGGCACAAGAATTGCTTGAACCCAGGGGGCAGAGACTGCAATGAGCTGAGATTGTGCCAGTGCACTCCAACCTGGGCGACAGAGTGAGACCCTGTCTTAATAATAATAATAATAATAATAATAAAAGCTTTAGGGCAGGAATTAAAAGAAAGTACTTAGAAGAGGGCCAAGGGGGCATCTTGGAGGTCAAGTGCCTCATTTCACCTTGGACTTGGGGTTGTATATGCTGGCCTACTTCCCGCATCTTGCATCCTTTTTCCCTTGATTCTTCCCTTATGGGGGCTGCCCACATGCGCGGTGGCCTGCCAGCAATTGGGAGGTGAGCATGCGCAGTGTGTTTACTGGAGGTGTACGCATGCTCACCTGAGGCGTTCTTCCCTTTACCAATAGAATGTCCCCAGAAGGTCATATACCACTTAAACTCCTCCATTTTGCCCCTTAATGCACATGCTCCAGCGCATTCGCCCAATTCCTGAGCTCTTACTGGGAAACCGCTGATCATCAGTTTCAGGTGTTTTTATCTATTGGGAAACTGCTTTTCCCTGGTGCTGGCTGTGACCAATTATTATTTTAGAGAGACAGTTAACCGACTGACCATGACCTGATGGTCACCTGACATCTGACATTCCTGGTGGTGGTTGGCAGGGAAGGGGAGGGGTGCTCTCCTGTCCTGTTTAATGTCTGACTAGCTACCTACTGTAACAATTCTATTAAAAAACTTTTAGAGTAACGATATTTGGTAAGGAGACTGGATACCAGATACATTACAACAGTAAATAGGCTTTTTTGAATAAGTACCTATGAGGCCATAGGGACAGGACTTGGCCCATGCCCACTAATGTATTTTTCCATACATACTGACCAGACCTTGCAAGCTGTTTGAAGAAACTAAGATAAACAGCAACCCCCAATAAATCTTACTCAAGGCACCATACTGGCTGATCGCAGGACCTTGAAAAACTAAAATAAGCAATATCCCAACATAAATCTTACTCAAAGGAGTTAACCCTATCACCCACATGTGCACAAGACCAGACCGCCCAAGGAGGGGCTTATCTGCCATTTTCCGCTCATGTGATGTATGTGTTAGCATAACCCCTTACTACGCCTGTGCTTCTTGAATTCCACCCTGCACATGTGGACACTCTCCTAACCTCATGAATTAGGTATGTCACCCTCATTAAGACACCGCAGTGCACTCCCCTCAGAGGCAGCTGGAGAATTTTTTTCTCCTGCACTGTCTCCCTTATGCCCAACATTTCTGGGCATGTCTTAATCAACCTTATCTGGAAAAGGCTTGCCTGGCCTCATGTCTTTTCTTTCTCTTTTTTTTCTTCTTTTCTTTTCTTTTCTTTTTCTTTCTTTCTCTCTCTCTTCTCTTTCCTCAAGACAGAGTCTCGCACAGTCGCCCAGGCAGGAGTGCAGTGGTGTGATCTCGGCTCACTGCAACCTCCACCTCCCGGGTTCAAATGATTCTTCTGTCTCAGCCTCCCGGGTAGCTGGGATTATAGGCATGTGCTACCATGCCCAGCTAATTTTTTGTATTTTTAGTAGAGACGGAGTTTCACCATGTTGGCCAGACTGGTCTCGAACTCCTGACCTCACGTGATCTGCCCGCCTTGGCCTACCAAAGTGCTGGGATTACAGGCATGAGCCTCCATGCCCAGACAGGAAAGGAGCCTTTATTTCTTATAAAGGGTTATATAGCCTGCAGGCTGGCTATCCCACAGGCTGCGAAGTGTAGCCTCCAGCAGACACTTCGAGGGAGTGGGGAACAAAGATTTATGCTGAACGGGTTACATCCCATGTTCACTTTGGCGGGGAGACTTAACATTTAAATGGATAACAATTAGTCCCTATCAAAGCTGTAGTGATGGCTGGTAGAACAGAGGGTTGGGGGGTCACTTAGTGTTTGGTGGTGGGTGAGCTGCAATTGCATCAACATTGCTTATTTCAAAACCAGTGCTTGTTTAGTTGCTAGAATAAAAGGGAAAAGAAAAATCCTTGTGGCAATTAGAACACAGTTGATTCCTTTTTTTTTTTGAGACTGAGTTTCACTCTTGTTGCCCAGGCTGGAGTGCAATGGCTCGATATCAGCTCACTGCAACCTCCACCTCCCGGGTTCAAGAGATTCTCCTGCCTCAGCCTCCTGGTAGCTGGGATTACAGGCACCCGCCACCACGCCCAGCTAACTTTTTTGTATTTTTAGTAGAGATGGGGTTTCTCCATGTTGGTCAGGCTGGTCTCAAACTCCCAACCTCGGCCGGGCGCAGTGGCTGACGCCTGTAATTCCAGCACTTTGGGAGGCCGAGGTGGGTGGATCACGAGGTCAGGAGATCGAGACCATCCTGGCTAACACGGTGAAACCCCGTCTCTATTAAAAATACAAAAAATTAGCCGGGCGTGGCGGCATGTGCCTGTAGTCCCAGCTACTCAGGAGGCCGAGGCAGGAGAATGGCGTGAACCCGGGAGGCGGAGCTTGCAGTGAGCCGAGATCGCGCCACTGCACTCCGGCCTGGGGGACAGCGAGACTCCGTCTCAAAAAAAAAAAACACAAAAAAAACCAAACTCCAACCTCAGGTGATCCACCTGCCTCGGCCTTCCAAAGTGCTGGGATTACAGGTGTGAGCCACCACGCCCGGCCCATAGTTGATTCTTTAAGTGTAGGAGCGTGTAACTTAACCCTTGCCTGGCGTGGCTTTAGGTCTTGTTTATAATTTGGTATCTTATTGCCACAGAGGGTCCCTTCCATCAGTCTTATGATCTCTATTTCAGCATTAATTCTGGTTAGTTGTTCTGTCTAAACTGCAGAGGGAGATGGTATAACGAGATGTTTCCAACCTCCCAGCTCTCATGGCAGGGAACACAGTTTTTAAGGTCTTTCTGGGGTGCCCTTGGCCAAGAGGGGTTCCACTCAGCTGGTTAGTGGGGGTGTGGATTTTATTTTGAGTTCTCAGTGGCAAAAGGTAACATGAACAAAGTCAATAGACAAACAATAGATGTGGACAAAAATGTATAATAAAGGGTTAATTTCTTTTTTTTTTTTTTTTTTTGAGATAGAGTCTCATTCTGTCACCCAGGCTGGACTGCAGTGGCACAATCTTGGCTCACTGCAATCTCCACCTCCCGGGTTCAAGCGATTCTCCTGCCTCAGCCTCCTGAGTAGCTGGGATTACAAGCGCACACCACCACGCCCAGCTAATTTTTGTATTTTTAGTAGAGAAGGGGTTTCACCATGTTGGCCAGAATGGTCTCGATCTCCTGACCTCGTGACCCCCCACCTCAGCCTCCCGAAGTGCTGAGATTACAGGTATGAGCCTCTGTGCCTGGCCTAAAGGGTTAATTTCTACAGTATACAAAAATATCTTGCAAATTGATGAGAAAAAGATGTATAGACCCAAAAAAAAAAAAATGAGCAAAAAATATGAAGAACAAGTCCCAACACATGAAAAGGTGCTTAAATTGTCTAGTGGTCAGGGAATATATCATGCTAATATCATTTTATACTCATGAGATTCACAAAACACAGAAAGAACTCTAACATCCAATGCTGACAGAGATGAGGGAAAGGGGAATTTTCAGGCATTGCTGACAGTAATGGCATTGTCACAGGGTTTTGTTTTGTTTTGTTTTAAAAACAAGCAACAGCATTTACTTTTAAAAGGCAATTACTATACTAACCAGCAATTTGACTTCCTGCAATCTGTCTGATATGGTTTGGCTATGTCCCCACCCAAATCTCATCTTGAATTGTAGCTCCCACAATTCCCACATGTTGTGGGAGGGACCTAGTGGGAGGAATTGAATCATGGGGGCGGGTCTTTCCATGCTGTTCTTGTGGAAGTGAACAAGTCTCACGAGATCTGATGGTTTGATAAAGGGGAGTCTCCCTGCACAAGTTCTCTTTTCTGCCGCCATATGAGATGTGCCTTTTGCCTTCTGCCATGATTGTGAGGCCTCCCCAGCCACCTGCGAGTCCATTAAACCTCTTTTTCCTTATAAATTACCCAGTCTCGGGTATGTCTTTATCAGCAGCATGAAAATGGACTAATACATTGTTCCATTAGTAGAGATAGATCAGTATCTCTACATAGGGACATATATACAATATTTATTGCAGCTTTGCTTTAGTGGTCAAGAACAGGAAACAAAGTAAACACCTAATAAAAGTAGGATCGCTGAATAAAGGGTGGTCCTCCATAGCAAGGAATATTATACAGCCATTAAAAAGAATCAATTAATGAACAAAAACGTTCATGGCAGCACTGGCCATAATAACCCCAATGCCTATTAGAAGGAGAATAGATCGATAAATTCTGGTATAGTCACACAATGGGATAGTATACCACAACCAGAACGAACAAGCCACAACTACATGCAACAACATTATAAATGTCAAGAATATAATATGCAAAAAAGTATGTACTGAACGTTTCTTTTATGTAAGGCACAAAACAGACTAAAGAAATCGATGCTGTTACAAGTCAGGAGGATGGATACCCTTGGGGAGGTGGGAGGTCAAGGGGAGGAGGCACGTTGGGAGAGGTAGCAGTTCTCGGGCACTGGTAATATTTTATGTCTTGATCTGGGTGCTGGTTACGTGGGTGTATTCACTGTGGAAACTCATCAAGCAGTACATTCATGATTTGTGTATTGAGAAACACCAGACTTAAAATTGTAATAACTTGCAGGGATTTCAACTAGGTATTGATTGTTGGTTAAGAAAAACAGGATGTGGAAAATCATGTATAATATAATCCCATTTTTGGCCGGGCGCGGTGGCTCACACCTGTAATCCCATCACTGTGGGAGGCCAAGGCGGGCAGATCACGAGGTCAGGAGATCAAGACCATCCTGGCTAACACGGTGAAACCCCGTCTCTACTAAAAAAAATACAAAAAATTAGCCGGGTGTGGTGGTGGGCGCCTGTAGTCCCAGCTACTGGGGAGGCTGAGGCAGGAGAATGGCGTGAACCTGGGAGGTGGCACTTGCAGTGAGCCGAGATGGCGCCACTGCACTCCAGCCTGGGCAACAGAGTGAGACTCCATCTCAAAAAAAAAATATATATATATATATATATAAAATATATTATAATATATATATTATATATATATAATCCCATTTTCATACAGCATACAACAATAAAACCACCCTGATTATGTATTCCTGGGGGTGTAAATACATGTACATATGAGGATATATGTGAGTCTCTATAGATTTATATGCAGACAGATAAAAATATGGAAAGCTGGCTAGGCGCAGTGGCTCATGCCTGTAAGGAGGCCGTGAGAGGCCAAGGCAGGTGGATTACCTGAGGTCAGGAGTTGAAGACCAGCCTGGCCAACATGGCAAAACCCCATCTCTACTAAAAGTGCAAAAATTAGCTAGAGGTGGTGGTAGGCGCCTGTAATCGCAGCTACTTGGGAGGCTGAGGCAGGAGAATTGCTTGACCCCGGGAGGCAGAGGTTGCAGTGAGCTGAGATCAAGCCATTGCACTCCAACCTGGGCGACAGAGCAAGACTCTGTCTCAAAAAAAAAAAAAAAAAAACTTGGAAGGCCATATAGCAGGTTAAAATGGCTTCCCTCAGTGAGGGAGAAGGGGATGAGGGTCATGCTGATATTGGGGGAGGAAAGGGAAAAAGGAAAATAATATGCCCTTGTTTAAAAATGACAACAACAACAACAACAACAAAGTATAGGCCAGGTGTGGTGGCACGTGCCTGTAATCCCAGCTACTTGGGAGGCTAAGGCAGGAGGATTGCTTGAGTCCAGGAGTTCAAGGCCAGCCTGGGCAACATAGCCAGACCCCACCTCAAAAAATACATATATGATCCCATCTATGTAAAAAAGATACAGAAATTTAGAAGTAGGTCCTACTAAGGTTTAAAAATTGAGACCCAGGAAATGATTTATGTTGCATAACTCAAGCACATGGCATATTATGAACATTTGGTCATTGTCTGGGAAAAAATATGAAGCCTAAAGATTATTAACAAACAGCAAAGAATACAAACAATCTACTTATCAACTGCTAGCAATATGGTGGACTCAGACAACCTGAAAATTCTTTTACTATAATCACTTAGAAATACTGGGTAAAATGTAACTTAACTATTTTAAATGTAGAGCTAGGCCCACAAATAATAAAATCAAATCCCCGGGTGCCAGAAACAAAGAAGGAAATGAAAAAGCAGAAGGGTGAGTGCCTGAGTTAATGGGGAGCAACTGTCTGCAGAGCCTGGGGGTTTGGGAATGAATGCCCACACAGGGGCAGGAAATGAGGCTTTGGGGCTCTGGGAGCTAGGGAATTGCCCAGAGAGCTTTGCTTACAGCTGAGACCCTCAAATAACTATTCTATAAATGAAAGGATTTAAAAACAAGAGGGACCACAGGACACAGGGCTTTTGGTGGGAAAAAAATAAAAGCTCTCTGAGAAGTCAAAACCACAAGACCACAATTCACATTGCTTTTACTCTACCCACATAGTTCAGAAACTCCAGACTAAAAAGTACCGTGAGAATTATTCATCAAGCAGTGATACTCCTGGGGCACAAGGCAGAAGCAAACAAAAAACTTCTTTGAATTGAAGCTCCCACATCCCAAATATCATGGAATGTTCACACACAAAAAAATAAACCCTGCTAATGATGAGTTCACAGTAGAATATTACAAAGCCCATTGGTGACTAATCCAACTCAATCAACAGTCTGCACATAGTACAAACATACAATTATACCCCCACAAACTCCAAATGCACACAGATAACCAGAAAGAGATTATTTTAAAAATACATATAAAGTAACTGCAGACTAGATAAGACACAATCAGATCCTAATAGAACTAAACTCTATGGAAAAAGGACAAGAAGGATTGAAGAAACATCAAATAGAACAGTAACCCCATAATGTATCAGGGAATACGTTTTTTAAACAAGATTATAGGGATGATAATAAATTCTTCACTGAAAGACATTAGAGAAGACTAAAATGATTGAAAAAATGTACCATTTCACAGATGGGAAGACTCAATATAGCGAAGGTGGCAACTTTCTCCAGATTAGCTTATAAATTTAATGCAGTTCCCATCAAAATCCAACAGAGGATTTTACAGAATTCACAAACTGATCCTAAAATCTGTACAAAGTGCCAAAGGGCCAAAAAAAAAAATGTTAAAGAATAAAGGTAATGGGGATGGGGCTCATACTACCAGATATCAAGACTATTATAGACAGGCACTGTGGCTCATGCCTGTAATCCCAGCACTTTGGGAGGCTGAGGCAGGAAGATCACTTGAGCCCAGGAGTTTAAGGCCAGCCTGGGCAACATTGTGAGACCTTGTCTCTACAAATAATAAAAAAGTTAGCCGGGTGTGGTGGTGTGTGCCTGTAGTCCTAGCTACTTGAGAGGCTGAGGTGGGAGGACTGCTTGAGCCTAGGGGGCTTGAGGCTGCAGTGAGCCATGATCATGTCACTGCACTCCAGCCTGGATGACAGAGTGAGACCCCATCTAAAAAAAAAAAAATACTATTACAAACCTATAGTATGTGATACATGAGATATTAGTGAGAAGATAGTCAAAGAGACCAGTGGATCACAAGGCCTAAAAACAGACCCATGTGGATATGGAAGCTTACTGTATGGCAGAGGCGGCCTTACAA
The DNA here is from genome assembly GCF_000001405.40 of Homo sapiens. Classification (NCBI taxonomy): domain Eukaryota; kingdom Metazoa; phylum Chordata; class Mammalia; order Primates; family Hominidae; genus Homo; species Homo sapiens. The sequence continues at coordinate 18,855,171 of NC_000023.11, read as the reverse complement.
ATGAGTAGGAAAGAATGAACTGTTCAATAAACTGTGCTCCCACATCATACCTTAAAATCATTTCTAGTGGATGAGAGAGCTAAATGCTCTTGAAAAGCAAAATTTAAAAAAAACCTTTGGAGGATACAGTTGATTCTCATTATTCACAATAGCTGTGTTCTATAAACTCGCTGTGAACACTGAATTAGCAAATACTGAACCATTGCTCTTAAGGGAAACACAGGGTAGGGTTCCCGTGAGCCTCTGGTCACGACATTTTCATCACCCTATCAATCCAGAACCTTGTTTTGTGTATGTTTCTGTTGAAAGGCATCTCATTGAATTGTATTGCTGATTCCTGAACACTAAACTCCCGGCCAACAGGGCCATCCCTCATGCTTGAAGGAAGCTTCTCTAACACGTGTTTTCTCTGTAAGGCACATCACAGCTTCCTTGCGCTTGGGAGTGCCAGACAACACTTCCATCTATGCTTGGGGGCCATTTTAAACAGCAAAGTCACCCACAAAAAGCACAAAAATGTGGAAACGGTGGCACTAAATGTGCCTCAAGAAGGACACTTGTTTACAGTTTGACAGCTGAGACAAGAAGGCAGAGTGTCACCTTGTTCCACCTCAGCTGGGAATGTGCGTGACTCAGATTTTTTCACTACTTTTGCATGTGGTCACTGAAGATACTGATTTTGGCAAGTAGGCAAATTTGCAAATACAAAATCTATGAATAATGAGGATCAACTGTATCTTTCTGATCTTTCCAGGAGTGAAAAGGATTTGTTTGTAAACAAGACACAAAAAGCACAAATTATAAAGAAAAAGACTGACAAACAGGACAAATAACAATTTAAAACGTCTACTTGAAAATGGATGCCAGAAAAAGAGTGAAAAATCAAGTCACAGACTAGAAGAAGACATCTGCTTCACAAATAAAGAACAAAGTATTGGTATCGAGAAGCGTTTTTAAAGTTCTTAGAAATCAATAAGAAAAATACAACCAGCCATTAGAAAAATGAGTAAAGGCTGGCTAGGTGCGGTGGCTCATTCCTGTAATCCCAGCACTTTGGGGGGCCGAGGTGGGCAGATCACCTGAGGTCAGGAGTTCGAGACCAGCCTGGCCAACATGGTGAAAGCATGTCTCTACCAAAAATACAAAAAGTAGCCAGCCGTGGTGGTGGGTGCCTGTAATCTCAGCTGCTCAGGAGGCTGAGGCAGGAGAATTGCTGGAACCTCGGAGGTGGAGGTTGCAGTGAGCCAAGATTGCAACACTACACTCCAGCCTGAGTGACAAGAGTGAGACTCCATCTCAAAAACAAAAACAAACAAACAAAAACCAAAGTGGTCATTTAGTTACTATATCAAATCAAGAATATGTTATCATTAGTGCAGATTATCTTATATGGGGGACTGGCAATGAGTAACATTAGAACACGTGAGAAATAATTTCTAGACTTGTGTCTCAGTGTGTCTCCATTCTGTAAGTGATACACCTCTTCACTTCAAAAAGAGAGTGGCAAGAGATAAGATTGAATGGGGAGGAAGGCACCTTCTCCGACCACACTAAGGGGTTTGAGTTTAATGCTGAAGACAACAGGAAGCCAGTGAGGAAGCTGAAGAAAGGAAGGATAATCTTAGAAGTAGAAAGTGTAGAAGAAACCCAATAAAAAAGAAATGGAAGCTAAAGAGAGAGGGTTGGACAAGAGAATGAAAACGTATATCCATGCACATACTTGCAACTTGAATGTTCTTTGCGGCAGTTTTCATAACAGTCAAAAAGTAGAAACAGGTCGGGCGCAGTGGCTCACACCTGTAATCCCAGCACTTTGAGAGGCCAAGGCAAGCGGATCACTTGAGGTCAGGAGTTCAAGACCAGCCTGGCCAACAGGGCAAAACCCCGTCTCTACTAAAAATACAAAAAAAATTAGCCGGGCGTGGTGGCACATGCCTGTTATCCCAACTACTTGGGCGGCTGAGGCAGGAGAATCATTTGAACCCGGGAGGTGGAAGTTGCAGTGAGCAGAGATCGTGCCACTGCACTCCAGCCTGGGCGACAGAGCAAATGAATGTTCATCAACTGATGAGTGGATAAACAAAATGTGCTATATCCATACAGTGCTATACTAGTCAGCAATAAAAAGGAATGAACTATGAATATGTGCTATGATACAGATGAACTTCAAAAACGTTATGCTCAGTGAAGAAAGCCAGACACAAGAGACCACATATTGTTGGGTTCCATTTATGTGAGTTATCCAGAAAAGACAAATCTATAGGCAGAAAGTAGGTTCATGGTTGCTTGGAGAGTGGATGGGGTGGGGCAGGGTGAGAGCAGTAGGAGGGTTAACCAGAAGTGTGCGCGAGGGATCCTATTGATCTAATGAAAGTGTTCTCAAACTGATTTATGGTGATGGTTTCCTAACTTAGGAAATCTACTAAAACATTATTGAATTGTACACTTGAAAAGGGTGAATTATAGGATCCAAAATATCCCTCAGTAAAGTTATTTTGAGAGAGAAACAGAGAGTAGAAAAAAGCACCTAATCGGCTTAAGAGAGCTTGCGGGCCAGCTGAGAGGGAGAACGCGCCTGGGCATGAGACTCTGCCCGGCTTCTGGTCCACAGGCCTCTAGGCTCTTCCTGCCCAGGAATAGGGCATCACTTTCAGGCAGGGGCAGCTTGGAGAGCTGAGCTGACCGTGGGTCAAGTGGACTTGGCCTTTGATCCTGCTCTCACTGTGTATCCTACCTCTAGCTAGACCTTGGCCTTGAGACCTGCTTGCCCCAGTTCTTACCTAAGAGGATCTAGCATTGCTTTTGACAGCCCCATTCAGTGACCTGAGCCCAGAGGCTCCTTACTCCAGCCCCACTACCACCACTGCTGACCACCGAGCGGGTCCGACTGACACCTGCCTGCCCCGCCTCAGCTACTGGCCCTTCTGATGGGCACTAGGGCAAGGTCTTCCAGCTGTTGCCCATGAACACACTCTTAATTTTGGCACTGCCTCCATTTGGCTGCAACTGAGAGAGATGGTGGCCCATAATAAGATTATGCTGTGGTGGTCAACCTTGGGCAAGGTACTTAACCTCTCTGATCTTCATTTTCCTCGTGGGTGGAACAAAGAAGATACTGGCATCTCTCTTATGGGATAAAATGAGATCATTCATGTAAACTGCCAAATACAGCAGCCAACACATAGTAGGTACATACAGTGGGTGTGTCTAGTTCTATGCTTGGGTTCCTTTCTGTTTGGGTTGAGAGACCTCAGTCTCTCTGCATGCTGGAATGTGACACAGGTCACCAAACAGACTTACAAGTGTTGACTCTAGAAAAATTGGTACCATTATCAGTGATACATCATATTGATAGTAGGTATCCTTGATATAATTTATTCAAGCAGAATAATGCTGGCTTCATAGAATGAGTTGACAATTTTTGCATCCTAAAATGCCACCAGGATGGCACTTAACCTCTGTGGTCTTCCTTCCCCAAACACACAACCCCAATCTAATCAAGAGAAAAACATCAGACAAATCCTAGTCAAGGGAGATTCTACAAAATACCTGAGCAGTACACCTCGAAACTGCCAAGATTATAAAAAAAAAAAAGGAACTGTCACAATCAAGAGGAGCCCAAGGAGACGAGATGACTGAATGTAGGTAATGCCGTATCCTAGATGGGATCCTAGAACAGAGAAATAACATGAAGTGGAAGCTAAGAAAATTTGCATAAAGTATGCGTTCGTTCAGCAGTTGCCAACCTTTTTGGCACCAGGGACCGGTTTGGTGGAAGACAATTTTTCCACAGACTGGGGTCGGGGGATGGTTTTCCACAGACTGGGGTGGGGGGAAACTGTTCCACCTCAGATCACCAGGCATTAGATAGATTCTCACACGGAGCACGCAACCTAGATCCCTCACATGCACAGTTCACAATAGGGTTCGTGCTCCTATGAGGATCTAATGTTGCCACTGATCCCACAGGAGGGGGAACTCAGGCGGTAATGCAAGCTCACCTGCCACCCACCTCCTGCTGTGCGGACCAGTTGCTAACAGGCCACAGACTAGTACCTGTCCGCAGTCCAGGGACTGGGGACCCCTCCGTTAGTTAATAATAATGCATCAAGGCCAGGCGCGGTGGCTCACACCTATAATCCCAGCACTTTGGGAGGCCAAAGCAGGCAGATCACCTGAGGTCAGGAGTTCGAGACCAGCCTGGGCAATGCAGTGAAACCCCATCTACCAAAAATACAAAAATTAGCCAGGCGTGGTGTGTCTCTACTAAAAATACAAAAAAATTTAGCCGGGCGTGGTGGCAGGCACCTGTAATCCCAGCTACTTGGGAGGCTTAGGCAGGAGAATCACTTGAACTCAGGAGGCAGAGGTTGCAGTGAGCCAAGATCACACCACTGCACGCCAGCCTGGGCAACAAGAGCAAAATTCCATCTCAAAATAATAATAATAATAATGCATCAACATTGGCTCATTAATTGTGGCAAGTTTACCATACCAATGTAAGACGTGAATAGGGGAAACTGGGTCTGAGGTATGTAGAACTCTCTGTACTATCTCTACAACTTTTCTATAAACCTAAATCTATTCTAAAATAAACAGATTATTTACAAAGCAAAAACACAAAAAGTCTGTCGTCCACACATGTATGGATCTATTTCTGGACTCCATTCTGTTCTATTAACCTATTTATTTATCTTTACACCAATACCACACCGTTTAATGAGTAGAGCTTTATAATACATCTTGAAATAAGGTAGAGTGTTAGTTCTCTAAATTCGTTCTGCTTTGTCAATGTTGTTTTGCTTATTCTAGTTCCTTTGCGTTTTCATATGAATTTTAGAATTAGTCTGTTGATTTCTATTTTTTAAAAAAAGGCTGCTGGGATTTTCATTGGGACTGTGTTGAATCTATGGATTAATAAACTGGGAATGGTTGGGGATCTTCACATTATTGAGTCTTCTGACTCAACACAGTATATCTCAAGATTTATTTAGATCTTCTTTAATTTCCCTCAGCAATATTTGTAGCTTCTAGTGCACAACTTGCAAATACTTTGTCACATTTATTGCTAAATATTCCATTTTTCGAAGCTCTTTTTAATAGTATTGGTTTTGCTATTGTTGTTGTTGGTTTTTGTTTGTTTGTTTTGAGATGGAGTTTCGCTCTTGTTGCCCAGGCTGGAGTGCAATGGTGCAATCTCAGCTCACCGCAACCTCCGCCTCCCAGGCTCAAGTGATTCTCCTGCCTCAGCCTTTCGAGTAGCTGGGATTATAGGCATGTGCCACCACGCCTGGCTAATTTTGTACTTTTAGTAGAGACAGGGTTTCTCCATGTTGGTCAGGCTGGTCTCGAACTTTCGACCTCAGGTGATCCGCCCACCTCGGCCTTCCAAAGTGCTGGGATTACAGGCGTGAGCCACTGCACCCGGCCAGTATTGGTTTTTAAATTCCAATTTCTGATTGTTCGTTGTGAGTATATTGAAGTAAAACTGATTTTTATATATTGATCTTATATCCTGCAAACTTGCTAAACTAGCTTATTAGTTCTGGTAGCTCTTTTGTACAGTCCATCAGATCATGTCATCTGCACATAGAGATAATTTTTCTTCTTCTGTTCAAATCTGGATGTCTTTATTTCTTCCTCTTAACTGATTATACTGGCCAGAGCTGTAGGTTTTTCATATATGCCCTTTATTAGGTTAAGGAATTTTCCTTCTGTTTCTAGTTTGCTGAGAAGTTTGATCAGAAATGGATGTTGGATTTTATTCAACATCTATGTTTACTGCGATACTCATATGATTTTTTTGGTTTGTTAATAAGGTGAATTATATGGAATGAGAACAGTATTTAGTCTAAAGCTAATTATTCCCCACCACTGAGGCAAGGTCCTTTGGAGTACTCTATCCAATGCTCCAAAAATCAGGAGATTTTCCACACTAATTAGTGGGACAAGGCTTTATTCTGGGCCCTAAGTGAGCAGCGGGTGGTTCTTTCCCTGGCCTCAGGTAATTTCCTCATGTGCATGCCCTGCTCAGCCTTCTGCTAAAAACTTGAGGGGAAGCCTCTGCAGATTTCCAGAGTTCTCTCTCTGTGCAGCTGTCTCCTCTTCAGGACTATGTCCTACAAACTCTAGCCACCTTGGACTCCCAATTTAGGGATTCTTCTGGCTTTGCCTGAGTTTCCCCTCCCTGTGCCACAGCCTGTAAACTCTCTGAAGGGAGTAAGCTGGAGCAATTGTAGGGTTTACCTCATTCATTTCTCATCTCTCCAGGATGACTATTCTTTAGTGCCTGATGTGCAGTGTTTTGGAAATAATTGTTTCAGATATTCTGTCTTTTGTTTTTGTTGTATCAGGAGGATACATCTGGTCCCTGTTACTCCATGTTGGCCAGAAGTAGAAGTTGACTTCAGGTTTTCATTTACTTTGAAAATCTTCTAGCTGGATGATAGAGATTAAAAGTACTTTTATTTTCCAACTCAGCCTGCCCTGGCCCCTTTATATTCCTCATAAATCCTGCTTGAAAACTGAACAGTTTTTGCTTTGGCTCATCTCTCTTTTCTTATACTCTATTATACACAGCTAGGACCAATCAGCTGTCACTTTCAACATTTTGCCTGTAGACCTCCTTAGTCAAATCCAAATTTCATTAAGAAGCTTTTCCATCTTCCATATTATCATAAACTACACTTTTGGAAATTGTTTCAAAACCACATAACATGTGTAACCATGTTTTGTAGCCTGCAATAGCAGTTTCCTAGCTAATTTTCCAGGTTTTGCTGTTTCCTCACTGCTTTTCCAGCCTCTGCCCTAATGTGGCAGGCCAAGTCTCACTAACACAGGCCTCCATAACAACTGTTTCAATACTGACTGAGTGGTTAAGTTAAATATTAAAAGCTAAAAAGCCAGTGCCCTTATACAAAGGCTGGAATGTAACAAAAGCCCACCAAGAGTTTTGCCTAGCCCTTCCCTGGGCCTTAAAGCATGACAAAATAACGAAGGAATTCTTAACAGGACCCATTTAGGATTAAACATGTTTTATTGTGGGTCTGAAGAAACTCCCCAGGCCTCTGCAAACAAGTTTACTGGGGGTCTGAAGGAACTCCCCAAACCTCCGTGATTTAGCAGGAGACAAGATACGGGTAATCACCTCAGCACTTGGACCCATTTAGATTAAGTAAATTTACTGAGGCTCCAGAGGAAGGTCTTCAGGACTCAGACCTTAGTTACAGATTAAAAGAAGTTAATCACTTATGTCTTTAGATGAGTGCACACTTACACGTAGGCATACAGCTTAGAAGGTATATAAGCTCTGGAAAACTTTGTAATTTTGAATTGGCCTGGCCATAATTTCCAGGTCTTCTCCCTGTAGCCAGTTGCAGAAATAAGAACTCTCTTCCTCTCCAGTTCAACTGCATCTCGTTATTGGGCCACAAGAAATAGCAGCCCGATCCTCAGTTTGGTCCAGGCACACTAACACCTTGTCCTAAAATTACTGACACATATTTCAGTTTTTGTTAGGATAGCACTCCACTTGTAGATATCCTTTTCCTTATAATTTAGTTTTTGCCACATTATAAACTACTCTAAAATTCAATGTCTTAAAAACAGCAACTGTCGGGCACAGCGGTTCACACCTGTAATCCCAACACTCTGGGAGGCTGAGGCAGGCTGATCACCTGAGGTCGGGAGTTCAAGACCAGCCTGACCAACATGGAGAAACCCCATCTCTACTAAAATACAAAATTAGCTGGGCATATGTAGAAAGAAATAGACATAAGAGACTCCATTTTGTTCTGTACTAAGAAAAATTCTTCTGACTTGAGATGCTGTTAATCTGTAACCCTACCCCCAACCCTGTGCTCGCAGAAACATGTGCTGTGTCGACTTAAGGTTTAATGGATTTAGGGCTATGCAGGATGTGCTTTGTTAAACAAATGCTTGAAGGCAGCACGCTTGTTAAAAGTCACCACCACTCCCTACTCTCAAGTACCCAGGGACACAAACACTGCGGAAGGCCGCAGGGACCTCTGCCTAGGAAAGCCAGGTATTGTCCAAGGTTTCTCCCCATGTGATAGTCTGAAATATGGCCTCGTGGGAAGGGAAAGACCTGACCGTCCACCAGCCTGACACCCGTAAAGGGTCTGTGCTGAGAAGGATTAGTAAAAGAGGAAGGCCTCTTTGCAGTTGAGATAAGAGGAAGGCATCTGTCTCCTGCTCGTCCCTGGGCAATGGAATGTCTCGGTGTAAAACCCGATTGTATGTTCCATCTACTGAGACAGGAGAAAACCGCCTTAAGGCTGGAGGTGAGACATGCTGGCGGCAATACCGCTCTTTAATGCACCAGATATGTTTATGTATGTGCACATCAAAGCACAGCACATTTTCTAACTTTGTTTATGACACAGAGACATTTGTTCACATGTTTTCCTGCTGACCCTCTCCCCACTATTACCCTATTGTCCTGCCACATCCCCCTCTCCGAGATGGTAGAGATAATGATCAATAAATACTGAGGGAACTCAGAGACTGGTGCCTGTGCGGGTCCTCCGTATGCTGAGCACCGGTCCCCTGGGCCCACTTTTCTTTCTCTATACTTTGTCTCTGTGTCTCTTTCTTTTCTCAGTCTCTCGCCCCACCCGACGAGAAACGCCCACAGGTGCGGAGGGGCAGGCCACCCCTTCAGGCGTGGTGGCGCATGCCTGTAGTCCCAGCTACTCGGGAGGCTGAGGCAGGAGAATCGCTTGAACTGGGGGGGCGGAGGTTGTGGTGAGCCAAGATCACGCCATTGTACTACAGCCTAGGCAACAAGAGCGAAACTCCATCTCAAAACAAACAAACTAACAACAACAACAAAAAACCCAGCAATCACTTATTTGGACTGTGAAAGGGAAGTATCTTGGGTCCCCAAAATCACTAAGCTAGGAACTGCTTAGGGAAAACGTGCCTCCCATTCTATTCAAAGTCATCCCTCTGCTCACTGAAATAAATGCATATGTGATTGCCTCCTTTGGAAAGGCTGATCAGAAACTCAAAAGAATGCAATCGTTTGTCTCTAGCCTACCTGTGATGTAGAAGCCCCCTCCTCTCTTCGAGTTGTCCCCTTTCTGGACCAAACCAATATTCATCTTACATGTGTTGATCGATGTCTCATGTCTCCCTAAAATGTGTAAAACCAAGCTGTGCTCTGACCACCTTGGGCACATGTCATCAGGACCTCCTGGGGGTGTGTCATGGGCACGTGCCCTCAATCTCGGCAAAATAAACTTTCTAAATTAACTGAGACCTGTCTCAAATTTTGGGGGTTCATAAGACCATAACTTTGTACATCAGCAATTTGGGCTAGCTTCAACTGTGCAGTTCTTCTGGCCTGGATGGGTTCAGGTAATCTCAGCTGAACTCATTCATGCATCTTCAGTTGGCTGGTGGGTTAGCTGGGGCTGGCTACTTTATGATGAATTTAATTGGGATGACTAGGCCTTCCTCCAGAGGCCTGAGTTTGTTTAGTTGGAAGTGGTCCTAAACCATCAAAGGTGATAGTTTCCGTGACAGGGATAATTAATCAATTTATACTGAATATTTGGATTTAAATCTACCATATTACTGTTTGGCTTATCTCTTCTATATTCTTTTTCCCTTTTGACTTCTTTTTAAAATTGTTATTATTCCATCTCTCTATAGATTGGAAATTATATACCTTTACTATTTTTTTAAACCAGTTATTCTAGAGATTACAACATGCATTCTTGACATCACAATCTAATGTTAATTGTTGCTTTGACCGTGTTTTTAGACAATAAAAAGACCTTAGAACCCTTTAACTCCATTTATTCTCTCATCAACTTATGTACTAACTATTGTTATCATTTAGTCTCTGTAATTTTACTCTTATTTTAACTCTTATAAGAGGTTATTATTCATTTAGATTTTACTCACACATTTACCATTTCAATGCTCTTGAGTCCTTCGAGCACTTCTGATCTTCCATATAGGCTCATAGAAGCACATCCAAATAGAGAGAGGTGGTGGGGGTAGGACTTGAGAAGGATCAGTAGTGCCTTGTAAGGCAACTAATTCAGGGGAGGCCATTACAGGTCCTCCAGGCCCCAAAAGGGGAAAAGTACCCTCCTCAGGCAGGGATGGCAGGGCTGCTTCTCCAGGAAAGGAAAATAAGAATCAAAATCTGCTGGTGGGTCCTGGAAACAGTAAACTAGAGGTTCCTCTTCAAAGACTTTCCTCCCCATCTAATTAGGAATAAATAGTAACTTCTCTTAGAAGCAAAATTTATTCAAAGACCTGTGCTAACATTCTTAAATATCTGCTAGCCGTAATAAAGAAATCAATGTACTTTATGTTCTTAGCTTCCACAATTTAGCCTAAATATTTGCCCTGGCATGCTTATACTGGCCCAAGCAAGCATTAGGTCATATCCTGTTCCTCTTCCTTATTTGAAGGTGTTTTTACCTTTCTCAGCATTCCACAAGTTACTTCCTCCTTCCTTTGTTCTCCTCTGCCTTTCCCTCTTTTAGAAAGTTCTAAGTTGCAGGCCGGGCGTTGTGGCTCGCGCCTGTAATCCCAGCACTTTGGGAGGCTGAGGCGGGCAGATCACAAGGTCAGGAGATTGAGACCATTCTGGCTAACACAGTGAAACCCTGTCTCTACTAAAAATACAAAAAAATTAGCCACGTATGGTGGCATGCGCCTGTAGTCCCAGCTACTCGGGAGGCTGAGGCAGGAGAATCACTTGAACCCAGGAGGCGGAGACTGGGGTAAGCCAAGATTGTGCCACTGCACTCCAGCCTGGGTTACAGAGCGAGACTCCGTCTCAAAAACAAAAAAAAAAACACACACACAAAAAAGTTTAAGTTGCTAGCCAGTCAGGACAAATACAGAATTTGAGGTCCCATTCCAGCCAATGGAAACCAGACACAGCAGTAGGGTGGACACGTCAGGTTAAATGACCCTGTCTCCTCTGTTCGGTGTACTCTTACAGCAAAATTGCTGGCGAGTGTACCCTTTCTGCAGAAAGTGAAAAAATGGCCTTGCTGAGGAAATTAAATTTATGTTCAAGTGCTGGTTGTTTACGGCACCGGGGAACAAGCATTTCTAACCGGTCTCCATTCCAATTTTCAGGCTGCCATTCCTTCCCAATCATTGTCCTTTCAGCAACATACCCTAAGAGGTTGGGAGTTCAATTTGTATTGTCATTCAAGCATTCACAGGATTAGACTTCGGGTTTGGCTTTCAGAAATCTAAGCCTTGTGGCTATAGGAGATAAGAGTTTCTTTCCTGGTAGTTTTAGAAACATTCAGGTCCTTTATGTAGACCTTGAGCTGATCACTTTCTTTACCCAAGTTCTTCAGTAAACAACCAACCAACCAACCCTATTATACTCATCCTTTTGACTAAAATGTTAAAAGTAGCAAATACTTGTTCTCCTAGAGGTTTGCCTTCTATAGGTACTTGATCGCAAGTATCTGAAGGTGATAATTTGAGTAACTATTTTGCCACTTCACACTGTGGAGTACAAGTACCTCTTTAGCACTGGAAACAGGGCTACTCGTACCTTTAAATCAAATCAGAGTAGGGAACCAATTTCAGAAAACCCAGAACCAATTCAGAGCACTTATCTTTAAGATTCTGTTCTTCTGGAACTACTCTCAGTACCAAATTCTGTGTCAGTCTGGGTTCAACCAGAGGCAGAACCAGAAGAAGATACAGATAGGTAGGTAGGCAGATAGGTGATTGATGATTTATAGGTAGATAACCAGTAGAAACCAGATGTGGTCTCCATATCTGATGCTGGAGCTCAAAGTCTACAGGGCAGGTAGTCAGGAAGGAAGATCACGAGCAGGCTAAAACCCACAAGCACAAGCTGGCACCCCACAAAAATGAACTGAAGCCTGTGTCCTTTCTTACCATCTCTGACCTTGGTCATCGAGTTGCCCTGCAGAAGCCAAGGCTTTCGGTCATGGAGCTAAACACATGTACACAGCCCAGAAATCAGAGAAGCTGATAGGATCCAGGGGTAGGTAGAGCAATTGCAGGCCTAGCTACTGTTTCACACCAATGAGGTGAATCTGCAGATCAGCCACAGCATGTGTAAGCTGCAAAATAGCAACTCCTTTCCTTTTACCTCCCAAATCTCCTGGCCCACCCTAACCAGAAACATACAAGAGAGGGAATTCTGAGAAAGGTAGTTCAGCCTAGCCAAACTGACACAATTACAAAGCCATCACTTTCTTTAATGGTTATATGTCTCTTCAGACACTCCTTTTGTTCTTGAGTTATATTTTTCCATAGAAAATAGTCCATGGGGCCGGGCGTGGTGGCTCACGGCAACATTACAATTTAAAGATCTTACTTGGCTTTGTGATTCTAGAATCAGGCAACACTTCATTCCATAAAATTAGAGTAAGTGTTCCAATGAGTTGAGCAGAGGAGGTTGGTATGGACAGAGAAAAGCTGAAGAAAGCAAAGCGGAACCAAAGAGTGAAAGCAGATTGGTCTCCTCCAAGTTACTTTCCTTGTAAGGTAGAAACAGAGAAACAGAACACTAGACAAATAACTGATTGGAATTGATTGGTTAACACCAGGTTACTTCAGATTACATTTTCTTTTCCTTACTTTTTTTTTTCCTGTTTTTTTGTTTGGCGGGGGGACGGAGTTTTGCCCAGGCTGGAGTACAGTGGCATGAACTCAGCTCACTGCAACCTCCGCCTCCTGGGTTCAAGTGATTCTCCTGCCTCAGCCTCCTGAGTAGCTGGGATTACAGTGCCTGCCACCATGCCTGGCTAACTTTGTATTTTTAGTAGAGATGGGGTTTCACCATGTGTTGCCCAGGCTGGTCTCAAACTCCTGACCTCAAGTGATCCACCGGCCTCGGCCTCCCAAAATGCTGGGATTACAGGCATGAGCCACCGTGCCCGGCCAGTTTCAGATTACTTTTTGTTTTAAGGATTAAAGGCAGAGGGAACTTCATTATCACTTGGGTGGAAATTGGCCCATTTGGGAAATGAGGCTGTTTCACTATCCTGATTTTTTGGAAGGCCAGCTAACAACTCATTTTTGGTTTGGTGATGTGGCACTTCAGCATGAGTGACTCCACTTTGATTTTTAGTCTGGTCTGTTTGTTGCTTAGTTGAAAACAATGGCCTCCTCCAGATTTTTGTTTAACACCTTTCTCCTCTTTTGATCAGGCTCTCCCCTAGGTGAGAGTGCCACCAAAACTTAGGGCATCAGCGCTGCTCTCAGTTACCATCATCTGGGTTTCTAGTCTCAATATATCAATCACAGGTGATGGTATCTTCATGATCACACACTTCTCTGAGTTTCTGTCATTCCAGCAGATGAGAGACCATTTCATGCTTGACAAATGGCTGTGTTCAAACATTTAAAACTTTTTGAGAGGATACAGTGCACTACGGAGACTACTATTGTAACTATCAGGAGGATAATACCTAGAATTTGGAGTATGGTTCTTAGCCAAGGTTCCCATAAACCAACCCAACTAAAATTAAGTAGATCAAAGAAGGAGCCAGATGAGGGGTCTACCATCATAACCAAGTAGCCTGTTAATTTTTGCAACTGAGTCTCCAATACCTGATGGATTTATCCCTGAGCAACAAGAAGTGTTAGCAACTGTACAGATGGCAGTAGGCAGCAATTTTATTATCCGCCATCCCATGACTGGGTGAAATTAAAGCAAAGAGTGACCATTTGCAAGTGACCTGCAAAAGCTACTGACTGAAATTCTAACTACGGCATCATTCTGCCAAGTGAAAGAGGTAAGAATAAGCAAAGAAAAATTCAGAGGAGTAAGAGTCTTAGGATAGGGAGGCTTCTTCCGATTGTCTCGGGAAAGCTGTCCACAGTGTGAAGTTGGCAGCTTCGCATCCTGGTTTGCAGTTTCAATGTTTCTGGTTGTAACATTGGGCATTCTGGTGAACTCTTTGTGTGGCCCACACATCAGGCATGAGACTTGTCCCTTCCCAAATTTACAATGAGTTGTTCAGCTTCAGCTTATAGGGCTTTAGGAACAGAGCAGTTTTTGTTCTTAGTTGGAGTTTTATAGCCAGTTATTGGAGGAAACTAGAATTCAGAAACAAGTCCAGTCTACAAGTAGATAATAAAAACTCAAACACAGTGAACAGGGCTATGATCTAGTAACGGGGTACTACATTTGTTCTTCTGAAACACAATTTTTCTCTCTACAGTCACTCTCATTCCTACTAATCAGAGGTAAACTAATTTGTTTGCAAAATAAGTTTACTCTCATTAAACTTGGCCTGGTTGTTTTACATAAACGCAGCAAGAATAATCACTTAGGTTCTTTTAAAAGCTGCTTGGTTGGAAATTTTGTAAGGAGTCCCACACTGGACTTTTTAAAACCTCTCAATAATAGACCGGGCGCGGTGGCTCACGCCTGTAATCCCAGCACTTTGGGAGGCCGAGGTGGGTGGATCACCTGAGGTCAGGAGTTTGAGACTAACCTGGCCAACATTGTGAAACCCCATCTCTACTAAAAAATACAAAAATTAGCCGGGCGTGGTGGCACGTGCCTGTAGTCCCAGCTACTCAGGAGGCTGAGACAGGAGAATTGCTTGAACCCGGGAGACGGAGGTTGCGGTGAGCCGAGATTGTGCCACTGCTCTCCAGCCTGGGCGACAGAGCGAGACTGTCTCAAAAATAAAATAAAATTAAAATTAAAATTAAAACCACTCAATAATAAAAAGCCAAACTAAGGCAGACATCAGACTTTGCCTGCAGTATCTAATATCTTGAGAGTGACTTTTTTTCCACACTGTAAGGCTGGGAACCCTTGAAAGCAGGCATTTTATGCGCATTCTCAAATATGACAGTCCAGTCAAAGCCTTAGTATTTTAACCAGTGTTGTCAATTGTATCCTGTTATAAAGCAAGCAAATGCTTATTGAACTTATGTGAATAACCAGATTGCCATAAAAATAAGAATACTCATGAATAGTTTCCAAATTCTGGAGGATAAGGTAGGAAGAAAAAGCAAATGTTTCAATTTTTTTTTTTTTTTTTTAAACGGAGTCTTACTCTGTCACGCAGGCTGGAGTGCAGTGGCGTGATCTTGGCTCACTGCAACCTCTGCCTCCTGGGTTCAAGCGATTCTCCTGCCTCAGCCTCCCGAGTAGCTGGGACTACAGGCATGTGCCACCACGCCCAGCTAATTTTTGTATTTTAGTAGAGACAGGGTTTCGCCATGTTGGCCAGGCTGGTCTCAAACTCCTGACCTCAGGTGATCCACCCACCTTGGCCTTCAATTTTTGTTTACAAAAATAAACTTTATCAAATTGTTGTAAACTATAGGTAGCTTAAAAGAAAAAAGTGTTCTTAAATCTGAAAAACAGGGCTGGCCACGGTGGCTCATGCCTGTAATCCCATCACTTTGGGAAGCCGAGGTGGGCGGATCATGAGGTCAGGAGTTCGAGACCAGCCTAACCAACATGGTGAAACCCAATCTCTATTAAAAATACAAAAATTAACCTGGCATGGTGGCACACACCCGTAATCCCAGCTACTCAGGAGGCTGAGGCAGGAGAATTGCTTGAACCTGGGAGGTGGAGGTTGCAGTGAGTGGAGATTATGCCATTGCACTCCAGCCTGGGGCACAAGAGTGAAACTCTGTCTCAAAAAAAAAAAAAAAAAAAAAGCAGATGAGGCCCCTTCCCTGTTCCTAGCTGGAGGGACACGAGTGTCCTTGGGCCATTGTCCTTGGACGGGGCCCTGATAAGGCCACCCAACAGCCTGGAATCCCGGGAGCCCACGCTGGGTTTAAGTGACACTTCTCTAGATGAAGGGTTAATAGAGGACTTGACTATAAAACAAGGCTGTGGAGCAACTGCCAGATCTGCACAGATCAAAACAAACCCTCCAGGAGCTCACACAGAACCAGGTTGTATTGTCAGACACACTGGAACAAGAGATTTCAAAATTTAAAGACTGTCATTCTATGTTGGATATTAATGCTTTGTTTGCTGAGGCTAAATACTATCCTGCCGAGTTGGTGAATATAAGAAAAGAGATGCTGATGCTTCATGAAAAAAACATCAAATTTTTAAAAAAAGAGCACAGGCCAGGCATGGTAGCTCAGGCTTGTAATCTCAGCACTTTGGGAGGCTGAGGTGGGCGGATCACTTCAGGTCAGGAGTTCGAGACCAGCCTGGACAATATGGTGAAACCCCATCTCTAATAAAAATACAAAAATTAGCTAAGCGTGGTGGTGCAAGCCTGTAGTCCCAGCTACTTGGGAGGCTGAGGTAGGAGAATCTCTTGAACCCGGGAGGCGGAGGTTGTAGTGAGCCGAGATCGTGCCACTGCACTCCAGCCTGGGTGACAGAGCAAGACCCTGTCTCAAAAAAAAAAAAAAAAAAAAAAAAAAAGGACTTAAACTGCAGCAAAGGAGGCAAAAAAGAGTTGGAAAAAGAGCAGCAATGAGAGGAGTTTGAAAGAGAAAATTAGTTAACTGCCAGACCAGCTAAAAGGACGTGACAATTTGTGTTTGTGTGTTTTCTTCTCCTATCCTATATTTGGATTAAGATGGCTTAAGTGTAGACTGAAGTTGAGGTAGTGGCTTATACCGTTATGTCAGATCTTGAAATCCTTATTCCAGGATTACTGTGTCTCCATGCCTTTCTTCCTAAATAGTAGACATCATACTGCTTTGTTTTTGATATTTATATGTAAGTTTTTCAAATTTTATTTAATTTTAAAATGTACTATTTTGACCTTGAATCATTTATAAACTGGAAAATGGTTTATTATGAGTCTAGACTCTAAGTGGTTAAAAATTCAAATGAATTTTTTAGCTTCTTAATGAATATAGATTTAAAACTTTCCAGTTCTTATTTTATGAACTGGCTTGCGTTTCTGGCAATACAATGCTGATTTTTAGTAATTGTCTTTTCATTGCTTAGTTAAGAAGAAATGCCAGCTGTTTAATCACATCTACCCCTGGAAAAGAGGTGAGCCTTGTGAAGAACATAATGGAAAAGTGCACGCACAGGAAATAACAGCAGTTCAGGTGTAGTTCAGGTGAGCAAGATGCCAGATAGATTCTACTAACCAGTGTCGTTGTCACTGCTTTTGAAGCTTTTGGGTTCAAAGATTACATCTAGGCCGGGCGCAGTGGCTCACGCCTGTAATCCCAGCACTTTGGGAGGCCGAGGCAGGTGGATCCCTTGAGGTGAGGAGTTCGAGACCAGCCTGACCAACATGGTAAAACCCTGTTTCTACTAAAAATACAAAATTAGCTCGGTGTGGTGGCACATGCCTGTAATCCCAGCTACTCGGGAGGCTGAGGCAGGAGAATTGCTTGAACCCAGGAGGTAGAGGTTGCAGTGAGCCAAGATGGCGCCACTGCACTCCAGCCTAGGCAACAAGAGCGAAACTCCGTCTCAAAAAAAAAAAAAAAAAAATTCTTGAAGTGGAATGATGTATAGCAACGACCCACTTTATAATGATAGAGATGGTGAAAAATTAGTAAATAGTTTCACAAAGAGGTAGCATGATACCTTTAGTGTTTTCTAGATTTTTTTCTGGATACTATATGTAGAAACTTACTATGTGAGGAAAATATTATGAGGTTTCATTGTTTAAAATCAAGAGTGTATTATTTACTGTTTTACAGTATTATTTAATATCCAACTGGTCTCCAATCTCTATTACATAGGGACTGTGCAGAGCCTGTAAAAGTGTATGAATGTGTATCTTCCATAATCCACATTATATTTTTGGTAAGCTGGAATCACTACCTCTGATCACGTATCAGGCTAATGATGGAGAAAGCATTGGATTTAAGTTCAGGGCTAAGAACTGGTTTGTTTAAAAGTTTAAATTGTGGCCAGGCACGGTGGCTCATGCCTGTAATCCCAGCACTTTGGGAGGCCGAGGTGGGCAGATCATGAGGTCAGGAGTTCGAAACTAGCCTGGCCAACATAGTGAAACCCTATCTCTACCAAAAATACAAAAATTAGCCAGGTGTGGTGGCACGCACCTGTAGTCCCAGCTACTTGGGAGGCTGAGGCAGAAGAATTGCTTGAACCCGGGAGGCGGAGGTTGCAGTGAGCTGAAACGGCACCATTGGCGTCCGGCCTGGGTGACAGAGCAAGACTCTGTCTCAAAAAAAAAAAAAAAAAAGTTTAAATTGTTTGAAAGGGCATTTGTCTTCTTTAATGAATGATGATCTCACAATTCAGTTGACTTTGACCTAATATTTAAGAGTATAAATATATTTTCTTTGAAAAGGCTGAGTGGTGCCCTCAAACACTTGCTAAAACTGCCTAGGGCAGGATTCATTAGGGCTTGCAGGACAATGTCACCTAAATTGCTGAATGTACTCATTGTAATGTGATATCTGACAGAGGGGGTGCAGTGTTTCTGGGTCATTTTGGACCAACTGCAATGGTTGTTTCAGATGCTGGTTCCTGCACACTACTCTCAATCTACTGAAGCACATCTGGTTTTTTGTTTTGCCTTGCTTTTAGTTTTTAAAGTTTCCCCCAGTGATTCCAATGCACCTGAAAAATTGAGAACCACAGGCTCAGTGGTAGGTCAGGGTTTCCCACACTAGGCTGCACAGCATTATCACCTGGGAACATTAAAAAATACAGACATTCTCAATTCTTTTAGTGTAATTAGCTATGATGTGGATCCCATGTATTTTTTAAAGAGCTCCCCAGATAATTCTGATGTCAGGAGCCACCGGTATAGACTATCTAGTGAGTTGTATTATAAACAATAAAATACTTTAAAAGCTACCCAGTAACTTTTGGGATTAATTTTATGAAATAAATTCTGAACTGCTGTTTTTGATATAGTCAGACTTAAGACTGAAACCTAGCAGGCAGGCAATAGATATAGAATTCTAGTTAATTGAAATTTTGTGACCTGTATAAAAATAAATCATGTTTATTGAACGGATGGCAAGGTACATATACTTTCAGAATTGTATTAAGTTTTGAAGACTTTTTAAAAAAATGTCAAAATGTATATATATTAGTATCCACTATCTTAAGGTCGATTATAAACCAGAAGTACTGTTATCTTGGTGATTAAAATCTATAACTTTAGCTGTATTTCAATAACAAAAACATATCTTACTAGACTGAGTGTGGTATCTCATGTATGTAATCCCAGTGCTTTAGGAGGCTGAGGTGGGAGGACTCATTGAGCCCAGGAGTTCGAGGCTGCAGTGAGCTATAATTGCACCACTGCACTCCAGCCCAGATGACAGAGTGAGACCCTGTCTCTAAAAAAAACAAACAACATATCTTACTGACTAAACCTGAATGGAACTCATAATTAGTCTTTCTGTATTTTTCCACAAAATAGCGAATTGGTACTTGGGAGACTTCTGTTTTTTTGTTGTTGTTGTTGTTGAAAAAACTGCCTTTGTTCTGAAATTATATCACCTGTGTTCTGAACTAAGATGATGGGAGTTCATTTTGTATTTACTTTGCAGTAAGTATCATGTAAATACGCAAACGTTGAATGTAATATAGATTGTGATCGCAGTGGTTTTTTGGGTGATACAGTTTATAAATATACCAATTATACACCCTCATACATTTGTCTGATTTTGAATTTGTAAAATGAGGACTACTGTTTACACATTTAATACAAAAAAAGGTCTCCGGAAAAAAAAAAAAGATGAATACTCTAAGAAAACCTTGTTTTAACATAGGGGACTAAATTTTAGTTTTGTATTAGTGTACTTTTGATCTCAAAGCTTAATTTTTAGAAAACCCTATAAATAATTCCCTTCCAATTTTTGCCAACTTGATCACATACAAAATTCTTTTTTTTTGAGACAGGGTCTTGCTGTGTCACCCAGGCTGGAGTGCAATGGCGCAGTTGCGGCTCACTGCAGCCTCTGCCTCCCGGGTTCAAGTGATTCTCCTGCCTCAGCCTCCCGAGTAGCTGGGATTACAGGCATGCACCACCACACCCAGCTAATTTTTTTATTTTTAGCAGAGACGTGGTTCTGCCATGTTGGCCAGGCTGGTCTCGAACTCCTGACCTCAAGTGATCCGTCCACCTCGGCCTCCCAAAGTGCTGGGATTACAAGTGTGAGCCACCTCGCCTGGCCTACAAAATTCTTTTCATAGGATTCATCTCCTACACACCTACAACTTGCTCAGATCTCTTAGAACTTGCTCAAATCTTGTACAACTTGCTTAAACCTTCAGTTTTGTTCTATACTTCCTTCTTTTTCATATTGGAACAACCAATCATTCTACTTTATGACAAAAATTTACTTTCCTTTTTCCCTTATCATTTTGACAACACAAATTCTTCCTCATACAAAAAAAAAATTACTTTTTCTCTTTTCAACTTTTTTTTAAGCCAAACATACGTTTTCATACTTGTAACTTTCTTGACATCCCTCTTACTGGTTCCTCCCTACCTCATTTCTATTTCCTTCCAAAATCCTTATTTTGAAACAACTTTTAAATAACCTCCAAATTAGACAAAATTATTCTTTTTAAGAAAAAAGTATCCTTCTATTTTTTCCTCACCAAAACACATCTTACTTTCTTTAGTTTGCATACAGAATTCCTTTATAGTAGTTTTATTATTGGAATTTTTAATCCTTAGCAATTGTGAATCAGTATTCTATAAATTAAGTTTCATAATTTCTAGAAATATGCACTTTCTCAAAGTACAATTTTTCATATTAACAGACCAAAATATATTTATTTTTCCATAGCTTTTCTTTAAATAGACTAAAATATATTCAGTCTTTATTTTATCTTATTTTTTGAGACAGAGTCTTGCTCTGTCACCCAGGCTGGAGTGCAGTGGCGCGATCTCACTGCAACCTCCACCTCCTGGGTTCAAGCAATTCTCCTGCCTCAGCCTCTGAGTAGCTGGGATTACAGAAGCCCACCACCGCGCCCAGCAAATTTTTGTATTTTTAGTAGAGACGGGGTTTCACCATGTTGTCCAGGCTGATCTGGAACTCCTGACCTCGTGATCCGCCCACCTCGGCCTCCCAAAGTGCTGGGATTACAGGCATGAGCCACTGCACCCAGCCATATTTAGTCTTTCTATAAAATTTAAGAAGCCAAAAATAAATTTAAAGTTACGTTCAAATTAATGTTTCAGTATTCTAACTTAATTGGAAATGACTCAGACAGTTCATGAATATTACTTAATCATAACAGGACTTTAAGTTACGGTAAAAGGTTTTCAAAACTGAAAAGTTCATTTATCAATTTGTATACCATTTACATACACCTAATTTACTCATTTTTAACAATTATGCTTGAGTTGTTCATTAAGCAAAGCTAGCCATCACCTCAAGTTATTTTTCAAAAAAATCAGGAAACTATAAGTATTACAGAAGCAAAAAGATTAATAGGTTAAACATGGTTCTTCCACTCTGCTTTTTTTCCCTTTCCTATTGGGACGGGTTAGTTCTCTTGAACTCCTTCGTGGGCGGAAACTGGAGTAGCTCATTCCACTCAGCCCGCACTGGCTACTCTTGGCAGGAGGGAGCGTGCAAGCGAGTGAGTGCAGGAACCAGAGCAAATGAATCCTGGGACCGACTGGTCACTCTTCTCTGGTGGGAGCAGGCTCTTGTGGGCCCTGCAGCAGCGTCCAAGCATGTTACGACCAATGCTCTTTCAGTTCTGCCATCCGGGGATGGCCAAGTGCCAACCAGGTCAGTGGAGGGTCAGGGTGGCAAACCCTGCCCTCTCAGAACCTGGGTTCATGTCCGATGAACTGTTAGAAAGGTGATGAATGCAGACTTTATTGAGCGGTGGGTGGCTCTCAGCAGAAAGGGAGGCTGGAAAGGGGATGGGAGGGTGATCTTTCCCTGAAGCCCGGCCGTCTCTGGCTGGGCTCCTCTCCGAAGCCGCACCGCCTGAAGTTAGCCGTGTCTATCCATAGTCTCTGACGCGCACTGCTTCTCTGCTCACCACTCAGCTGCTTGTATCCTTGACATTCAGCCACTTGTGTTGCTCTGCCAGCTGAAGTCTTTCATCGGCAAAGGATAGGGGCAGGGCAGGCCAAAAACGGCAACATTTGGCTGGAAAAAAACGGGGTCAGCTGTTTTCACTTAGGGCCAAGGTTCCAGGCTTATGGGTTGGGTTTAGCCAGGAGCCCAGCCCTTCTGTATCACCATGACTGATAGGTATCAAGATTTTTTTTTTTTTCATGTATTTTGCTCTTTGGTTGGCTTTATAGCTTTATTATACATCTAAGAGGTAATAAGCTTGTTTGACTAGTAAATTTAGGGGAAAAATATGCTTGCTTTATAATTAATGACTTTAAACACTTTTTCTTTAAGCCAATTAAATAGAGCTCTTTTATATATTTTGGTATGAAAATATCAGATACACATAACACATAGATATACAAACATACACACAGAAAGAAGCAGATCTTATTGCTTTCATTAAGATTCATTTGCCCGGTCGGGCGCGGTGGCTCACTCCTGTAATCCCAGCACTTTGGGAGTCCGAGGTGGGCGGAACACGAGGTCAGGAGATCGAGACTATCCTGGCTAATACTGTGAAACCCCGTCTTTACTAAAAATACAAAAACAATTAGCCGGGCATGGTGGCCGGCACCTGTAGTCCCAGCTACTGGGGAGGCTGAGGCAGGACAATGGGGTGAACCAACCCGGGAGGCAGAGCTTGCAGTGAGCCAAGATCACGCCACCGCACTCCAGCCTGGGCGACTGAGCAAGACTCCATCTCAGAAAAAAAAAAAGATGGACAGGAAAAGCAACTTAAACAAAGGTAAACGTTGATATGCAAGCTTTTAAGCCAGTGCCTTTCTCATTGTAAAAGTTTCTAATGGTTTAGGTGCAGAGAGGGAGATAGCCTTACAAATGGAGATTTCCTTTACAGATATAAATTTCTCTTAGAAAGAATTTCAAAATCCTGTTCCTTACTTAGATCATTGCCTTCAGGGCAGAGCTTTTTAACAAACAGGGCAAAAACTAACCAGTAGAAACTTACCAGAGCTGTCTTCGGAGGCCTGTCAGTCTTGGTGGTTAACATAGAGATGATCAGAGGTAGGCAGCTTGTTTTTAAGGGCTTCTCTCAAGTTCTTTGGGAGCAGTCCCTTTTTCAATGTTTTGATCATTTGCACAAATGACAACTAGTTTTTCGAAACCGCAGTTTTAGGGGTTGCTTATTGGAATGCCCTGGGGCAGGCCCACAAGTCATTCTAGGTTGTTGGTTGCCATAGAGCTGAAATACTTTGGAAATAGCTTTCCTAAGGTCATTTGCAATCTTTCAGGGTTTGTCTGACCCGTAAATGGACCAGGTGGGGCTTGTCAGGTCACTAATATAACTCTTAGGAAAATACCATTCTGCCTCTTTCATCTATTTTTGGGCTTTCCAGATCCCACCAACATGTAAATTAGTTGGTGTAGATCAGGTATCCCGGCATCTTTTGTTTTTTTTTTTTTTTTTTTGAGACAGAGTCTTGCTCTGTCGCCCAGGATGGAGTGCAGTGGCGCCATCTTGGCTCACTGCAAGCTCTGCCTCCCGGGTTCACGCCATTCTCCTGCCTCAGCCTCCTGAGTTGCTGGGACTACAGGCGCCCGCCACCACACCCGGCTTTTTTTTTTTTTTTTTTTTTTGTATTTTTAGTACAGACGGGTTTCACCATGTTAGCCAGGATGGTCTCGATCTCCTGACCTCGTGATCCACCCGCCTCGGCCTCCCAAAGTGCTGGGATTACAGGCTTGAGCCCCGCGCCCGGCCCCCATCCCGGGATCTTAAGTTATAATTAAGACTGTGAATTCTGGCTGGGCATGGTGGCTCACGCCTGTAATCTCAGCACTTTGGGAGGCTGAGGTGGGCAAATCATTTGAGGTCAGGAGTTCGAGACTAGCTTGGTCTAAATGGCAAAACCCTGTCTCTACTAAAAGTACAAAAATTGGCCGGGCATGGTGGTGGGTGCCTGTAATCCCAGCTACTTAGGAGGTTGAGTCAGGAGAATTGCTTGAACCTGGGAGGCGGAGGTTGCCGTGAGCCGAGACTGCGCCACTGCACTCTAGCCTGAGTGACAAGAGCAAGACTACGTCTCAAAAAAAAAAAAAACACACTGTGAATTCTTCAGATTAAAGGTCTTCCCTGGGTTTGCAAAATTTTTAACCTATGGCCCTGAGCTGTTTTTATCCAGGCAATGTAAATCACTCCAGGATTGTCTCCTGAATTTTCAGATGGTTTTATGCTACAAGGAAACTGTTTAACTGTTTTTTTTTTTTTTTTTTTTTTTTTTTTTTTTCACAGAAGAAGGGCAATTCAGACAGAGTATTAATAGACTAAATATTCAGGCAAAGTAGGATAGAGAGGAGCAGTAGGAGTTACATCAGTTTTACCATCCTTGGTGTGGGGGATATCTTCCATTTCTAGCCTTTCATTAGCTCTTTGCAATGAAGCTTTTAAAAAGGCTATTTTGGAATCCTGGGCAGGTAACCAAGCAAAAATGTCAGCAGATTCTAAGTAGGCAGGGGAGGACAGAGAGAAAGAGAGCTTAGAAGCCTCTACATGCTAATCAATTATATACATCCCATTCAGACTTTAACCCTATAGCTACAGTCTGCTAATTTAGTTCTAAGAATAAAAAGAGGTTGGGCGTGGTGGCTCACGCCTGTAATCCCAGCAGTTTGGGAGGCTGAGGCGAGTGGATCACGAGGTCAGGAGTTCGAGACCAGCCTGGCCAACATGGTGAAACTCCGTCTCTACTAAAGATGCAAATCAGCCAGGCGTGGTGGTGCGCGCCTGTAATCCTAGCTACTCGGGAAGCTGAGGCAGGAGAATTGCTTGAACCCGGGAGGCAGAGGTTGCAGTGAGCCGAGATTGCACCATTGCACTCCAGCCTGGGAGACAGGGCGAGACTCCCTCTCAAAAAATAAAAATAAAAAAAATAAAAGAATAAAAACAACCTTGGGAGGCTTGAACAGTCCACATAAAGACCACTGGAACTCCAAATGGTCCTTGGTATAATCTTTTTTTGTTTTTGTTTTTTTTGAGATGGAGTTTCACTCTTGTTGCCCAGGCTGGAGTGCAATGGTGTGACCTTGGCTCACTGCAACCTCTGCCTCCTGGGTTCAAGTGATTCTCCTGCCTCAGCCTCCCGAGTACCTGGGATTACAGGTGTGCACCACCATGTTGGGCTAATTTTGTATTTTTAGTAGAGACAGGGTTTCACCATGTTGGTCAGGCTGGTCTCAAACTCTTAACCTCAAGTGATCCACCTGTCTCGGCCTCCCACAGTGCTGGGATTACAGGCGTGAACCACCGTGCCTGGCCAAGTCTTTGGTATAATCTGCCCATAGGTTTAAAAACGTGCACAAGAATGGACCATAATGTTTGAATACATAGCTGTCTGGAGTCCCTAAAGGGGGACTATATTTGCATGCATTAGAACTTGGGGTGTCCATTATGTTTCTTATTAATCTTTCTAGATCAAAATCCAGAATACCAAAGACAGCCAAAAGAAAGAAAGATTTAGACATAACAGTCAGTATGCTAGTCACAAATAAGGTGCAACCCACATTTCTGTCTAGCCATATTCTTGGCAACTCCCAACCTTTTGGTTGGTTGACCAAGTTCTCAGAACACAAAAACATGACAAATAGGAAACCTATAGCTGTCCATGGGAGGGAAAGAACCACTAACAAAGGGGCAGCCTAAAGCCAAGAGTACTCAGTTCTTTAGAAATTAAGGATCCTATTTTTATGTTGGAACTTGGGTCTCTCAGAGCAAAGTTGGTTTTGGCTCTGAAATCCCTTTAACTTAGCTAATGATTTTTCTTACCTCAGCACACAAGAAGAGAAGAAATAAAGTGGATAGATAGCTGTGAATTCTGAAAGCCAGGCTCACTCCTACAGTAACAGTCAGTTACTGCAACTACTGTCAGTTACCTTTGAAACTGCAGCCCCTGCCGGTGACTCATCATCCACTGCAAACCCAAAAGCCATGTGTCCTCTTATGGCACAAACCCTTGGTATTTGTTTTAGTCTGTTTTGTGTTGCTATAACAGAAAACCTGCAACTGGGTAATTTATAAAGAATGGAGGTTTATTTAGCTCATGGTTCTGGAGGCTGGGAAGTCCAAGATTGGGTGGCTGCATCCAGTGAGGCCCTCATGCTGTTTTATAGCATGGTGGAAAAGTGAAAGGAGCAGGGGAGAGAGAGCACTCACACACCAGAGAAAAGGGGGCTGAACTTCTTTAATTGCTAACTTACTCCCATGAGAAAGGCACTAATCCCTCTTAAAGACCCCACCTCCCAAAATGGCCAAAATGGCAATAAAATTTTAACATGAGTTTCAGAGGGGACACACCATATTCAAATCATAGCAGTACTCCAAAGTCAAATGCTCACTCTTGGCATTTACCTTGGATTTGAAGGCCAAAAAATTCAGGGGTCTCAATGCAAAAACAGCAGAGTCTGGCACAAAAGGAACTTATTTACAACACCTAGGACTCTGTGAGGAAGACAGGGGACCTGAAAGGGGTCAGCAGCACGTCTCCTGCATTCCTCAAGAGGCCCTTAAGAGTAATTAGTAGTCTCCTTATGGTCCCTTTTATGGTCACCAGATTGGTCAAAAGATAACATTTAAAGATCTTAACTGGCTTTGTTTGTGATTCTAGAATCAGGCAACACTTCCTTCTGTAAAAATAAAGTGTTCTGATAAGCTGAGCAGAGGAGGTTGGTTTTATAGACAGAGAAAAACTGAAGAAAGCAGAACCAAAGGACAAAAAGCAGACTGGTTGTTTCAAAGTTACCTTCCTTGTAAGACAGCAGGGAAATAACAATAAACAAATAATTGATTGGTTAACATCAGGTTATTTTTGTTGTAAGGCAGAGGGAACTTCATTATTATGCCAATTGAAGCTGGCCGGAGATGACACAGGACCTCAGCATGGGTGACCCCATTTTGACTTTTAGTCTAGTCTGTTGGGGCCTGGTGAAGGAGCTTAGTCCAAAACAATGGGCTCCTACAATTTTCATTTAACAGTATGCATAAGCAAGGCCCCATCTTACCAATGAAGGTGTCAAACCATATTAATTATAGGGCTCAATCCAAGTGTATTCACTTTGTATCTCCAACATACACACACACACAAATACGCTTTTTCAAACAATACACTCCCACAGATTCCCCCCAAGAATCCAATATGGTTCTCATCCCTGAAGGGTGGATCCCTTAATTGAGGATCACTGGCTTATAAAATCTCCAAAGAAGATCACAGTTTAAAGATGGAAAGACTTTATTCCATGAATAACCTGGTATTCCTCCTGTCTCCCTCAGTCACTCACAGATGTCAAGCTTAGTAGTTTTCTCTTGTGCTGTATGAGTTCCTTTCAGGATGTTTTCAAACCGCTCTGGCCTCCTGGTTAGGTGGCACTCACGACAACACCACTAGGTCCAACCCAGTTTCTCACTGGCAATATGTAGGTACTAATGCTGAAACCAAATCCTATTACTGACATTTAACCTAATCTTACCAATAACAGCTTGCTAGGGACTTCCAAAACCCATACTATGCATCTGTTTGTGGGATGAATTGGGATCTGCTTTTCTCTGCTACTGACTATGAATTTCAGGGGTGTTGGAAAGGACTGTACTTGTGATTTGGGCCTAGCTGTTTCAGGGAGCCTGAGGGAAGCTCTCATTTGTGTTTAGCCAAGGTTGGTGACATCAGGTTTCATCAAGTCTTCATATCTATGCACTACATAGAAAGCCTTTAAAAACTCATTAAAGTCAATGCTTCCATCTTTGTTCAAGTCCATTATGTTGGCAAGCTTATTGACTTGGGAATCATCAATGTGAACATTGTAGTGAGAACTAAAAAGTTTCCACATGGCACGAAATTCTTCCACGGAGATCAGGCCTAAAAGAATATAGGAGAAGGTTGTGAGTGTTCATTTTAAGACCCACCTAAGGCAAGGGTTGGGGAACCCACACTGATTAAATAGCCCCAGTTAGAAACTCACTAAACTGCCTAATCATGAAGATACTGAAGGATATGGAAGAGTAAGATCATAAATGTAAGAAACAATATCTCACTTTCAACTACCAAGGGATCCTGAACTTATTCTAAAGCCAGAATGAGCAAACAGTGAAGAAATGGGGACGGGGTTGTGGACTATGGGACTAAATGTGGTATAGAAATTACAAGACCTAAAATAGAAAGGTGAGGTGCATGGAAGGAGGGCAGAGAGGAGGATGACATCAAAGCAGAGGGAGAAGATACGGTGGGAGTCAATAAGAGGATTACAAACAATGGTGCTGCCTTTTTCACAGGCAATCATTTACTTTAATGTGTTGATCATTGATTTTTTTTTTTTTTCGGTGTTCAAAGGTCTCTGCATTAGGGGATTATCTGATGAGTTTTTAAAAATTTGAAAATAAGTAATTGTGCATCAAAGCTAAAGGCAGAAGGCCGGGCGCAGTGGCTCACGCCTGTAATCCCAGCACTTTGGGAGGCTGAGGTGGGCAGGTCATCTGAGGTCGGGAGTTCGAGACCAGCCTGACCAACATGGAGAACCCCATCTCTACTAAAAATAAAAATTATCAGGGTGTGGTGGCGCATGCCTGTAATCCCAGCTACTCAGGAGGCTGAGGCAGGAGAATTGCTTGAACCCGGGAGGCAGAGGTTGTGGTGAGCTGAGATCCCGCCATTGCACTCCAGCCTGGGCAACAAGAGCAAAACTCTGTCGCAAAAAAAAAAAAAAAAAAAAAAAAAAAAGCAGAAAATGACTTTTCATAGCCCTTACTCCCCAAAACAGAATCAGATTTCTAGGAATGATTTTTATGGCCATGAGTAACTAAGATACTGAAATGGATAGTAAATCATCTTTTCATTTGTGCTGGTGATTTATAAAAAGTTATTTCAGTTTGACTGATGGCTACCTAGGCTTCTGTAGGACTCTATGGTCTTGAATACAGAGTCTGCAGCCAAACTGAAATAACAATAATATTAAATGAGTTTCTTTTTCCCCTCAAGTTTCATCATGTTAGATGAAGAACAAAATAGATAAAATCAGAGTTCTGATTTCAGAGAACCAGATTAGCCTTTGCTTTCTACTACTGCTACCCCATTTTGACTTTTAGTCTAGTCTGTTGGGGCCTGGTGAAGGAGCTTAGTCCAAAACAATGGGCTCCTACAATTTTCATTTAACAGTATGCATAAGCAAGGCCTCCATCTTACCAATGAAGGTGTCAAACCATATTAATTATAGGGCTCAATCAAAGTGTACTCATTTTGTATCCCCAACATACACACACACATACACTTTTTAAATGGACTCATCCAAGTTCATTTATTTACCTGAGTGATCAGTGTCAATGGCATTAAATATGATTTCCAGGTCAGATCTGTATCTGTACAGAGTTTCAACTAGAGTAGAATGAGCCTAAAATAAAGATTTTCTAAGTGTTAGAACATATTGAATTCATGACACTGATCGCTTTTAGCAAATGTAACAAACAGAAAACATCATCAACAATTGAAATGATGTGATTTAGACAGAAATCTGAGAAGGCCAGACTTCCCTTGGAGGCCCCACCCTCTTCATTCAGTCTGTGATCCTCAGGGGACAGGGCCAAAATGAATAAGGCAGCAGTAACTAACACAGCCACCATTTACAGAGAACTTTATGTGGATTATTTCATTCGGTCCTCTACAACAAGAATGAACAAGAACAGAACTATTATTATGTCCATTTTACAAATTTGAAAACAGGGAGATAAAGGAACTTTCCCAAGGGTCACAGAGCTGGTGAGTGGGATTTAAATCTCGGCTGCCTGAAGCCAAGGCCTGTGATCTTAGTCACCATGGTAAACTGCCTCTGAAGTGACGTCAAAAGCCTCCTTCCTGGGGATACTTTAGTCTCTAACCTACCTTTACTTCCCTTCTCTCTGCTCTTAACGTCTCATCTTCACTGCAAATGATCACCCAAGTCCTAGCTCCAACCAGCTCCTTTTCAGCTCAATGTCATATTTAACTGCTGATGAATTGTTAACTAATAAGTATGGGGATCTGATAAATCTCCCTGATATTCACATTCTAAGAAAAGATTTCTACATTTCAAAACTCTTTCAGACATATTCTGGGTCATGTCAGCAAGTCTGTACACTCAGGCTTAACAAGCAATACATTAAGTATTAGAAATGGTATGTTGTATAAAAGCATGGATGTCAGGCCAGGCACAGGGGCTCATGCCTGTAATCCCAGCACTTTGGGAGGCCGAGGTGGGCAGATCACTTGAGGTCAAGAGTTCAAGACCAGCCTGGTCAACATGGTGAAACCCCATCTCCACTAAAAATATAAAAATTAGCTGGGTATGGTGGCAGGCGCCTGTAATCTCAGCTACTTGGGAAGCTGAGACAGGAGAGTCACTTGAGCGTGGCAGGCAGAGGTTGCAGTGAGCCGAGACTGCACCACTGCACTCCAGCCTGGGCAACAGAGCGAGACTCCACCTCAAAAAACAAACAAAAAGCATGGATGTCATATCTCCCCTTCTGCTAGACAGCACTTACAAAAAAAAATCCAGTATTTGATGTGGACTTGCTTGTGGAAGCTTTTTCTTTTTTCTTTTTGCTTATCCTGGGAACACACAAATTTGCTGAACAGACCACAGTGTACCTGGGAGATTCCCCTTCGGCTTTTCCTAAGACTGCCACTCCATCTATTAGATTATCCCACTCCCAGCTTCTCTTTTTTTGAGATGGAGTCTCGCTCTGTCACCCAGGCTGGAGTGCAATGGTGCGATCCTGGCTCGCTGCAACCTCCGCCTCCTGGGTTCAAGCAATTCTCCTGCCTCAGCCTCTTGAGTAGCTGGGATTACAGGTGGGCACGACCACACCCGGCTGATTTTTGTATTTTTGGTAGAGACGGGGCTTCACCATGTTGGTCAGGCTGGTCTCGAACTCCTGACCTCGGGATCTGCCCGCCTTGGCCTCCGAAAGTGCTGGGATTACAGGCGTGAGCCACTGTGCCCGGCCACTCCCAGCTTTTCAAAGGACTAAGTTATGTTTCACCCTGGCTAGGTTTTAGCTGGGGCTATGTTTCACTTGCCTCTTGTACAGGTTTTTCAATGCGGATATTCTGGAAGCTGGACATGTATTCAACGTTTCCATTTTGGTCTATGTTTACCAGATTCGAACTGAGGGATCTCCATGGTAAGTTCAGCCCCAAAATGTTCTCCATGCAAAAAGCCCACTGGCTCACAGAAAGTTTTCCTAACAACAACAATAACAAAGCCCAAATGATTTGTTAAAATATGATTTTAAAGAATGCAACCTCCTTGGGAGAGCCAGGGCAGCATGGGGCCAGCTGCTCTCCCTCATAATTTATCCTCCCAGGCCCTGCAGCCCTGAAGGAGAACTAACTCAAGGATATCTTCAGTGTTCCACAGATCGTGTCCTTCCTGTCACCTGTAAGAAATCAGACTTCACGTGTTAGATTTTTTTTTTCCTTTTTTTTGATTAACAAAGTAAGGTATGCTTACTTATTTATTTATTTATTTTTTTTTTTGAGAAGGAGTCTGGCTCTTTTCACCCAGGCTGGAGTGCAGTGGTGCCATCTGAGCTCACTGCAACCTCCGCCTCCTGGGTTCAAGTGATTCTCCTGCCTCAGCCTCCCAAGTATCTGGGATTACAGGTGTACGCCACCATACCCGGCTAATTTTTTTGTACTTTTAGTAGAGATAGAGTTTCACCATGTTGGCCAGGCTGGTCTTGAACTCCTGACCTCAAGTCATCTGCCCACCTCAGCCTCCCAAAGTGCTGGGATTACAGGTGTGAGCCACCATGCGCGGCCTAGGTTTGCTTATTATAGAAGATTTGAAAAACACAAAAGAATACAAAGAATAAAAGATGTATTATTCACCTGTCATTTCACAACTAATATTCTTTTCCTCCTAATATATGTAATTTTTCAAAACACAAATATCTTTATTACATATAGGCTGTTTCTATTTTTATAGGGATATCCATTTGGCCCAGCATCGTTTATTGAAAAGACTCCTTTGCCCACTGCTCAGCAGTGGGACCTTCAAGTGTCTATATATGCATGAATCTGTTTCAGGATTCTCTACTTGCTTCCATTGTCTATATGGGTATTCTTGTGCCAATTGCATACCATTCTAATTACTGTACTTTTATAATAGATCTTGATATATAATAGGGAAAGTCTTCCCACCTTGTTCTTTTTCTTCAGGAACATCTTGGCTATTTGGGGCCTTTTGTAATTCCACATGACTTTTAGATACAGATTCTCAAGATCTACTGAAAAATCCCCACCTTGGGATTTTGACTGAGATTGCATTGAAACTATAGCTCAATTTGGGAGGAATTTGTATCTTGACAACTTCAACCCTTATAGTCCTTGAACACAGTAATACCCACCCATTTATTTCAGTCCCCTTTATCTTAATAATATCTTAGAAATCTCATACCTCCCCCGTCTCTACTAAAAATACAAAAAATTAGCCAGGCATGGTGGCGGGCGCCTGTAGTCCCAGCTACTTGGGAGGCTGAGGCAGGAGAATGGCATGGACCCAGGAGGCAGAGCTTGCAGTGAACCAAGATCGTGCCACTGCACTCCAGCCTGGGCGACAGAGCAAGACTCCGTCTCAAAAAAAAAAAAAGAAATCTCATACCTCATTCATTAGGTTTCTCCCACAGTACTTGATTATCTATTGTGAATGGTATCTTTTAAGATTTTTGTTATCTAAAAGCTAATTGCTGGCTACCCCAGCTATCAATTTATTCCTACTTAGCTCCAAAACTAGTCTTTTTTTTTTTTTTGCACATTTTGTGATACTAGAGCTGGACCCTGTAATCATTTCCTCTTTGGCAGCTCGTATAACGTTAGTCTCTGTTAGTAGACAGTGCAGGAAGAACACTGCAAAGAACAGCAAAAGAAAAAGCTTTTCTTTCTGGTTCTGGTGTGCCTTGCTTCTTGTTTCTACAGCACCGCACGGTTAGCATGTGTGGAAAATGTAGTGGCACCCACCTTCTAGTAAATTTCACTGACACCACAGCCCATGGCTTCCTCACCATTAGTGTGTGGGAGACGCGGTGGTGCACAGCCCAAAGAGAGTCTTGCTGGCACCTCAGTGGGTGGCTCCATCCTCTCCAGTCCTGGCCCACCAGCCGGAGACCCAACTGTAACTTGAGGCACCTCAGTGAACTTCTGCCCTATCCAGTGGACCATAGCCACATCCTCACCAATGAGGGCTTGATCTCATCTCTTGATTGGGAGTAGGGGGTCCCTTCCAAGTTTTTCCTTCCTTGGGTCCTCTCTCTCAGCCTTAGACAGCAGCTCCTCCCTACACTTGCACTGGTTATTTGTTTTCTCTCTCTCTCTCTCTCTCTCTCTCTCTCTCTCTCTCTCTCTCTCGCCATGGTTTCGTCAACTTCAACAGTTCCCTCAAAGAACCATTTTTTGGCCGGGCACAGTGGCTCATGCCTGTAATCACAGCACTTTGGGGGGCCAAGGCAGGTGGATCACCTAAGGCCAAGAGTTGCAGACCAGCCTGGCTAACATGATGAAACCTTGTCTCCACTAAAAATACAAAAATAATTAGCTGGGCGTGGTGGCATATGCCTGTAGTCCCAGCTACTTGGGGAGGCTGAAGCAGAAGAATTGCTTTAACCTGGTAGGCGGAGGTTGCAATGAGCCAAGATCGTGCCACTGCACTCCAGCCTGGGTGACTGAGGGAGACTCCATCTCAAAACAAAACAAAACAAAAACAAATTTTTTTTTTTACTTTGTTAATCATATCTTTTACATTTAAGGTTATCATCAATGCCTCTCTAATTTGCATCCCATAAATTCTAATACATTGTATTTTCATTGTCATTCAGTTTCAGCAATCTAATTTCCATTGTGATTCTCTTTGAGCCAAGGATTATTTCTTTTTTTTTTTTTTTTTTGAGACAGAGTCTCGCTCTCTCTCCCAGTCTGGAGTGCAGTGGCGCAATCTCGGCTCACTGCAAGCTGCGCCTCCTGGGTTCATGCCATTCTCCTGCCTCAGCCTCCCGAGTAGCTGGGACTACAGGCGCCCGCCACCACGCCTGGCTAATTTTTTGTATTTTTAGTAGAGACGGGGTTTCACTGTGTTAGCCAGGATGGTCTCCATCTCCTGACCTCGTGATCCACCCTCCTCGGCCTCCCAAAATGCTGGGATTACAGGC
This sequence comes from Homo sapiens, assembly GCF_000001405.40. Taxonomy (NCBI): domain Eukaryota; kingdom Metazoa; phylum Chordata; class Mammalia; order Primates; family Hominidae; genus Homo; species Homo sapiens. The sequence goes on along the minus strand of NC_000023.11, from coordinate 18,820,961 downwards.
ATGAGCCACCACGTCTGGCCGGAGCCAAGGATTATTTCTAAGTATATTTCTCATTTCCAAGCCAAAGGGTGATTTTATTACTATCTTATGTTACGGAGTTGTATATGTCAGAGACTTTATTCTGTAATGTTTCCAATTCTTCAAAACCTATTGAGATTCACTTTATGTTCCAGTGTGTGGTCACTTTTTGTAAATGGTCCATTTGTGCTTGATAAGAATATGCATTCTGAAATTTGGGTACAGAGTTCTATGTAGTCTTTTAAGAAAAAAGTTTGCTGGCCAGGCGCGGTGGCTCACGCTTGTAATCCCAGCACTTTGGGAGGCCAAGGCGGGTGGATCACGAGGTCAGGAGACCAACACCATTCTGGCTAACACAGTGAAACCCCACCTCTACTAAAAATACAAAAAATTAGCTGGGCGTGGTGGCACACGCCTGTAGTCCCAGCTACTCGGGAGGCTGAGGCAGGAGAATTGCTTGAACCCGGGAGGCGGAGGTTGCAGTGAGCCGAGATCATGCTACTGCACTCCAGCCTGGGCGACAGAGCAAGACTCCATCTCAAAAAAAAAAAAAAAGAGTCTGCTAATCTTTTATCTGTTTGTTCTTTTAGTTCCTGAGAGAGGAGTATTAAAACCTCCCTCTATCGTGGTAGATTTTTCTACTTCTACTTTTTATTCTGTCAATTTTTGTTTTGAATAGTTTTGAAGCTATATGAATAAGTACATACACATTTAGAATGGATTCAATTGGCATAATTAATATTTTATCATTATGAAATGTCCTTTTTTATTTCTAGTAATATATACTTCCTTAGAGTCTACTTTGCCTGATACTAATAAAGCTGTCTTAGCTTTGTTTTTGTTAGTGTTTTCATGGTATATGTTTTTCTAAATTTAATTTCCAATGTTTGGTGTATATGATTCTATGGTCTAATTTTGCAACTGTTGAGAAATCTATCAGTCTAATCGTTATCTCTTTGTAGCAATATGTGTTTCCTCTCTGCCTGCTTTTTAAAGATTTTTTCTTTGCTACTGGTGCTCTGGAGTTTCACAACAAATGTGTGTAGGTCTGGATTTAACTTCATTTATTCTACTTGAGAATCACTGTTCCTCTTTATGAATTTGAGTCTTTTATCAATTCTGGAAATGTCTTAGCCATTACCATGTCAAATATATGGTCTCTTACATTCTATTCTCTCCTCCCAGTACTCTGAGTAGGTGTATGTTCAACTTCTCATTTTATTGTTCATAACTCTTTTTTTGTTTGTTTGAGACAGAGTTTCACTCTTGTCACCCAGGCTGGAGTGCAATGGTGCGGTCTCGGGTCACTGCAACCTCTGCCTCCTGGGTTCAAGCAATTCTCCTGTCTCAGCCTCCCAAGTAACTGGGATTACAGGTGCCTGCCACCATGGCTGGCTAATTTTTTGTTTTTTTTTGTATTTTTAGTAGAGGTGGGGTTTCACCATGTTGGCCAGGCTGGTTTCAAACTCCTGACCTCATGTGATCTGCCCGCCTCAATCTCCCAAGGTGCTGGGATTACAGGCATGAGCCACTGCGCCTGGCCTGTTTATAACTCCTAAACTAATTCTTTCTTGAGTAGCGTCTAATCTTCCGTTTAACCCATTCATTATGCTTTTACTTTTTTTAACAAGCATATTTTCTATCTCTTTGGTTTTTCTTCAAATCATTCCCAAATGCATGTTTCTGGTTCCATATTTCCTTTGAACATATTTATTTGCTAATTCCAATATTTGATGTCCTCGGGGAAATAATTGTTGTTTCTGCTGACTCTCACTCATGGTAGTTTGTATCCTTGTTTGTTTGGTAATTTTTGATTGTGATCTCATGTGAGTTGATCTTAATCTCTGGATACGTGAGTGGCCAAAATTAGGGATGCTTCCCTCAAAGATAAATTTGCATTTGCTTGCCAGGAGTCAGGGAGCATTACAGACTTAGGACAACTTTAGCCACTTTGAGGGTCCAAGCATGATGATGGAAGTCTCAAATTCAGCTTTTCCATCTTCCTACTATATTATAATTTAGTCTCAGAATTGATTGCTATACCAATATCAGCATTGGGCCCCAGGAAAATCTAGTCTTTTGTGCTTTCTTGTTGCTCCATGCTCTCACATGTGGTTTCAAATCATCTTTCACGGAAAGTGAAGATGCAGCTGGAAGATTCACGTTACTGTGAGGCTGGTAAATGCATTAACATTCTACATCCTCCAAAATCTAGCTGTTTGTTAATAAGAAGGCCCTCCAGAACATCTAGTCTAGCATACTATCAGAATAGAGGTTTAGGGCCGGGTGGCTCACGCCTGTAATCCCAGCACTTTGGAAGGCCAAGGCGGACGGATCATGAGGTCAGGAGTTTAAGACCAGCCTGAACAACATGGTGAAATCCCATCTCTACTAAAAATACAAAAATTAGCTGGGCGTGGTGGTGTATGCCTATAATCCTAGCTACTTAGGAGGCTGAGGCAGGAGAATTGCTTAAACCCAGGAGGTGGAGGTCATAGTGAGCTGAGGTCACGCCACTGCACTCCAGCCTGGGCAACAGAACAAGACTCTGTCTCAAAAAAAAAAAAAAAAAAGTTTAATTCAGGGTTGTTGTTAGTTTTCCAAGTTGAAAATAGCTTGCTAAAAGGGAGAAATATGCCTTTTTTGAGCAAATAATGGATTATATTTTATTTTTATCTCTATTCTTCCTTCTTAGTAAAAATGGAGAACTGAAATCCTAAGGAAGCAAGGAAAATGAAAAGTGATCTGTATGTAACTTGGTGTGTTAAGAAATGGTAAATGTTATGCAAATTTGTTACCTGATTTTCTGTGGTCTTGAAGTTGGAAAGCACGAGTAAGGTCACTTTTTCGTGAAATCACTCTCTCTCTTAATATCTTGATGGCGCTGTTTTCCATAGTATCCACTCTGCAAAGAAAACAATAATTAGGTAAAAGTAACATAAATCATCCTGTTGTGTTTCATTTTAATGTGCAATATTACTATTTATGAATTTTTACTTTAAATGAATTGCCCAGATTCTCACATATCGCTACTAGATGGTAAATATATGCATATGTATATGTATGTGTATGTGTGTGTGCATGCACACATGCATTTCATGAAGTTTTAAAAGGATTACAAATAGTATTTTCTTTTGAATGTCAAAACTCACATGAACAATCATTTGAAAAGAAGGAAAATAAAGAGGAACTTACTATACCAGATATTGAAATTTATCATTAAATCACTGAGATAAAACAACAGATGTTGACACAAGAGAAGACTGATACATGAGTAGAACATAATAGAAATTTCATAAACAAAGGCCGGGTGTGGTGGCTCACACCTGTAATCCCAACACTTTGGGAGGCCGAGGCGGGTGGATGACAAAGTCAAGAGATCGAAACCATCCTGGCCAAAATTGTGAAACCCCGTCTCTACTAAAAATACAAAAATTAGCTGGGCATGGTGGCACGTGCCTGTAGTCCCAGCTACTTGGGAGGCTGAGGCAGGAGAATTGCTTGAACCCAGGAGGCGGAGGTTGCAGTGAGCTGAGATTGCACCATTGCACTCCAGCCTGGGCAATAGAGCCAGACTCTGTCTCAAAAAAAAAAATTCATAAATATATCAAACTATGTATGGGAATAATATATATAATACAGAGGTATTGCAATTCAGTAGAAGAGGACAATTTTTAAAAAGAGTGCTAGGATAGTTAGCTAACAACCTAGACTTCAACCTCTACCTCAGACCATTTACAAAAATAAATTTTCAAATAAAGGAGGAACAGAGGAACAAAACAGTCACACACATACATATAATTACTGTTTTGTTCCTCTTTGTATTTTTTGTGCATGTACACACACACACACACACACACACACACACACACACATGGCAAAATGATAGATGTAAATCCAGGCATATCAATAATAACATCATATGAGAATGGATTAAATAATCAAAAGGCAGAGATTGTGAAACTGGATAAAAGCAACAAAACAAGATCTAACTATATGTTGTTAATAGGAGACACACTTTAGTCTCAAAAATACAAAGAGTTTAAAAGGAAAAAGACAAAAAGGAAATTCCATGCAAACGGCAAGCCTGAGAGCTAGAGTGGCATACCAATAGCAGACAAAATGGACTTTAAGACAAAAATTGTTACCAGAGACAAAGAGGGGTATTTTATAATGATAAAACAGTCCATCAAGAAGATGAAGCAATTATAAACACATGAGAACCTAACAACAGAGCTCAAAACTACATGAAGCAAAAACGGACAGAACTGAAGGGAGACATAGACAATTCAACAATAATATTGAGACTTCAATAGTCGACTTTCAGTAATGGATGAAACAACTAGGTGGAAAATCAACATGGAAAGAGAAGTCTTGAACAGCACTCAAACCAACTAGACCTCACAGATATGTATAAAACACTCCACCCAACAACAAGAGAATTACATTCTTCTATAGTACATGTGGAACATTCTCCACAATAGACTCGATGCTAGGCCATAATATAAGCCTTAATAGATTTAAAAGGATTAAGATCAAAGTATCTTTACTTTGAAGAAAATTTAGGATTTATTGAAAGAAATAAATTAATAAAGTAATTTGGGAAAATAAATAAATTAAAAATTAACAACAGAAGAAATTTGGGCAAGTCACAAATATGAGAAAATTAAACAACAAAATCTTAACCAATAGGTCAAAGAAGAAATCACAGGAGAAGTCAGAAAATACTTTTAAGATGAGTGAAAATGAAAATACAACATACCAAAACATATGAAGTAGTGCTTAGATAAAAATTTATAGCTATAGATGCCTATATTAAAAAAAGAAAAAAGATCTCAAATCAGTAACATAATCTTCCACTTTAAAAGATTGGAAAAAGGCTGGATGTGGTGGCTCATGCCTGTAATCCCAGCTACTTGGGAGGCTGAGGCAGGAGAATCACTTGAACCTGGGAGGCAGAGGTTGCAGTGAACCGAGATCACGCCATTGCACTCCAGCCTGGGCAACAAGAGCAAAACTCCATCTCAAAAAAAAAAAAAATAAATAAATAAAATAAAAAATTGGAAAAAAGAGTAAACTGAACCCAACATAAGCAGATAAAAGGAAATAATAAAGAATAGAGCAGTAAGAAATGAAATAGAGAATGGAAAGATAATAAAGAAAAATCAACAAAACTAAAAATTGGTTCTTTGAAACTAAATTGTCAAACTTTTAGAATGTCCAAGAAAAAAAAGAAAAAAGACTCAAATTTCTAAAATCAAGAGTGAGAGGGGACATCACTACTGACCTTACAAAAGTAAGAAAGATTATAAAGAAATACTAAGAACAACTGTAGACCAACAAATTAGATAACATAGATGAAAAGGACAAATTGCTAGAATGACACAAACGATCAAAACTGACTAGGAAGAAATTAAAAAACTGAACATGCCTGTAACAAGTAAAAAGACTAAGTAATCAAATGATTCGCAAAGACAAGCCCAGAGCCAGATGGCTTCACTGGTGAATTCTATGAAACATTTAAGGAAGAATTAATGCCAATCACTCACAAACTCTTCCAAAAAGAAGAGGTGGGAATACTGCCCACTTAGAAGCTAGTATTACCTTGATACAAAAACCAGATAAAGATCACAAGAAAACTACAGACCAGTATCTCTTATGAATATAGATACAATATCCTCAACAAAATACTAGCAAATGGCATCCAGAAACATATAAAAAGGATTATACACCATGGGTAAGTGGGATTTATTCTAGGAATGCAAGCTTTGTCTAATAGCTGAAATCAACCAATGTAATATACCATATTAACACAGGACAAATAAACAATGGGGAAAGGACTCCCTATTCAATAAATGACACGGGGATAACTGGCTATTCATACGCAGAAGAATGAAACTGGACCTCTACCTATCACCATATGCAAAAATTAACTCAAGATGGATTAGACTTATTAATAAATGTAAGACCTCAAACTGTAAAAATCCTAGAAGAAAACCTAGGACATACCCTTCTGGACATCAGCCTTAGCAAATAATTTATGACTAAGTCCTCAAAAGCAATTGTAACAAAAACAAACATTGACAAATGAGAACTAATTAAACTAAAGAACTTCTGCACAGCAAAAGAAAATATCAACAGAGTAAGCAGGCAACCTAAAGATTGGGAGGAAATCTTCACAAACTATGTATGCAACAAAGGTCTAATATCCAGAATTTATAAGGAACTTAAACTATTCAACAAGCAAAAAACAAATAGCCCCATTAAAAAGCGGGCAAAGGATATGAACAAACACTTCTCAAAACAAGACCTATAAGCGGCCAACCAACATGAAAAAATGCTCAACATCACTGAACCTCAGAGCAATGCAAATCAAAACCACAATGAGATACCATCTCACACCAGTCAGAATGACTATTATTCAGAAGTCAAAAAATAATAAATATTGGCAAGGCTGCAGAGAAAAGGGAATGCTTATACACCGCTGGTGTAAATGCAAACTAGTTCAGTCACTGTAGAAAGCACTTTGGAGATTTCTCAAAGAGCTAAAAATGGAACTCCCATTTGGACCCAGCAATCCCATTACTAGGTATATACCCAAAGGAAAATAAATCATTGTACCAAAAACACATGCAGTTGTATGTTCATCATAGAACTATTCCTAATAGCAAAAACACGGAATCAACCTAGGTGTCCATCAATGGTGGATTGGATAATGAAAATGCAATACATATACACCATGAAATAGTATACAACCATAAAAAAACCAAAATCATTTCTTTTGCAGCAACATGGATGCAGCTGGAAGCCATTATCCTAAGTGAATCAACATAGGAACAGAAAACCAAATGCCATATGTTCTCACTTTTAAGTGGGAGCTCACCATTGGGTACACATGGACATAAAGATGGGAAAAATAGACACTGGGAACTACTAGATGGGGAGGCAGAAAGGAGGGCAAGGGCTGAACAACTAAGTATCGGGTATTATGCTCACTACCTGGGTGATGAAATCACTCATACATCAAACCCCAGCATCACACAATATACCCATGTAACAAATCTGCACATGTACTCCTTGAATCGAAAATAAAAGTTGAAATTTTAAAAAATCACAAAAATCACATGATCATCTCAATGCATGCAGAAAAAATTTATCTGATGAAATTCAACACTCTTTCATGATAAAAACACTACCCAAACTAGGCATAGAAAGAAACTTCTTCCACTTGACGAGAGGCATCTATAAAAATACACAGCTAACATCATACTTAATTATCAAAGAGTGAATGCATTCCCTTAAGATCAGAAATAAGACAGGTATATCTGCCCTCACCAGTTTTATTCAACACTGTACTGGAGGTTTTAGCCAGGATGATTATACAAGAAAAATAAATACAAGGGATCCAGATTGGAAAAGAAGTAAAACTGTCTCCATTAACAGATATGATCTAGGTTATAAAAAATCTCAATGACTCTACTAGAAAAAGATTAAAACTAACAAGTTAATCAAGATTGTACAAGATCAATATCCAAAAATCAATTGTTTTTTTTTTTTTTTTTTTTGAGACGGAGTCTTGCTCCGTGGCCCAGGCTGGAGTGCAGTGGCGTGATGTTGGCTCACTGCAACCTCCGCCTCCCGGGTTCAAGCCATTCTTCTGCCTCAGCCTCCTGAGTAGCTGGGACTACAGGCGTGTGCCATCACACCCAGCTAATTTTTGTATTTTTAGTAGAGACAGGGTTTCACCATATTGGCCAGGCTGGTCTTGATCTCCTGACCTCGTGATCCACCCGCCTCAGCCTCTCAAAGTGCTAGGATTACAGGCATGAGCCACCGTGCCCGGCCAATCAATTGTATTTCTATACACTAGAAATCAAGAATCTAAAAATATAATTAAGAAAACAGGCCAAGTGCGGTGGCTCACATCTGTAATCCCAGCACTTTGGGAAGCCAAGACTGGAGGATCACTTGAGCCCAGGAGTTCGAGACCCAGCCTAGGCAACATAGTGCGACCCTGTCTCTACAGAAAATTGAAAAAATTAGCCGGGTGTGGTGGTGCAAGCTAATTTTAATGTAAGGCCCAGGAATTTGAGGGTGCAGTGAGCTATGATCACATCACTGCACTCCAGCCTGGGTGACTGAGTGAGACCCTGTCTCCAAAAAAAGAGAAAAGGAAAGAAAAGAAAAACAATTCCATTTACTATAGCAGCAAAAGGAATAAAATATTTAGAAATAAATTTAGCAAAATAAGTCCTAGACTTGTACACTGAAAAGTTCAAAATATTATTGGAGGAAATTAAAGAAGATTTAAATAGAACAAAATTTCATGTTCATGGATTGGACAACTTAATATTGTTAAGATGGTAACAGCCTTCAAATTGATCTACAGACTCAACATAATCCCTATCAAATTCTCAGCTGGTATTTTTGCAAATTGACAAGCTGATTCTGAAATTTACATGAAAATGCAAGGGACCCAAAATAGCCAAAACAATCTTTAAAAAGAAGTGCAACGTTCAACTCACATTTACCAGTTTTAAAACTGTAGTAAGTTTGTAAAGTTACAATAATTAGGACAGTGTGGTCCTAGCATTAGGATAGACATAGACATAGACAAATAGAATACAATTTAAAGGCCAGAAACAAACCCTTATATTATGGTCAACTGATTTTTGACAAGAGTGCCAAGAAGGAAAGAACAGTCTTTGAGTCATGGTTCTGGGACAACTGGATATCCACATGTAAAAGAATAAAGCTGAACCCTTCCTTCACACCATACACAAAAATTAACTCAAAATGGATCAGAAACCTAAGTGTAGGAGCTAAACCTATAAAACTCTTAGAAGAGAACATAGGAATGAATCCTTATGACTCTGAGTTAGGCAATGCCTTCTTAGATACAACACCACCAAAAAAGCACATAAATTGGATTTCATCAAAATGAAAAATGTTTGCACTACAAATAATACCACAGAGAAAGGGATAAGAGATCCCACAGAATGAGAGAGAATGTTTGCAAATCAAATACTGAACAAGTGGCCAGTCGTGGTGGCTCACGCCTGTAATCCCAGCACTTTGGGAAGCTGAAGCAGGTGGATCTCTTGAGCCCAGGAGTTCAAGATCAGCCTGGGCAACATGGTGAAATCCCGTTTCATCAAAAATACAAAAATTAGCCAAGTGTGCTGGCTTGTGCCTGTAGCCCCAGCTACTTCAGAGGCTGAGGCAGGAGGATCAATTGAGCCCCGCAGGCCAAGGCTGCAGTGAGCCATGATCGCCTTTGCCTGGGCAACAAAGTGAGACCCTGTCTCAAAAAAAAAAAAAAAAAAAATATATATATATATATATATATATATATACTGAATAAGTGATGTGTATATAGAATAAAGAACTCTTGCAATGCAAAAATAAAGAGTGACAATTAAAAATGGAAAATGTACCTGAAATATAATATTTCTAAAGAAGATGTACAAATGTCCAATAAGCACATGGAAAGACGCTCAACATCATTAATCATTAGGGAAATACAACGCAACACTACAATGAGATTCTACCTCACACCACTAAGAGAACAATAAGAAAAAAGAGAGATCAAGCTGGGCGCGGTGGCTCACACCTGTAATCCCAGCACTTTGGGAGGCCGAGGCGGGCAAATCACCTGAGGTCAGGAGTTTGAGACCAGCCTGGCCAACATGGAGAAACCTCATCTCTACTAAACATACACAAATTAGCTGGGCATGGTGGCGCATGCCTGTAGTCCCAGCTACTCGGGAGGCTGAGGCAGGAGAATCACTTTAACCCAGGAGGTGGAGGTTGCAGTGAGCCAAGACTGTGCCACTGCACTCCAGCCTGGGGCAACAAGAGTGAAACTCTGTCTCAAAAAAATAAATAAATAAAAAGAGATCATAACAAGAGTTGGCAATGATGTAGAAAACCTGGAATCCTCACACACTGATGGTGGAAATGGTAAACTGGTTAGCTTCTTGGGAAAAAAGTTTGCAAGTTTCTCAAAATGTTAAACACAGAGTTACCATATAACCCAGCAATTCCATTACCAAGTATTTACTCAAGAGAAATGAAACATGTACACACAAAAACTTGCCCATGAATGTTCATAACACCATTGTTTATAATAGCCAACTAGTGGAAACACCCTAAATATCTATCAACTCATGAATGGACAAACAAAATGTGGTCTATCCATACAATGGAATATTATTCACCCATAAGAAGGAATGAAGTACTGATATAGAATACAACATGAATGACCTCAAAAACATTGTGCTGAGTGAAAGAGGCCAGCCACAAAAGACCACATATTGTGTGATCTCATTTATATGAAATGCCGAGAATAGGCAAATCCATAGAGACAGAAAATAGATTAGTGGTTGCCTAGGGCTGTGATGGGAGGAGGTGACTGAGAAATGACTGCTCAGTGGGTATGAGTTTTCTTTTTAGGATGGCAAAAATGTTCAAAAGTTAGATAATGGTGATAGTTGCACAACTCTAAACGTACTGTCATTGAATTGTAAATGGGTAAACTTTGTGGTATGTAAATTACATCTCAACGTAGCTGTTAAATTTGAGAATTTGTGTGTGTGTGTGTGTGTGTGCGCAGAGAGAGGCAGAGACAGAGAAAGAGAAATTTTCTAAACAAAGGTACAGATCCAAAAATTATAATGAAATTATAAATAAATATGGTATGTTGTTTTTCAGATTGTCCAATGTTATAACCCTTCTGAAGTAGCTATTAAAATTTTAAACATATAAATTCCATAAATTCCACATTGTAAAATCTTACATTAAAAAAGCCACTAAAACTTATGGATATATGTCCACACACACACACACACACACACACACACACACAGAGGATTTTTTCCAGCTTTATTGACATAAAACTATAACATATTTATAACTGGCAAATAAAATTGTACATATTTAAGGTATACAATGTGATGATTTGATATACCTGTATCTCCAGATATCCTCCACCTCTCAGCCCCTGGCAACCACCATACTACTCTCTGTTTCTATGAGTTCAGCTTTTTTAGATTCCACATATAAGTGATGTCATACAGTATTTGTCTGACTTATTTCACTTAGCAAAATGCCCTCCAGGTTTATCCATGTTGTCATAATGTCAGGATTTCTTTTTTATGTTGGAATAATATTCCATTGTGCATGTACAATCAGCCCTCTGTATGCATGGGTTTCCCTTCAGTGGATTTTTTTTTTTTTTGAGACAGGGTCTCACTTTATTGCCCAACCTGGAGTGCAGTGGTGCAGTCTTGGCCCACTGCAGCCTTGACCTTCCAGGCTCAAGTGATTCTCCTGCCTCAGCCTCCAGAGTAGCTGGGATTACAGGTGTGCGCCATCACGTCCAGCTAATTTTTGTATTTTATGTAGAGATGGGGTTTCACCATGTTGCCCAGCTAGTCACGAACTCCTGGGCTCAAATGATCCTCCTGCCTCGGCCTCCCAAAGTGCTGGGACTACAAGCGTGAGCCACTGCGCTTGGCCAAATTTATTTTTTTTAAAACAGATGGTTGTGCCTGTACTTAACATGTACAGACTTCTTCTTGTCATTATTCCCTAAACAATACAGTATAACAACTATTGACATAGTGTTTATAGTGCATTCGGTATTATAAGTAATTTAGAGATGACTTAAAGTATATGGAAGGATGTGCATAGGTTTTATGCAAATACCATGCTATTTTATATAAGTGACTTGAGCATCCAGGGATTTCGGTATCTGAGAGGGCTCCTGGAACCAATTCCCTACAAATATCAAGGAATTACTAGATAGATAGATAGATAGATAGATAGATAGATAGATAGATAGATAGATATAATGTGATATATCTATATATATATAATATATAAATCCACACACGTATATCAGTCACACTTTCTTTTTCTGTCTTGATAGACACTTGGTTTGTTACCATATCTTGACTATTGTGAATAATGCCACACTGAGCATGGGAATGCAAATATCTCTTCAAGATACTGATTTCATTTCCTTTGGATATATACCCAGTAGTGGGATTGCTGGATCATATGGTACTTCTATTTTTAATGTTTTGAGGAACTTCTATACCGTTTTCTATAATGGCTGTACTAATCCATATTCCTATCAACAGAGTACAAGCGTTCCCTTTTCTACACTCCCTGGTCAACACTTAGGTTTTGTCTTTTTGATAACAGCCATTCTAACCGGTGAGAGAGGGTATCTATCTCATTGTGGCTGTGCATTGCATTTCCCTGATAATTAGTGACGTTGAGCATCTTTTCGTATACCTGTTGGCCATTTGTATGTCTTTGGGAAAATGTCTATTCAGGTCCTTTGCCTATTTTTTAAATTGGATTACTTGGTTTTTTTTTTTTTGCTGTTGAGTCGTATGAGTTCCTTATATATAGGAATGCTAGTTATAGCATTGTTTTTAAATGCAGAATCCTGGAACCAATCTGGATGTCTATCAATTGGATAAGATTTAGTTGCTCCATAACTGTTATGGTACATGTATACTACAGAATAATATGTATGTACTAAAAAGAATGAGTTAGGTCTATCTTTACTAACTTGCGGTGATGTTCATGATAAAATTTTTAGGGGAAAAATTCAGTTGCAGAATACAGTATGCAGTGTGATTCTTTCTTTAAAAAATATACGTACGGCCGGGCGTGGTGGCTCACTACTGTAATCCCAGCACTTTGGGAAGCTGAGGCGGGCGGATCACAAGGTCAAGAGATCGAGACCATCCTAGCCAACATGGTGAAACCCCCTCTCTACTAAAAAAACAAAAATTAGCTGGGTGTGGTGGCGTGCACCTGTAGTCCCAGCTACTTGGGAGGCTGAGGCAGGAGAATTGCTTGAACCCAAGAGGCAGAGGTTGCAGTGAGCTGAGATCGCACCACTGCACTCCAGCCTGGCAACAGAGCAAGACTCCGTCTCAAAAAAAAAAAAAAAATGTACGTACAGGCTGGGCGTGGTAGCTCACACCTGTAATCTCAGCACTTTGGGAGGCCGAGGCGGGCAAATCACCTGAGGTCAGGAGTTCAATACCAGCTTGGCCAACAAGGTGAAACCCCGTCTCTACTAAAAATACAAAAATTAGCCCAGCGTGGTGGGGCATGCCCGTAGTCCCAGCTACTCGGGAGGCTGAGACAGGAGAATCACTTGAACCCAGTAGGTGGAGGTTGCAGTGAGCCAAGATCGTGCCACTGCACTCCAGCCTGGGCAACAGAGCAAGACTCCTTCTTTAAAAAAAAAAGTATGTACATTGTTTATCGTCTTTCTCTTCACACTGAGATATGTGTTTGATGAGGGGACTTCAGCCTATCTTATATTATGTATGCCTAGAATAGTATCTGACACATGGCAGGTACTCAAAGGTTTTTTTTAATTCAATGACTGAATAAATGCTTGACTATTTTTGTAAGAGCAAGAAGAGGGTGGAAGGGGCCATTCTAAACTGCCAGTTTTAGTTACCTCTGGGGAAAAGGATAATTGAGAAAGGAGAGAAGTTGTTAACAATTTCTTTATTCTTCTTTGCTTTTTTTCAGTTGTTAACAACAAACATGTTAGTTCTATAATGTAAAAAATCTTAGACCGGGCGCAGTGGCTCATGCCTGTAATCCCAGTACTTTGGGAGGTCAAGGCAGGCAGATCACATGAGGTCAGGAGTTCAAGACCAGCCTGGCCAACATGGTGAAACCCCGTCTCTACCAAAAATATAAAATGTTAGCCAGGTGTTGTGGCGGGCCCTTGTAATCTCAGCTACTCAGGAGGCTGAGGCAGGAGAACAGCTTGAACCTGGGAGGCAGAGGTTGCAGGGAGCTGAGATCACGCCACTGCACTCCAGCCTGGGCTGCAGAGCGAGACTCCGTCTCAAAAAAACAAAAAACAAATGAAAAAAAACAAACAAAAAAAAAACCAAAAAAAACACTTAGAAAGATAATGTTAAAGGGAGAAAAGGAGTATAAGCTACAAATGCCATCACATGGAGAGAGACACTCAACTATTTGTCACATACACTTCTGGATAGAGAAGAGAAAGGGGCAAGACCAGATAGAGCTGTTTGTGGGTCAGAGAAGGTTGTAGGTTGGGGGACTGAGTGGGTGTGGGGATCTTCTTTTCTTTACATTCAGTTACGTTTCTGAGGGCTGACTGCTTTATCCATCTAAAAAGATGTATGAATTTAAAATTGCTCTTTTTGGTTTCAAATATGGGTGCATTCACCACTTGGTGTCTGGAACTATTTACATTTTGTTGATACTAATGAGTAAGCTATAAATGACTCTCTTCACTCACGTGGCTGCTCTTAGTCACGTGGGACTGGTTCTAATGGGTCCGTGATACCAGTGCTCAGCACTCTCGGTATAGTATACACACCTTTGGCGAAGAGGCTGAAAGCACGTTGCTTTAGTTACTTGGTACTGGAAAAATCGAGGAGTTGTACCAGAACATAGTTTGATGTAAGCTCCTCGATTGCTGCCTTCTTCATAATAATTAGAAGCAGAAAATATAGTCACCACCTGGTTAAAGAAAAAGAGGGTCAGGTTCACGTAACATTAGTTCTCAAAAGGTCATTCAATAAGGTCAGAAATAGCTCAATTCTTAAAAAGCAAAAATCAAAGAAGGTTCATAAACCCTGCAAATCATCACAGTCTGATGTGATTTCTATGACTGCATCGGAGGAAAACAAGGCTACTACCCAGTGTCCCCAGCAGCACTAACTCCTGGCCACTCAGCCAATGTCCTCAGCGCATGGCCCTGCATTCTCGGGTACAATTTTAGTGCCAAATCTCAGAATCCTCTTTAATGTTTGATTTTGCAAATTCTTTTTCCAAGGGGATAAATCCCCTATTTTCTTGCCTTGTAATAGTTGAGCATTCAGAACAAAATTTGTCTGGTACTTCGGTTTTTTTCTTCTGCTTGGAGCTGAGTGATTTAGAGGGTTCAGGGCCCCAGAAAGTCAGTGCTTTAAGGGCAGAGGTGCAGTGGCTAGAATAAGGGACCACGACCACTGTCTTGTGAAGGAACTAGCCTTGGGCTGTGGTAGAATATGGGAGGACAATTTTTTTTTTTTTTTTTTTAAGATGGAGTCTCGCTCTCTCACCATGATGGAATGCAATGGCACGATCTCACCTCACTGCAACCTCCACCTCCTGGGTTCCAGGAATTCTCCTGCCTCAGCCTCCCGAGTAGCTGGTACTACAGGTGTGTGCCACCACGCCCAGCTAATTTTTGTATTTTTAGTAGAGACAGGGTCTTACCATGTTGACCAGGATGGTCTCGATCTCTTGACCTCGTGATCCACCTGCCTTGGCCTCCCAAAGTGCTGGGATTACAGGCATGAGCCACCGTGCCCAGCCAGGAGGACAATATTTGTGGGTGACAGGGAACCTGGTTTAGGCCCCGTTCTGTCCTGATGAGCATGTCACTTCAGACAAGCCACTGATGTTTTCTATCTATTTTCTTACTACAAAGAAACCCTAAACAATACTTGCCTTACTCATCTTGGAATGTTAGTATGAGCTGAAAATGAATTAATAAAGGTCAGAAAAACAAAGTGCTGACACAGAGGGAAATGCCACACAACTTGGTGTCCATTTTTATTTATTGCTGTTCACTATAGAAAAAGGTGCATTCCAGGCCAGGCGCGGTGGCTAATGCCTATAATCCCAGCACTTTGGGAGGCTGAGGCAGGTGGATCACCTGAGGTCAGGAGTTTGAGACCAGCCTGGCCATCATGAAACCTTGTCTCTACTAAAAGTTCAAAAATTAGCTGGACGTAGTGGCGGGCGCCTGTAATCCCAGCTTCTCGGGAGCATGAGGCAAGAGAATCACTTGAACTCGGGAGGCGGAGGTTGCAGTAAGCCGAGATTGCACCACTGCACTCCAGCCTGGACAACACAGCGAGACTCTGTCTCAAAAAAAAGAAAAAAGAAAAAAAAAAGAAACGGTGCATCCCAGAACAACTTGGGACAAGAAACCAGCTCCTCGGTCCTCACCTCTTTTAGCCTTTGATCAGACACCACTGAAGGAACACAACACACTCCGTTTTAGTGGCTGCAGCTAAACTGACTACAGTGAGCAACTTGCTGGAGGTCACCTACTCAGGGAGCTGAAGGGAAGTGTGTTTTGTGTTTTGGGCCCTGCACAGGGAACATGTAAAAAGTGCAAGAGCAAACTGGATTCACTGCTGCCTTTTATGCGCTCTGTGAGGAAAAGGACATTCTCAACCCCACTGTATGGGACAGTTGCCTTATAAGAACCAAGCCTTTCTGTGTGTCTACTTAGTGCCATGTATCAGAATTTCTGTTTCTGGGGCCAGGCGCGGTGGCTCACGACTGTAATCCCAGCACTTTGGGAAGCCGAGGCAGGCGGATCACCTGAGGTCAGGAGTTTGAGACCAGTCTGGCTAACATGGTGAAACCCTGTCTCTACTAAAAATACAAAAATTAGCTGGGTGTGGTGGCGCACACCTGTAATCCCAGCTACTTGGGTGGCTGAGGCACGAGAATCACTTGAACCCGGGAGGCGGAGGTTGCAGTGAGCTGAGATCACACCACTGCACTCCAACCTGGGTGGCAGAGTGAGACTCCATCTCAAAAAAAAAAAAAGAATTTCTGTTTCTGGGATTAGGGAAGATCAGGGAAATAAACCAAATATCTTTTAGGATAAGGGACAGTGAGGCCCCTTCAAACAACCTAGATGAAGCTCGCCTTCTCTGGTTTCTGTTTGGTACTAGAGAAGACATCTTCTCATGGGCTTCTAGGC